>NC_000004.12:3893527-4200023 GCF_000001405.40 Homo sapiens | reverse complement strand
CCTTCGACAAGAGACAGATTTTACATTGTAATCCAAACACGCATGTACCTATGTGTGTATGCTTGATGAAATAATACTTAGTTTTACTATATCAGAGACGCTTCCAAATTTTATTGTAGTTGACTCCACTCCATTCTGTCCTATTCTAGTCCACTGAAAATTATTTCTGCTACAAAAAAGTTGGTCGCTACCTGATTTTACAGCCTGGTACTGGGTCGTGACTTGCATTAAAAAATAGATACACAGTTTGTTCTTACTTTTTTCCATTTTCCTTGAAACGAGATTACTTTCTTAATATTAAAACACATCCTGGCCGGGTGCGGTGGCTCATGCTTTTAATCCCAGAACTTTGGGAGGCGGAGGCAGGCGGATCTCATGAGCTCAGGAGTTCAAGACCAGCCTAGCCAACGTGGCGGAACCCTGTCTCTACAAAAAATGTAAAAATTAGCCGGGCGTGGTGGCACGGGCCTGTGGTCCCAGCTACTCAGCAGGCTGAAGTAGGAGGATGCTTGAGCACAGAAGTCTGAGGTTGCAGTGAGCCAAGATTTTGCCACAGCACTCCAACCTGGGCAACAGAAGGAGGCTCTGTCTCAAAACAAACAAAACACAAAACAAAAAAACCCCCAAAATACCCCAAACCATAAAGCACATCTTAATTATAATGTGCAGTGGCTGTTTAGTATCTCATTGTTGTGATACACTAAAATTTACTTAACAATTTCTAAATTGTTGGACATTGAGCTGTTCCTCTCTCTCTCTCTCTCTCTCTCTCTCTCTCTCTCTCTCTCTCACACACACACACAATTTTACCTGAGTTTTTTTTAAATTATATTTTGAGACTGAGTCTCGCTCTGTCGCCTAGGCTGGAGTGCAGTGGCACGATCTCAGCTCACTGCAACCTCTGCCTCCTAGGTTCAAGTGATTCTCCTGCCTCAGCCTCCCAAGCAGCTGGTATTACAGGCTTGCCACCACACCTGGCTAATTTTTGTAGTTTTAATAGAGACGAGGTTTCGCCATGTTGGCCAGGCTGGTCTCGAACTCCTGACCTCAAGTGATCCACCTGCTTTGGCCTCCCAAAGTGCTGGGATTACAGGGCTGAGTCACCGCTCCTGGCCTTACCTGACTCTTTGATTACATTTTTTTATTTGTCCCTTTGAGTAGAAGGGTAGAATGGAAAGAACAGAATTATGGGTCAGAGACTGCATCGCCTTTAGGGCTTTGGTGACCTGTTTCATCATTTACTTACAGCATCTGCCCTCCTGTGATGAGAAGGCCCTCCATACCGCAGCCAGCTTCTCTTCCAGAAGGTGGTACCCGTTTACTTTCCCCGCACCGATATCGGACGGCGCCTGTCTCCTGCATGCCTGCTTGCACTGGAGTCTTAAGAGGCACATCTTTTGCTAATTAAAAGGGGCATTTTCTCCAGAAAGTATTTTTTCAAAATAATGTTGAAAAATCACACATGTAAATCATCTTCACAGAGAAAACTTAGAAAATACAGGGAAGCAAAATCTAGAAGAGATCAAAAATCATCTGTCATTTTTTCACCCAGAGATAACCATTGTTGACATTTTAGTTTGTGTCCTTCCAGATTTTTTCCGTCTGTCTGTGTGTGTGTGTATCCATCTATCTATCTATCATCTACATATCTATTTTTTACAACAATAGAGTCATCTTCTCTATCCTCTTTGGCAACTCACCAAATGAATGTGATTTAGGTAATGAATATGCTTTGGGGATACTCAGGGCTATCAACTTAGCCATGATATTAAACGTGATAATAAGCTATGACATGATAAAGCTCATAATCCAGTGGGAAGACCCAAGCCTGAATCCACGGTGGAAACAGTTTTCTGTGCTTTTCTGTTCCCCCTTGCACCTGCTAATCGCCCTCCTGTGTGATCTACCTGTCTCCCCTAGTTTTAGATGACCACACACCGCAGTGTAACTGCACGCCCCCAACTCTGTGCACTGCCATCTCCCACGGGATCTACTACCTCTACCCCTTCAACATAGAGTATCAGATCCTGGCCTCCACAATGCTCTACGTCCTGTGGAAGAACATCGGGCGCAAAGTTGACAGCCATCAGCACCAGAAGATGCAGTTCAAGTCTGATGGGGTCATGGTGGGCGCAGTCCTGGGCCTGACCGTGCTGGCCGCCACCATTGCTGTGGTGGTGGTATACCTGATTCATATTGGGCGCTCCAAGACCAAGAGCGAGTCGGCACTCATCATGTTCTACCTGTATGCCATCACCCTGCTGATGCTTATGGGGGCTGCGGGGCTGGCTGGAATCCGGATTTACAGGATAGACGAGAAGTCACTGGATGAGTCCAAAAATCCGGCCCGCAAACTGGACTCGGACCTCTTGGTGGGCACTGCCTCGGGCTCCTGGCTTATCTCCTGGGGCTCAATCTTGGCCATCCTCTGTGCTGAGGGCCACCCCCGCTACACCTGGTACAACCTGCCCTACTCCATCCTGGCGATCGTGGAGAAGTACATCCAGAACCTCTTCATCTTTGAATCCATTCACCGAGAGCCTGAAAAACTCTCTGAGGACATCCAAACCCTTCGGGTGGTCACAGTCTGCAATGGCAACACCATGCCCCTTGCTTCTTCCTGCCCCAAGAGTGGAGGTGTGGCCAGAGATGTGGCTCCCCAGGGCAAGGACATGCCACCAGCAGCCAATGGAAATGTGTGCATGAGAGAAAGCCATGACAAGGAGGAGGAGAAGCAGGAGGAGAGCAGCTGGGGAGGGAGCCCAAGCCCAGTCCGCCTTCCCCGTTTCTTACAGGGCAACGCCAAGAGAAAAGTCCTGAGGAATATTGCAGCCTTCTTGTTCCTCTGCAATATTTCGGTAATCTGCACCAAGTTATTCTTATTCTTTTAATTTTACTTTAAACTTTCATTTTCGGTTCAAGGGGTACACATGCAGATTTGTTAAATGGGTAAATTGCGTGTTGCTGAGGTTTGGTGCACAAATGATCCCATCACCCAGGTAATGAGCATAGTGCCCGATAGGTAGTTTTTCACCCTGCACCCCGCTTCCGGCCTCTCCCCCTAGTAGTCCCTGGTAGTGTCTGTTCATATATTTGTGTTCATGAGTACCCAATGTTAAGCTCCCACTTATAAGAGAGGACATGTGGTATTTGGTTTTCTGTTCGTGTGTTAATTCACTTAGGATAAGGCCTCCAGTTCTATCCAGGTTGCTGCAAATAGTGTGATTTCATTCTTTTTTAAGGCTGCATAATATTCCACGGTGTAGAGCTACACATTTTCTATTTATTTATTTTTTGAGACAGGGTCGCGCCCTGTTGCCCAGGCTGGAGTGCAGTGGCATGATCACAGCTCACTGCAGCTTCGACCTCCTGGGCTCAAGCAATCCTCCCATCTCAGCCTCCTGAGTACCTGGGACCACAGGCATGTGCCACCACACCTGGCTAATTTAAAAAACTCTCTTTTTTTGAGACAGAGTTTCACTCTTGTTGCCTAGGCTACAGTGCAATGGTGCGATCTTGGCTCACTGCAACCTCTGCCTCCCGAGTTGAAGTGATTCTCCTGCCTCAGCCTCCAGAGTAGCTGGGATTACAGGCACCTGCCACCACACTTGGCTAATTTTTGAAAATATTTTTAGTAGAGATGGGGGTTTCACCATGTTGGCCAGGCTGGTTTCGAACTCCTGACCTCAAGTGATCCACCTACCTTGGCCTCCCAAAATGCTAGGATTACAGGTGTGAGCTCCCACGCCTGGCCAAAACTTTTTTTTTGTAGAGATAGGTTCTCACTGTGCTGCCCAGGCTTGTCTTGAACTCCTGGGCTCAAACAATCCTCCTGCCTCAGCCTCCCAAAGTGCTGGGATTACAGATGTGAACCACTGTACCGTCCATAATACATTTTCTTTATCCAGTCCATTATTGATGGACATCTAGGTTTCTCTTGCCTTTTTAAAATAAGGAATGGAGGCAGCTTGTAATAAAAATACTGTAAGTACAAAATTACAATATAAGGCTGGAAAATAGACCTGTATTCTACAAATCTACCTACTGAAGACTTGCTGTGTGCTAGGGGCTGGGCAGGGTACTAAAGATTAAAGTGGAAAGACTCAGTCTCTTTCCTCTAAAAGGTCTCAGTATAATGGGGGAGGGAGACAATGAGAAAATCTAATACAGTGAGCAGGACAAGTGCTGAGATGGGTTTGTGCAAGGTGTACTAGGAGCAGGGATCCAGAAGGACTTCAGTGAGTAGTGGGTGCTTGACGTGAGGCCCACTGTCAATCAGGAGTGCTTTTGGTTGCAAGTGATAGGCAATTTGATTCGCAGTGTCTTCAGTCTTAACAATGTTTAATTATCTCATGAGAATCCCAGAGGTTGGCTTCTTGGGGTTGGCCTGGCAGCTGAACCGTGTCACCAGGCATCCAGGCACTGTTCATCTTGTCACTTGGGTGGTGTGGTGCTTGTTGCCGCATGGTCATGAGATGGCTGCAGCTGCACCAGGCATCACATCTGGGTTCAAGACAGAAAGCAGTGGGGAAGGGCTGGTGCCAGGCAGTGTCTCTCACATGGGCACCCCTCACTGCAAGGGAGGCTGGGGAAGTGGATGGTTTGCTTTCCAGCCTCTCTGATGGAAGGTGGCAAGGGAGAGGAAGGTGTACAGTCACTCACCTATCTGTCCGCATCAGCAAGGAATGACTGGAAGTTCACCAGGTTATCAAGGCAGGGAGAAGCATTTCAGGCAGAGGTACACAATATGTGAAGACACAGAGGCAAAAGACACCATGGCATGTTTTGGGAGCACCAAGTAGTTTGGCATAAATTCCACATGTGTTAAGCAGAGTAGCAGAATGGGAAATAGGAGAGAGGGCCCAGCTAGGTGGACTCTGGCTTGAGCAGGGCTTCCTAGGCCTGGCTAGAGTCTAGTCTTTATGTTGAGGGCAAGGGAGGACTCTCTCAGATTTGTGTTTTGGAATGATCCTCCCAGTAGCTGTATGTAGCAAGGATGGAGACAGATAGGGCCAGAAGCAGAAAGACTGGGAGAGAAAGCCCTGCAACAGAGCAGGCAGGAAGGGGAGGAGCTTGAACCAGGGCAGTGATGGAGGGATGGAGAGAAGAAAAAGGAATAAGAAGCATTGTGTGCAGTTGGGATTTTTTTAAAGACACATAAAGGAAGGATGGTGGGGGTTGGTGAGGAGGGGGAAGCAGCCTTTGCCACCGCATGAGTCTCTGCAGTGATGGTGACTGGTGGCTGGAGGGGAGTGCCCCAGTCCACAGAGGTGCCTGCCCATCACTCTGGGTGAAGTCAGCTCTTTGCTACCAGCCTCCGTTATCAAGCCTGCTCTCTGTTGCCCTAGCAGCTCAGAGGCTTTTGGGCTTCCTCCCCTGAATTTCAGATGGTGCATACAGGGCCTGCAGCTTTTGATATCACCCTAAGAACGCAAAGTTGGGAAGGTCCCTTCTGAAATCAGAATGGCTGTGTGTCTGCCAAGCAAACCTGGTCCACTCTAACCTTGGATCACCCGGCTTCCTTCAGTTTGCTAGGCAGTGAGGAGGGGCGCTGAAGGCGGAAGGCCCAGAAGAGTTTGGCTGCAGGCAGACCCTCTTCTCCATCTAACAGACATTTGCCAGGAAACTGCTGTATGCCAGGGGCTATGTCAGGGGCACAGCAGTGAACCAAGAATTGAAAGAGTTAACAAGAGAGATAGATACTATTCGGCTGCATTTTTTTGAGGTGCATGTTCCAAAACACAAATTCTTATAGTCAGAGCTAGTTCTAGAATCTTCCTCAAGCATATGCTTTTTGTACATATCCTGTGATTAATATTAATATACATATATTTTGAGATGGAGTCTTGCTCTGTTGCCCAGGCTGTAGTGCAATGGCATGATCTTGGCTCATTGCAACCTCCGCCTCCCAGGTTCAAGTGATTCTCCTGCCTCAGCATCCCGAGGAGGTGGGACTACAGGCATGCAACCACCATGCCCAGCTAATTTTTCTATTTTTAGTAGAGACAGGGTTTCACTAGGTTGGTCAGGGTGGTCTCGAACTCCTAACCTCAGGTGAGCTGCCTGCCTAGGCCTCCCAAAGTGCTGGGATTACGGGTGTGAGCCACCGCTCCTGGCCTAATATATTTTTTAAAACTAAGTTCTGAAAAGTTGTTTTTCCCTGGTTGCCTTTTTGGTTGACCACTGGGTGAAATACTTGGCTTGAATTTTTGGACCCACTTGAAGAAAGATAGCACTGTCCGAAATACCAGAATCAAGTGGCAACTGATGGTCTGTCAGGACCCGAAAGCCAGACCCAGGGCCCAGTCCAAGGAGAAGGGTGGGCTTCATCTCTTCCTCCCTGTGCTTGGTCTATGATGCCCCCAGGCACTGGTTGGGTTCTGGGGGATTGAAGCAGAGGATGGAAATCATTGCAGGGTGGAGTCTTAGGATACCCGTGCTGGCTCATGGGGTGGCACTTTGAAACCTTGTGGTTGACCCCAGGTGGTGCCAAAGGCATCTGGCAGAGAGCAAGAGCTGTCTTCTCCAGCATCGGGAGCCAGTCCAGAGGCCCCAGCTGCAGGTGCTGATGTGCATGTCCAGGTGGGGTGGGCTCCACTTCAGAGACGGACATGGAAATGTTAGTTGAATTTCCAGGAGCTGTGGCACTGGAGACAACAGACGGTGGGTGTGGTGATGGGGAAGGGCAGGGTGCTGTGGGAGATGGGTCAGGGAAGTCCTCTTCTAAGGAATGGTGTAGATGGGGCTGGGATGAGAGACTATTAGGGCAGAGCTGCAGGTGTGGGGAAGGGATGGATGCAAGGCAAGGCAGGGCTCACTGGATATGACCTGGGAGCACAGAGCAGAGGGCAGAGGGGAGACCACACAGGGCCTGCGAGCCAAGACTCTATCCTAAACGCAAGAGAAAACCATGGAAGGGTCTACACTGAGAGTGACGGGATCTGACACATGCTTATTTTATTATATTTTTAATTGTGGCAAAAAACACATCACATAAACTTTCCCATTGCACCCACTTTCAAGTGTGTGGTGAAGTAAAGTACGTTCACATTGTGCAAACATCACACCATCCATTTCCAGGTTATTCTCGTCTGGCAAAACTGAAACCCTGCCCTCATTAAATATGAACTCCCCATTCTCCCCAGCCCCTGACAACCACCGTTCTTTCAGTCTCTAGGAATTTGACTCCTAGACTCCTCATATAAGTGAATTTGTGGAGTATTAGTCCTTTTGTGACTGGGTTATTTCACTCATCATAACACCCTCCAGGGTCTCCAGGTTGCAACTCGCGAAGGGTGACAGGTGCCAAGTGTGACCCCTGCCTTCACACTTGAGTTCCTGGGGAGATGGTGATACTATGTTGGAGATGGAGGACCCTGGAGGAGGGGCAACCTTGGGAGCAGTGGGTGGAGGTCAGTGTGGAAGGAAGGACCAGAGTTAAGTAATGGACGTGTTCTGTTTCAGGTGCCTCTGTGGCATCCAAATGGATGAACCCAGTAGGCAGATATTTTGGTTTTCTATTGCCATGCAATGAACTACCCCAAATGTATGACAAAAGCAACATGCATGACTGTTTTTGTCTCATGGGATTTATTGTGACTCATGGCTTTGTGGGTTAGAAATTCTGGCAGGGCTTGGATAGGCAGTTCTGTTCCTCACAGCATCAGGTGAAGTTGGTGAAGCCTTGGGCAGAAGTTCCGTGGTCTGGTGCCTTGGGTGGGGGTGGCTGGGAGGCTGGGCTCAGCCGGGACTCTTGACTGAGGCACCCACAGGTGGGTCTCCAGCATGACGTCTCAGGGTGGTCGGACTCCGTACTTGGTGGTTCAGGGCCCCAGAGCCAACCCTCCAAAAGATTGAACTGGAAGCTGCCTGTCTCCTAAGGCCTGGGCTTGGAAACTGCATGGTGTCATTTCTGCCATATTTTATTAGTCATGTAGTCACAGAGTCCATCTAGATTCAAGGAAAGAGTTCATAGGCCACTTCTCAATAGGATAAGTAACAAGAATTTATAGCCAACTGAACAGCAGACATAAAGATGTGGATTTCAGAAAAGAGGTCCCATTTTCCTGCCTTCCTTTCTTCTCATTTTTCCTCCCTGTCTCCCTCTCCCTTCCTCTCTCCCTTCTTTTAGAAGGTGTTCCTTGAGTACCTACAGAGGTTCAGGGACTGCTATGCATGTTGAGGGTACAGCAATGACCAAGATCTCTGGTCTTCCTCTTATGGGGCTTACAAACCAGGCAACAGCAGGCAAAACCATCAGCTGAGCAAGAAAGACACCTTATAGTGTACCTGTGTTAAGCAGAGAAGTGGAAAAGGAGGATGTGGGAAATAGCTCTTGGGCAGCCATTGTAGATCAGAGGGACCAGCTTAGTGAGAAGGCCTCGCTGAAGGGTGAGGTGAGACAAGGAGGGGCTGGCCACGCATGTTCAGGGCAGAGGGAACAATGGCTGGTATAAAACCCCCGGTGGGAGTGAGCGGTTCTGGTTTGAGAAACAGGAAGAAGGGCTGCGTGCCATGTGGGTGGGGTGAGTGGGGAGAAGCGTGGGTGGTTAGAAATCAGCTAACAGAGCGCTTTATCACCCCATGCGGGAGTGTAGATTTTACTTTAAATATTTTGGGAAGACTTTGGGGGTTTGATCAAGGTAGGGACAGGATCTGATTTCCATGAAATGTAAATCTGGTGGCCGAGTAGAGCCCTAGTGCGAGCTGGGAGACCAGGCAGGGGGCCACCGCCATGGTCCAGGTGAGAAAGTCTGGATGGACAGGTGGAGAGAGAGAGCCACAGGTGGGCTGAAGATACTGCTTTGGAGGCACAGAGTGGAGATGCGCTGATGGACTGGATGGGAGGGGGCATGGTTATGAGAGTAGGAGGGAGATAAGGATGACACCTGGAGCCTCGATGGACCACCTGGGAGGACGACGTAGCTGAGCAGATAGAGAAATGGGGAAGGTGGGTTGAGTTTGAGGTGTGTTTTAGACACTCAAGTTGCCACCGGAAACTATGAGCCTGGGGTTCTTGGATGTGGTCCAGGCTGGAGATTGAGACTGGGAAGTCATAGGCCTATAGCTGGCATTTACAACCAGGGACTGGGAGAGAGCCCCAGGGCTCATGTGTAGAGAGAATAGAAAGGGACCCAGGAAAGATCCCTGGACGCTGGCCAACATTAAGAGGCACAGCAAAGGATGAAATGGCAAAGGAGACTGGGAGGGACCCGCCAAACAGGTAGGAGAGCCCCTAAGGGTCACAGCAGCCAGTAAGCAAAGTAAAAGAGAGGGGTCTTGGTTCCAGGGTCCCCGTGGTGGATACCAAATGCACAGATGCTCAAGTCCTCTATATAAAATGGGGTAATATTTGCATGTAACCTACCCATCCTCCCATACACTTTAAGACATCTCTAGATTACTTAGAATACCTAATACAATTTAAATGCTATGTAAATAGTTGTTATACTGTATTGTTTAGAGAATAATGACAAGAAGAAAGTTTGTACATATTCACTACAGACACAACCAACCATTTTATTTTTTGAATTTATTTATTTTTATTTTTTGAGACAGAGCCTCACTGTTTGCCCAGGCTGGAGTGCAGTGGCATGATCTTGGCTTACTGCAAGCTTCGCCTCCCGGGTTCAAGGGATTCTCCTGCCTCAGCCCCCTGAGTAGCTGGGATTACAGGCACATGCCGCCATACCTGGCTAATTTTTTGTATTTTTAGTAGAGATGGGGTTTCACCATGTTGGCCAGGCTGGTCTTGAACTCCTGACCTCAGGTGATCCACCTGCCTTGGCCTCCCAAAGTTCTGGGATTATAGGTGTGAGCCACTGTGCCCAGCCTACTTTTTGAATACTTTTGATCTGTGCTTGGTTCAATCCACAGCCGCAGGTCCCTGGATACAGAGGTCGGCTGTATATACCAGGGAGTGTTCTGTATGGGATACTAATGAAGGCTATGTGTCTCAGTTACTTATTGCTATGGAAGAGACCACCCCAATACTCAGCAACTTAAAACAAAGTACATTTATGATTTCATAGTTTCTCTGACTTATGAATCCAACTACAGTTTTAGCTGAGAGTCTCTGCACAGGGCCATTCCCAGGCTGAAACTGTTGGCTGGGGCTGCATTCATTTCAAGGCTTGACTTTGCGAGAGGTGGCAGAGGATTTGTTTCCAAATCTACTCATGTGACTGTTGGCAGGATTCAGCTGTGGCTTGTTGGACTGAGGGTCTGAGTTCCTTGCTGGCTGTTGACGGGAGTACTCCCTGGGCCCCTTGCCGCATAGGGTGCTTCACAGCATGGCAGCTCTGCCACCTGTCTTACAGGAGAAGATGAGCAAGAGGGATAGCAGGTCCTTTTGCAACCTAATTTCAGAAGTGACTTCCTGTGTCTTTTGCCAAATTTTGTGAGTTGGAAGTGAGTCGTTAGGTGCATCCCACACTCAAGGGGTGGGGACTCCACAAGGGGGTGACTGCAGGAGCTGGGGATCAGTGAGGGTCATCCTAGAGGCTGCCTGCCACAGCCAGGGAGTGGAGGAAGCTGAAGAAGGCTACAGCCGGAAGCGGGAGTGAGGAGCCTGACAACTCAAGAGGTGGCACAGGGGGAGAGAACTGGGACACAAAAGAGTCTGAGAAGCAGGGAACAGTGTGTAGGTTCCGTGAACAACACAAACAAAAGTCATTGCTTTCAGTTTTGCAAACTTAATTCTCATCTAAGCCCTCTCAGACACGTGTTAGAATTCCCATCTTTCAAATGAGGAAACCGAGGCTGGGCGAGGGCTGTAGGGATGGAAAGAGTTGGATGGGTTCAGAAAGTGCTCATTCAGGATGGATTGCAGGGAAGGGTGGTTGAGGAAGTGAGCAGGATCATGGCAGACATGGATTTGGTGGTTTCTGTGGAGATGGGAAATGCCATGAGGTCTCCTTATTGTTCTGTCAGGGGTGACTCAGTCCCTGTGCATTAGGTTCAGCTCCCATGAGGCCTGGGACTTGAGTGGGGCCTCCGTGGTGGCTTGGAAGCTGCTCCCCACCACATGCCATTTTCTCTTCTCTTGCAGCTTTGGATACCTCCCGCCTTTGGCTGTCGACCTGAGTATGACAATGGATTGGAGGAGATTGTCTTTGGCTTTGAACCCTGGATAATTGTGGTCAACCTGGCCATGCCTTTTTCTATTTTCTATCGAATGCACGCAGCTGCCTCCCTCTTTGAGGTCTATTGTAAGATATAGTCTGGGTCCACAAGAGACCTAGGAGTGAGCTAACAAGAGTTCATTGGAGCCAACTAGGAGTGGCCAGGTTGGGCAAATATTGCCTGACAAATATGAGAAGGGCCACCTTTTGTCTGCAAAGATTGTGCTTCCTGTGGGCTGGAACTGCCCATCACCCCTGATGAATGTAAACAAGTTAGATCAAAATCCATGAGGTGGCTGGAATCTGTCCTTGGTTAGTTAAATGCTAATCAAGCCCAAATTATTTTATTTCCTTCTAAATGATTTAGAAGAATGTGATTCTGGCTTGGGAAAAAATCTATCCAGTTTGTTTTTCATAAAAAGCATTTTCTTTGTGTCATTTATCATGTGACTCCATACAACCTTTTCCTGACCACCTGCATAGTAATTTACACTTTAAAAATTTATCCTTCTCAAAGCCTATGAATTTAGACACAATCACAATGAGTTTATATTGTTTCTGAATAGGTTTAATTTCTTGAAGTTATTTTTATCATCTGGATAGAAATTTGTGTACAGACCAATATAAAAACATATTTCTTACCTGAAATGTTGACACATTTTTGTGATCATTTTCAAGTATTTTTAAAAGGAAATTTCACTATTCTCTCTTTCACTGTAAACACTTACATGTTTATTGTAAAAAATTTGGATATTTCAGAAAAGTAGAGAGAAAAAGTCACCTATGATGCCATTGTTCAATTAACAATTACTTTTAATATCTTGGTGTATTTCTTCCAACCATGTTGATGAGATTCTTTTTATTGTCATTATTATACCTTTGAATGATGATGTAACATATTTGATTTTGTATTCAGTTATTTTCCCACTTAACAATATGGCATAAACCTTGCCCCCATATTGTTATAAATTCTTTATAAATATCATTTTAATGCTGTATGATAGTCTATCAAGTGAATGTACCTTAATTAACATAGTTTCCTATGGTTGGTTTTACAGTGTTTATAACTTTTTGCTTTTATAAGTAACTCTGAAAAATCAACCATATTTGTGAAGCATTTCCTATATTTAGAATTGCTTCTTTAAGATATGAAATTACAATTAGGATGCCTAGCCCAAAGATTAAGATTATAAATATTTCAAAGGTGCCTAAGGAATATTGACATTTGGGAGGACTTTGTATAGTTTTTCCATAGCTATTTTAAAATAATAATAAAATTAATTTTCTTACTGTAAGTATTAAAGTGAATATGTTTTCATTTGAGTGTATTTTTTTCAGACAGTGCAGGCAATGGGACAGTAATAAATACAAAGTTTTTTTTAATATGACTAAAGTACACTTATTTTAGAAAAAACTAAAAAATAGGCATATATACTAAAAAACAAAGGAAAACATCATCTATACATGTCCCATCTAGAGAATCGGTTCTCCACCTGGGGACCTTGTTCCTTGAGGGGACATTTAGCAATATCTGAGGACATTTTTTAATATTTATTTTTTATTAAAATTAAAATAAATCTAAATTATGCATAATATTTGTACATACTTACAGGGTACATGTGATATTTTGATATAAACATATAATAAGTAATAATCAAATCAGGGTGACTGAGATATTCATACCCTAAAGTATATATCTTTTTTTGTGTTAGGAACAACGTAATTTCACTATGTTTGTTACTCTAAAATATACAATAAATTATTGTTAACTATAGTTGCGCTTTCGTGCTACCAAACACATTTTTGATTGTTACACTACTGCACCCATGGATACGGCTAACACCCTACAACATACAGGACAGCCCCACCACAAAGAGTCTTTGGGCTGATTGTCAATGGTGCTGAGGTAATCTAGAGGTAACTGCTGTTAAGTATTAGTACATGCACACAGGCTGGGCGTGGTGGCTCACACCTGTAATCCCAATACTTTGGGAGGCTGACGCGGAAGGATCGCTTGAGGCCAAGAGTTTAAGACCAGCCAGGGAACACAAACATAGTGAGACCCTGTCTGTACAAAAAACAAAACAAAACAAAACAAAAAACCCATTTGCGGTGGAGTATGCCTGTAGTCCCAGCTACTCATGAGGCTGAGTGGAGAGGATCACTTGAGCCCAGGAGTTTGAGATTGGGTAGTGAGCCAAGATCGTGCCACTGCATTCTAGCTTGGGTGACACAGCAGGACCCTGTCTCTAAAAAATAAAAATTAAAAAAAATTATATATATATATTTATTTTTATTTTTTTGAGACGGACTTTCACTCTTGTTGCCCAGGCTGGAGTGCAATGGCATGACCTTGGTTCACTGTAACCACCGCCTCCTGGGTTCAAGCGACTCTCCTGCCTCAGCCTCCGAAGTAACTGGGATTACAGATGCCTACCACCACGCCCAGCTAATTTTTGTATTTTTAGTACAGACAGGGTTTTACCATGTTGGCCAGGCTGGCCTCGAACTCCTGACCTCAGGTGATCCACCCACCTTGGCCTCCCAAAGTGCTGGGATTACAGACGTGAGCCACTGCAACCAGCTGATAATTTTTTTTTTTTTCAAAAGTATGCATACACCCACACCCACATGAAGGGGGTGGTTTTTATATATACTGCGTTTGTATGTAACTTGCTTTTTTCCTCTTGATACACCAGAGTGCTTCTTCCCTGTTTTGGGTCCCAGGCATCGACGCTCTGGCTTTAGTGTGCCTGAGACTCATCTGGGGAACTTGGTAGGATTCCTGCCCTCCAATATGGAAGTTCAGATTCAGTCTGGAGGGGGGCCCGGAAGTCTGCACTTTCATGAGTATCTCAGGGGATGCCAATTCCCTTTGAGAAGCATCTCCTTGGGAGTCCATGGACCACAAGCTAGGACTCCTGAGCAAGTTTCCTTGACATTGTATATCCATGTGCAGTATGATTTTGGGTGGCTTTAAAGTACACTCCATGGAAGGATGTACCATTCCTTATTTTTTCAAACCGTGATGTTGGACATTTAGAGATATTTAGGTGGTTCCTTTTTTTTGGTGCTACTGTAAACAATGCTATGGTGATCATCTTTGTAATTGAGTCTTTGAGGTCAGTGACAAACTGTCCTCTGGAGTGATTTACGCTGACTCAGCAGTGACTGAGTGGGAATACCGGTTTCCTCATTTTGGTTGGCATTACCTTTACCCCCATTCTAAGCACATTAGAACAGCCCTGAGGCCTCAGCTTTGGGTTTTGGGCTCTGCCAAGGAGAAGAAAAGGAGCCATCATTATGCTGGGAATGATGGATCCAGGTTGTGGGGATGCTATTGTGGACACATGGCAGCATCAGAGCTTGGAAAAGCCTGCATGGCTGGCTGCGCTCAGCGTTTCCAAGAAAGGATCTAAAGATGGATGAAGCATCTCTTATCCTCAACAGGCAGCCTCAGGGATGGCTATTTCAGCCAGGTGCTTTTTACCTCTAAGTAATTAAGCATCCTGATTCAACCAGCCTAGGTGGCAAGGAAAATTTACTATCTTAATGCCAAGGCAATTTGCCAAAGAGGAACCAGAATGTGCAATACACAAGTGTTAAGGTCTCAGGGATTAATACACGGAATACAAATTGAAATAATAATGAGTTACTACTTCCCATTCATTAGACTGGCAAGAGTTGGCAAGAAGTGAAAGAAAGACCCATATATACTGCTAGTGGGAGCGTAAATGAATAAAATCAGATTGGACAGCAATTGGCAATATTGACTAAGGCTGGAGGTACACATTCCTTATGAGCTAAGAATTCTGTTCCTTGGCATGTGCTCCAGAGACAGCCTCACACCTGTGTTCAGGAATGTGCACTCAGCATCACTTGTAATTAGGAAAATGGAAAACAGCCTAAATGCCTGTCAATTAGGAGTGCAGATAGGCACACCAGGGACTATTTCCATGATGGACTATTTCACAAAAGGAAAAAATGAACACAAGAGAATTCAGGTATCAACATGGATAGTCCCCCAAAACAATGTTGAATGAAACATTAAGTAGCGCAGGCATATAATTGGTATGATACCATTAATATGATGTCTAGGAACAAGCAAAACAATCCCTGATATTGCTGGGGGATATGTCCATATGCAGTAAGATTACAAACACACCTGAAGAAAGAATGCACGCCAAGTTCAGCGTAGTGAGAAGGGGAGGGGCTTGGAACCAGCAACTGATTTCATGCTGTGTCTGAAATACTTTTTCTTAAGCAAAGAGGTATTCATTATGTTTTCTCTGCACTCTTAAAACGTACTCTTTAAATATACTTTTAATGTATTTTAAAGAAACTTTAAATGAGATATTTCATAATACAAGTATTTGAGAGCAAGAAAAAAAGAAAGTCCATACAAGGAAGATGAACTTAGACACAGCTACCCAAGCAGGTAAATTTCCAGCATTCATCCATCATTGTTGAGAGATGGGTGTCAAAGCCAGTGGTGTTCTGTTCTCCTTGGCAGGTAAATCCCCAAGGTGGGGTAGCTCAATGCAATTAGCTGGTAAGATCACCGGACTCACTCTTCCACGGACGCCTCTGTGCACATTAGGAAACCTGACATTGGTTTGCCTTCCAATGTCGCTATTTGCTGTGGGGACAATGCCCCGGGCACACATATTATCAGGACAACCTGCAATGGACTGGATGTTTGTTTCCCCCTTAAATTCATATATTGAAGCTTAATGGCAATGTGGTGGTATTTGGAGGTGGGGTCTTTGGGAGGTAATGAGGTCATGATGGTAGGACCCTTGTGAATGGGATTAGCACCTGTAAGAGGGGGCCAGAGAGCTTGTGCACTTCTTTTCTGTCATATGAGGATGCAATGAGAAGACAGCTGTCTGTGACCCGGAAGAGGGCCCTCACCAGAACCCGACCATGCCAGCACTGGCACCCTGATCTTGGGCTTCCAGCCTCCAGACCTGTGAGAAATAAATGCCTGTTGTTGATTAGCCACTCAGCTTGTGCTGTTTTATTGTAGCAGCTTGCACTGAGTAAGTTATTCCCTTACCTGCTGTAACCGTATACAGGAGGGGCCTGTGCATTTGGTAGCTTGGGTTCTTCCCTGAGCCTGTGAAACTCAGATTTGAACTCATTTATTTTGGGTGCCATGACTCTTGTCGAGGCAGGGTGGAAGGGCACGGGCACGGAGCCAGATATCCAGGGTGACAACAGGCTCCCATGGTGCCTGAGTGTGCATTAAAAAAGCACCCCTTCCACAAGACTGTCGAACCAAACCCACCAGCATCTTCCTACCTGCCCATGCGCGGGAGGCAAATTAGACCTGTTTGTCTCCCCACCACAAATGTCGGCCAAAAGTTCCAACTGGAAAATGCTTGCTATTACCTTCCAGTTGCACGACCCTCTCAGCTAACGAAGCCCTTCTCGCATCCATCTCCCTCCACGCCTGCCTGTGAAGTCCCAGCTCACAGATGACCTGGTTAGGTAAGCACTGTTATTTTGTTTGAACAGAGGGAACCTTTGGATCACATGTACATAGCTAGTCAGTGGCAGCATTTGGTTCCTCATGCCGGTTTTAAAAACTCCATTGCCTTTTCTTTTCATTAGTCATATCATCTTATGAAGAAAGTCAACTCAGTAAAAATATCCTTCAAACAATAGCTCAGGGATATGCGTACAGAACAATCTAGTCAGCTGACAGAATATCTGGCTTTTCATCCAGTTATAAAATGCTGCACTTTGCTTAACATGGTGAAGAGTGAAAGCTGCTAACAGCTGGTTTCTTTCTCCAAAAATGTGAGCCCTGCTATGGGAGAGCGCAACCAGCAGGGGGCGCCAGCGCCTTTCCCTGAACTTCAGGGCAAGCTTGAGACCGGGGTACCTGGAGGGTGGGCAGTGGCCTCAAGGTACCAAACGAATGGGTGGGCGCAAGGTGTGCTGATTGGACTCCATTGGCTGCGCTGGGTTCCCGTAGCGTATGTGAGAGATACCTGTCACCACTTCCCGGCTAAGACCCAGCCAGTTCCAGCAAGGACGTTCCCTCCACCGGACCCACCAGGACCCACTCCCTGCAGGGCACTCTGGTCCCTCTCAAGAGGCTTTGGAGGAACTTGGGGGTTACAGGGTGTTCCCCTGATGGGAGAGTCCCTGGCATGCTGGGTGTGAGTGGGACTGAGTTGGGTGGGGGAGGCTGGGGAAGCTGGCTGGGAGGGCACTTGTGCTGGGTGTGATGGGGGAATGTAGGCGATGTTAGTTCCTCCTAAGAGTAGCCACCAAGAGGACTCTGGGGAGGGAGAGATGGGCACAGTGTTTTAACCCACAAATGGGAGGGTAATTCTGGCATGGTGGTTTCAGCAATGTTAGTAACACACGGACCACCATAACCATGATAGTGAAGCTACATGTCTGAAAAATGTAAATCAAATCAAGTCACCTGCTAAAAACGTTTCAGTATACAGAATTTTGCTGAAAGGTCAAGTTTCCAAGAGACTTTCAAAGATGTTAAGTGAGGACATACTGTACATCAAATTCATATCCTCTCCCGGAGTTCACGTGGAATTTCTTTATAAACTGCTTCTAGAGAGTCTGTTTAGGCAGGTTGTGTGTAGAGATCCGCGTCACCCGTCCTCAATCTTGGCTTTGAGTGAAATCACCTGCGGAGCTTACAAACGATGAGGCCTGGGTCTCGTTACATGAAATTCTGATTTCCTTGCACGTGTGTGAGTATGTGGGTTTTTTTTTTGTTTGTTTTTTGTTTTTAAGCACCAGAGGTGGTTCCAATGATGAAATTTTTAGAGGAATCAAGCTCCAATGAGTAAGAACAGAAGTTAATAGTAATATATCTTCAAATATGATTTTCAAATGCATTGTCCATCAACACTACACAAACGTTTATTATGCTGTTTTTTCTTACCGTTTAGCATTTCCTATTTTTTTCTTTTTCTTTTCTTTTTTCTTTTTGTGTGTGTTGAGGCAGAGTTTCACTCTTGTTGCCCAGGCTGGAGTGCAATGGCATGATCTCGGCTCACTGCAACCTCTGCCTCCCGTATTCAAGCGATTCTCCTGTGTCAGCCTTCCAAGTAGCTGGGATTACAGGCATGGGCTACCACGCCCGGCTAATTTTTTTTTTTTTTTTTGTATCTTTACTAGAGACAGTGTTTCTCCATATTGGTCAGGCTGGTCTTGAACTCCCGACCTCAGGTGATCTGCCCACTTCCACCTCCCAAAGTGGTGGGATTACAGGCGTGAGAGACCGCGCCCAGCCACCACTTAGCATTTTCATTTTACGTTTGTCGAAGTTATACATTTAGACACACATTGATTGCTGCTTTGTTTTACACTTGCATATACATAAAATGGGAAATAGAAAAGAATAAAATGGGCACAGTATCCCTGAAGTTTCACATTCCGGGACATTTTAAAAATATTTGCTTTTTAGAAATTGGTTTCAATTAAGAAACTGTGGTATACACACACAATGAAGTATTATTCAGCCTAAAAACGATTAAAATCCTCTCCACTGCAGACAAAATGGATGAGATTGCAGGTGTGTATTGTAAGTGAAACAAGCCAGGCACAGAATGACAAATATTTCATGTCCTCACTTATATGTAGGAACAAACAAGAAAATCTTGGCCAGGTGTGGTGGTTCAGGCCTGTAATCCCAGCACTTTGGGAGGCCGAGTCACACGGATCACTTGAGGCCAGGAGTTCAAGACCCACCTGGCCAACATGGTGAAACCCCGTCTCTCCTGAAAACACAAACAATTAACCCGGCGTGGTGACAGGTGCCTGTAGTCTCAGCTACTCAGAGGGCTGAGGCCCAAGAAGTGCTTGAACTCGGAAGGTGGAAGTTGCATTGAGCCCGGATTGTGCCTGTATACTCCCACCTGGGCAACAGAAAGAGACTCCATCACACACCTACACACAAAAGGAATCTCAAGAAGGCGGAAAGTATAAAGGTGGTTTTCCTTTATACTTGAAAAGGCTTTTCACTAGGAAGAAAACGGGTGGGATGGGGAAGGAAGAGAAGTGGATAATTGGGTCCCAAAATACAGAAAGATGGAATAAGTGAGTTCTAGTGTTTGATAGCACAGTATGAAAATTTTAGTTCACAAGAATTTCTTGCATATTTCCAGATGCTTTGGTAAGAAGCTTCCTAACTTTCTCATTATGCTGGTTTGTAAGCTATTCTCTTTCTGTTCTTGAAATCGTGCTGCTTTCTTTCTTTTTTTTTTTTTTTTTTGAGATGGAGTTTCACTCGTGTTGCCCAGGCTGGAGTGTAATGGTGCAATCTTGGCTCACCGCAACCTCTGCCTCCTGGGTTCAAGCGATTCTCCTGCCTGCACCTCCCGAGCAGCTGGGATTACAGGCATGCCCCAGCACGCCCAGCTAATGTTGTATTTCTAGTAGAGATGGGGGTTTCACCCTATTGGTCAGGCTGGTCTTGAACTCCTGACCTCAGGTGATCCACCCGCCTCGGCCTCCCAAAGTGCTGGGATTACAGGCATGAGCAACCGTGCCCGGCCCATGCTGTATCCTTATCTGTCATCTGTCGTTGTTTGCTTGTTTTGGAGCCCAGAAATAACTTCTCACCTATATGCTCAAATGACTTTTAACCTGAGTGCTAAGAAAGTTCATTGGTGGAAAAGCAGCCTTTTCAAGAAATGGTGTTGGAGAAACTTGATTTCCACATGCAGAAGAATGAAGGTGGACCCTATGTCACACCAGGTGCAAAAATTAACACAAACTGGATCAAAGACCTAATCCCAAGCGCTAAAAGTATACTATGCCTAAAAGAAAACATTGGTCACACTTTCATGACATCAGATTGGGCAATGCTTTCTGGGATCTGACACCAAAAGCATAGGCAACAAGAGAAAATTAGATTCCTTGGATTACATCTAAATGACAGGAACTTTTGTGCATCAAAAAACACTGTGAATTGATTGAAAAGATAACCCACGGATTAGGAAAAGTATTTGCAAATCATCTATCTGGAAAGAGGCTGATATCCATCCTATGTAAAGAACAGCTAGAGCTAAACAACAAGAAACCCAAAGCATCCCATTAACCATGGTCAGAAGACTCGAGTAGCCGTGTCCCTAAAGAAGATATAGCAATGGCCAATAAGCATCGAAAATGATGTTCAAAATCACTAATCATAGGGAAGCACAAATCAAACCAAGAATGTGATACCACAAGTTAGGAAGGATATGATAAACAAACAAGCATTGGTGAAACTAGAGGGAAGTAGGAATGCTCGAATATGACTGGAGGGAATGCAAAATCGTGAAGGAACAGGGAAAAGAGTATGGCGTGTACTGGAAAAAGTAGAAACAGAATTATCAGATGATCTCACAGATGCACTTGTGGGTACCTACCAAAAAGAATTAGAAGCCAGGAGTGGAAGAGATATCTGTACAGCCATATTCATAGCAGCATTATTCACGACAGCCAAAATGTGGAAGCAACCCAAGGGTTCGTGGACAGATGAATGAAAAAGCACACTGCAGTTCCTTCATACAGTGGAAGACTATTCGGCCTTCAAAAGGCAGGCACTTCTGGCCGGTGCGGTGGCTCACGCCTGGAATCCCAGCATCTTGGAAGACCGAGGTGGGTGGATCACCTGAGGTCAGGAATTCAAGACCAGCCTGGCCATCTTGGTGAAACCCTGTCTCTACTGAAAATGCACAAAATTAGACGAGTGTGGTGGCGTGTGCCTATAGTCCCTGCTACTCGGGAGGCTGAGGCACAAGAATCGCTTGAACCCGGGAGGCGGAGGTTGCAGTGAGCCCAGATTGTGCCACTGCACTCCAGCCTGTGCGACAGAGTGAGAATCCATGTAAGCACAAAACAAAACAAAATCAAACAAACAAACAAACAAAAAAACCCCCGAAAAACCAGACAGGCACTTCTGACACAGGCTGCAACACGGATGAACTTTGAAGACATTATCGTCAGTGAAATAAATAAATCCCAAAAGGATAAACACAGCCAGGCTCAGTGGCTTGCACCTGTAACCCCAGCACTTTGGGAGGCTGAGGCAGGCGGATCACTTAAGGTCAGGATTTCGCGACCAGCCTGGCCAATATGGGGAAAGCTCATCTCTATTAAAAATACAAAAATTAGCTAGGCGTGGTGGCACACGCCTGTAATCCCACCTACTCGGGAGACTGAGACACAAGAATCACCTGAACCCACAATGTGGAGGTTGCAGTGAGCCGAGACCAGGCCACTGCACTCCAGCCTGGGTGACAGAGAACGACTCTGTCTCCAAAACAACAGCAACAAAAAAAATTAAACACAGTATAATTCCACTTATATCAAGGGTCTAGAGTAGTTAAACTCATAGAGTTGCTAAATAGAATGGTGGCCCCCAGGGGTGGGCGAGAGAGAGGAACGGAGAGTTTGGTTAATGGGCGTAATTTCCATTTTGAAAGATAAAACTGTTCTGGAGATGACGGCAGCGATGGTTGCTAAACAATGTGAATGTACTTAATGTGATTAAACTGTAAACTGAGAAATAGTGGAAATTGTCAATGTTGATACTGGCCATTCTATATGAAATAAAATATATTTATAATTTTTAATATTTATACGTGGTATATTTTCCCATCATAAAAGCTGAAAATGAAAGCAGTTGGATCTTTAAAAAGAAAAGAAGGAAGCGAATAATCCACACAAACTTTCTCCTGATGAGAGGAAGAACCCCAAAGCTTCTATGGACACTCACTTTTCTCTTGTTCTTCATGCAATATTGAGGAAATCCTTAGAGTTTGGGGAACATGGGTGACTTTGGCTAATGAGGAGCTCTGTGCCTTGAGCCCCCCAGGCCATAGAATAGTAAATAGTCAGTCTGTGCCTCCAGCCCTGCAGTGTGAGATTCCAGTACTGTGGGCTCCACACCCATCACCTGTATCAGGAGGCTTCTGTCTCACCCTGTCTTCTTGCCAGCCTTGAGGATGGAGTCTGAGCCTCCAACGTGCACCCCGCAGGGAGGACAGTGGACCTGTTCTCCGTGGTCATGGCCCAGCCGAGGGGAAGGGCGGTTCAGTGAGTGCTGAGGGATGGTCGGGAGCCTTGTTTGGTTTCCTCCTCCTCAGGACAAACAGGAGAGTGTGGTGGGCAGATGGGAGGAGACCAATGTGCAAACTGTTAGCTCAGCAGAGTGTGGAGATTCTGTTCTTGGTTGTGGTGGGGGGTCTCTCTCAGAAATCTTCTTTAAAATTTTGCTTTCCTCTCCCACTGGTTGTCCTTTTCATAGACATCTCACCCATGATAGCAGGGAATGAGTCCCTCTAAACTGTTCCCTCAGAACAACAAAAAGATGATGAAGGTGATGATGAGGATAGAGGATCATGACAGACACCATGGCATCATGAACCCTTAACTGAGGGCTTCCTAAAGGACAGGCTCTGAGCTCTGTGCTCTATGCAGCTTGTTTCATTTCATCTGCGTAGTCTCCCAGTTATGAGTGCACATTTCATGATGATTTTACAGACAAGAAAAGGAGCAACGCATTTTCATAGAACTTGCACCAGATCTTGAAGTCAAAAAGGGTGAAGTCCAACTTGAACCAGGCAGTCTAAGGCCAGACACATGGCATTTGGCCAGTCCTCTCCCTGCATCCAACCTGCCCTCTCAAATCCTTGTCACTCAGGACGATGCCCCTGCTCACTGTGCCCTTCCCTTTGGGGGTTCCTTGGAGACCACAGCTAGACCAGTGGGTGCCACAATCACTGTGTCAAAGATTCCAGAAAGAATTGGCACAGGATCATTCGGGACGCATCTCTCCCTTGCCCCTGTTCCTGGCTTTCCTTACAGCTCTCGACTTCCTCAAAGGAGTCATCAATTCGGAGTTTGGCTTCCATTCCTATTGAGGAAGCTGGAAACCAGTTCAAAAATGCTCCTCTGATGTGCCTGTGGTTAAGACCTCTGAGCTCTGCTTAAAACATTTTGAAGCTGGGCGCGGTGGCTCACGCCTGTAATCCCAGCACTTTGGGAGGCTGAGGCAGGCGAATCACAAGGTCAGGTGTTCAAGACAAGCCTGGCCAACATGGTGAAACCCCGTCTCTACTAAAAACAGAAAAAAATGAGCTGGGTGTAGTGGCGAGCGCCTGTATTCTCAGCTACTGGGCAGGCTGAGGCAAGAGAATAGCTTGAACCTGGGATGCGGAGGTTGCAGTGAGCCGAGATCACTGCACTGCACTCCAGCCTGGACTCAGCACTCTCATCTGAGTTGATTTCTAGTTGATCCAATGGAAGCGAGCGATGATTAAACAGATCGTGGGTGCCCGCTGCGTGATCTCTATGTGATGGATGCATAAAGTCAAGGCAAAGTGAATTTTAGATACATTCGTTAATATTTTAAGCTTCAACTCCACACAATTCAACAGAAATATCCCCTGAGCCAAAGTTCTGGTTTCCCTGCATTCCAGACAGGACATTTTATTTTGTCCTTATCTCAGTAAGTACTGAGTATTGTGAGGAACAAGTGAGTCTCTTTTGTTTCTGATTCCCCAGAGCCGATATCTTGCTTGGCACATAGGAGATAGCAAAAGTAACAATCGATGTGAATTATTGAATTGACGCTTCCTTGGTTCACAAAAATTGGCTGTCATCCGTGTGACTTCGACTTACTTGATTCTTTTTGTTGTTTGTTTTTTGAGACGGAGTTTTGCTCTTGTTGCCCAGGCTGGAGTGCAGTGGTGTGATGTCGGCTCACTGTAGCCTCTGCCTCCCAGGTTCAAGCCATTCTCTTGCCTCAGCCTCCTGAGTAGCTGGGACTACAGGCGCATGCCACCATACCGGGTGACGTTTTGGTATTTTTAATAGAGGCAGGGTTTCACCATGTTGGCCAGGATGGTCTTGATCTCCTGACCACGTGATCTGCCCTCTTCCGCCTCCCAAAGTGCTGGGATCACAGGCGTGAGCCACGGCGTCCGGCCAAACTTTCTGATGAGAACTCCAAGTCCACCTAAGCTAAGGACAGGAGTTATAGCTTCCATGAATTTTAAAACAAGACCCACAGATTGGAGGAAGCAATTACTCTCTTGAAAGAGAAAAGTCAGAAAACGTAATGACGAAATCACTAGGACCTAACTGGCATGTGGAACTATTTTCTGCTGAGGAACTATCAACTTTCATTTCATTTCCAGATGGCATGGTCTCAGCTGTTATACAGTGTTTACAAATGTTCTACATCAAGGGAATTTGTATCAATCTTTTCGAATCAAATAAAATATTTGAGTTCTTAATTTCCTTTAATTAGGATAACCATTTTCTTAAAGTGAAGAGAACGGTTTCATTACATATTTTTCTTCGGAAAACATAGGCTGTATTTTCTAGCAATTACGAATTTGTTAGATATGATGATCTGGTTCTTGGAACATTCTTGAATCTAGTGTCTCTAAGGCAGGTGTGTACAGCAAGTGAATAGCACAGAAATCAATGAAGAAAGCATGAGAAGACAATTGAGTTTGTCAGAACTGCAAAATATTGCTGAGTGGATTGCTCTGAAATCTGAAAACATGACTTGTGAATTGCTTCTATCCAAAATGCAGACACAATGCTGGGTGTTGGTTTACTTGTTTCCGATTTTTCAACCCTCTTTTCTAGGCAAAAGGTGTCCAAACTCTACAGACCCACAGAATGTAACGGATGTCTCTCGATTCCTCCTCCTCAAACTCTCAGAGGATCCAGAACTGCAGCCGGTCCTTGCTGGGCTGTTCCTGTCCATGTGCCTGGTCACGGTGCTGGGGAACCTGCTCATCATCCTGGCCGTCAGCCCTGACTCCCACCTCCACACTTCCATGTACTTCTTCCTCTCCAACCTGTCCTTGCCTGACATCGGTTTCCCCTCCCCCACGGTCCCCAAGATGGTTGTGGACATCCAATCTCACAGCAGTCATCTCCTATGCAGGCTGCCTGACTCAGATGTCTCTCTTTGCCATTTTTGGAGGCATGGAAGAGACACATGCTCCTGAATGTGATGGCCTATGTCCGGTTTGTAGCCATCTGTCACCCTCTATATCATTCAGCCATCATGAACCCGTGTTTCTGTGGCTTCTTACTTTTGTTGTCTTTTTTTTTTCTCGGTCTTTTAGACGCCCAGCTGCACAACATGATTGCCTTACAAATGACCTGCTTCAAGGATGTGGAAATTCCTAATTTCTTCTGTGATCCTTCTCAACTCCCCCATCTTGCATGTTGTGACACCTTCACCAATAACATCATCATGTATTTCCCTGCTGCCGTATTTGGTTTCCTTCCCATCTCGGGGACCCTTTTCTCTTACTCTAAAATTGTTTCCTCCATTCTGAGGGTTTCGTCATCAGGTGGGAAGTATAAACCTTCTCCACCTGTGGGTCTCACCTGTCAGTTTTTTGCTGATTTTATGGAACAGGCATTGGAGGGTACCTCAGTTCAGATGTGTCATCTTCCCTGAGAAAGGCTGCAGTGGCCTCACTGATGTACAAGATGGTCACCCCCATGCTGAACCCCTCCATCTACAGCCTGAGAAACAGGGATATTAAAAGTGTCCTGCGGCAGCCGCACGGCAGCACGGTCTAATCTCAAGACCTTCTTATCTGTTCCATTCCTTTTGTAGTGTGGGTTAAAAAAGGCAGCAAGGTCAAACAAGAATGATATCACAGGGTGAACACCCACTGTGACATTACGAGTAATACCTCCCTAGGATATAGAATATACTGTCACAGAGTACACACACGTGGGGTACACCCACTGTGATATTAGAAGCAATATCTCCCTAAAGTAGGATGAAAAATATCACAGGGTGTGCACACTGTGTGATATGAGGAGTCATATTTACCCTGGATATCGCGACTCATATCAAGGGTGTACACACACGGGGTACACGCACTGTGATATCAGGAGTTGTGTCTCCCTACTATATTATGAATACTGTCACAGGGTATACACTATGTGTGAACATCCACTGTGATATTTGAAGTCATATCGCTCTATGAGATTATAAATAACATCAAAGCATGTACACCCCTGTGACATATTACGAGTAACATCCTTCTAGGGTATTACAGATAACGTCACAACGTGTACACCTCCTGTGACATTTTGTACACTCTTTGTGACATTAAGAGAAACATCCCCCTAGGATATTATGAATAATAACACAGAAGGGGTACACACATGGTGTACACCACCTGTGTCATCAGGAGTAACATTCCCCTAGGATATTACGAATAATATCAGAGCAGGTGTACACACATGGTGTACACCCCATGTGACATTCGGAAGAGCATGCCACTAGGATATTAGGAATAGTATCACAGGGGTTGAATACGCATTCTTAACGCATCATGTCACCCCAGGTGACATTAAAAATAACATCCCCCTTGGATATTATGAATAATATGACAGGGAGTACACCCCTTGTGACATTAGGAGTAACATCCCCCGAGGATATAACGAATAACATCAGAGGGTGCACATGCATTGTGACCTTAGTAGTAACGTCTCTTTGGGATATTACAAATAATATCACAGGGTGTACAGGCATTGGGACATCAGTAGTAACATCTCGCTGGGATATGACGAGTCATATCACAGGGTGTACACCCCCATGACAATAGTAGCAACATTTCCCTAGAATATTATGAATAATATCACAGGAGGTACAGCCCCTGTGATTTACGAGTAATATGTCTATAGAATATTACAACTCATATCACTGTGTGACTCTGTGTACACCCCGTGTGACTTTAGGAGTAACATCCCACAAAACAATGATGAAAAATATCACAGGGTGAACACCCCCTGTGACCTGAGGAATAACATAGTTTTAGGATATTGTGAATGATGTGACAAGATGTACACACCCTGTGACGTTAGGAGCAACATCCGTCTAGGATGTTAGAAAGAATATCACACGGAACACACCTCCTGTGACATTAGGATATGACAAATAATATCACAAGGTGTACACGCATCGTGACATTAGCGCTAATATCCCTCTGGTACACTATGAATAATATCACAGGGTGTACATCCCTGTGACATTAGGAGTAACGTCCCCCTAGAATAGTAAGAATAATAACACGGGGTGTACACCCCCTGTGACATGAGGAGTATCATCTCGCTAGAATATTACGAATAATGTCACAGGGTGTTATCGTCTGTGCCAATAGGAGTATAGACCACTGGGAAATTATGAATACTATCACAGGGTGTAAAGCCCTGTGATATTAGGAGTAACATCTTTCTAGAATATCACAAATAACATCACAATGTGTACACCCCCTGTGTCATTAAAAGTAAAATTGCCCTAGGATATTACCAAATAGAACACAGGGAATACACCTCGTGTGACATTAGAAGTAACATACCCCGAGGATATAACGAATACGACCAGAGAATGTACCTGCATTGGGACATCAATGCAGGACAATACGAATAATATCAAAGGGTGTACACGCATTGTGAAATAAGCAGTGAACTCCCGCTAGGATATTAGGAATTTTAGGACAGGGTCTACACTCCCTGTGACATTAGCAGTAACATTTCCCTAGAATATGACGACAATATCACAGAGTGTACACCCTCTGTGATATGAGGAGTGACATTTTATGAGGATAATACGAGTAATTTGACAAGATGTACACCCCCTGTGACATAAGGGGTGACATCCATCTAGGACATTATGAATAATATCAAAAGGAACATACCCCATGTGACAATAAAGGCAACCTCCACTTAGGAGAATAAGAATACCAGCACCAGATGGACATACAAAGTGACATTATTATGAAGCTAAAGCTAGAATATTGGGAATAATATCACAGTGTACACAGTCCTGTGACATCAGGTTGAACATTCCCCTACAAAATTACGAATAATATTGAAGGGTGTATACCCCCTGCGACTTTAGCAGCTGCATCTTGCTAGAATATGGAAGATAGTGTCCCAGGGTGTCAACCGAGGGTGGCAGTATAAACAGGATTCTAGGAAAAATCGGGGAGAAATATCACCCCCCTCTCGCCCCCTGGATATGACGATGCAAATCGCAGGGGGGTGAGGTACCCCCCGCGATGCAAGGAGTAAGAGCCAGCCCCTCTTGCCCCCCTGGATTTTAGGATCCGCGGTGGACTCACAGCCTATTTACCTTATTGTGAGTAATATCATCTCCCGCTCTGGAGATTATGAACTGTTTCACAGATGGGTGTACACCCTCGGTGTACAGAGGGTGTACACCCGTCTGTATTGAATGTAGTATCTTCCTCTTCCTCCCTGAATATTAAGAACTGTATCACAGGGGTGTTTCTACTCCCTGGGATATCGCGTGTCATATCCTCCTCTCCCACGTTGCAATTAGAAACAATATCAGTCGGGGCGTGTCCACCTTCTGTGATATTGAAAGTAATATTATCCTCTTCCCTCCAGGATCATGGGAACAATATCCCTGGGGGGTGTCCACTTTGTGCCACATATGTAGTCATATGACCCCCTACGCCTTGGAATATTTTGAAGGACCATCTCACATGGGGATGTACACTTCCTGCGATATTGGGAGTAATATCAGATGCTTCTTCCGTGAATATTAGGAGCAATATCACGGGGTAGATGCAGACCCAGTGCTATATTGGGAGTAACGTCATACTCCACCCCCTGGAGATTATATTCTGATCAATATCACCGGCTGGGTGTACACCTACTGCGATATTGAACGTAATATCATGCTCTCTCCCTCCCTGGACATTAGAAGCAATAACACAGGTGGGTGTACACCCACTGAGTTATTAGGCGTAATATTAGTATGAATTATTCCTCATTTATTATTATCATGAATATGAATGACAGGTATTAATATTAATATTAAGAAATAATTGCTAATATAATATTTTCAGATTATTAATATTAATATTAATTATTTGTAGCTAATATTTCTAATGAATAAGATCAATATCAGTTATTAATATCAGGCATCATTAATCATTAATATTAATCATTTACTGTTATCATTAGTATAACTAATATTAATTATCCTTATTATCGGTATTGATTTTAAAAATTATATTATCAGTTATTAATATTGATAATTAGTGTCAATTAATAATTGAGATTATTAATTGTGGTAAGTCACGTTGCACCATTCCACCCTCCCTCCGCAGCTCGTTTACGACCCAAAACGGGGACACAAATGCCCCTGAGAGAGCAGCGGTATACTGGGATAGATAAGGATGGTCACTTGGTGGAGAGGCGTGCTTTTGGCTACCAGCCCATCACCTGCGTCAACCTTCTCAACTGGAAAAACAATACACAGAACTATACCGAAAAGCCACAAGCCCTAATTGATTTTCTCCAAGCTGTTATCCAGACCCACAACCCCACCTTGGCTGATTGGCACCAGTTGCTCATGTTCCTCTTTAACAGCGAAGAAAGGCGGAGAGTCCTCCAAGCAGTAACTAAGTGGCTAGAAGAACATGCACCAGCTGATTATCAAAACCCCCAAGAGTATGGAAGGACCCAGGTGTCAGGAACCGACCCCATTTGGACCCACATGAAAGAGAGGAGATTCAAAGGCTAAACTGAGACAAGGAAGCTCTCTTGGAAATATTAATGAGGGGAGCTCAGAAGGCCACAAACGTTAACAAGGTCTCTGAGGTCATTCAGGGAAAAGAGGAAAGTCCAGCACAATTCTACGAGAGACTGTGTGAGGCCTATCGTATGTATACTCCCTTTGATCCCGATAGCCCTGAAAATCAGCGTATGATTCACATGGCTTTAGTCCGTCAAAGCGCAGAAGACATGAGAAGAAAACTGCAGAAACAGGCTAGAATTAGCTGTTACTGCTAGCTAATTACTAGAAATAGCTAGCCAGGTGTTTGTAAACAGGGATGCAGTAAGCCCTAAGGAAAACAGCAAAGAGAATGGAAGTCAGGCCCGGCGACACGATGACCTGTTTGTCAGCTGCAGCAATCAGAGGGGCCCCCCCAAAGAGGCAAGGGAAGGGGGGTCCTGGGAAAGAAACTCAGCTTGGCTGTCAGAGTTTGCAGCGTAACCAGTGTGCTCATTGTAAAGAAATAGGACAGTGGAAGAACAAATGCCCTGAGCTCAAAAGAAAACAAGGTGACTCCGAGCAGGAGGCCCCAGAAAGAAGGAAGGGGCCCGGCTCAACCTGGCAGAAGGGTTATTGGACTGAGGGAGACCGGGCTCAACTGTCCCCAAAGAGTCTCTGGTCAGAATGACAGTCGGGGGTAAAGACATTGATTTTCTTGTAGATAGCGGTGCTGAACATTCGCTAGTAACCGCCACGGTCACCCCCTTTTGCAGAAAGACTATTGACATCATCGGAGTCACGGGGGTTTCAGGAAAGCAAGCTTTCTGCTTGTCCCGGACTTGTACTGTAGGAAGACACAGAGTCATTCAACAGTTTTGGTACATGCGTGACTGTCCCTCGACCTTTTTGGGAAGGGACTTGCTCAGCAAGCTGAGAGCCACTATCTCTTTGACAGAGCACGGCTCTTTGCTGCTCAAGTTACCCGGAACGGGAGTCATTATGATGCTTAAGGTCCCCCGAGAGGAGGAATGGAGACTTTTCTTAACTGAGCCGGGCCAAGAGAGAAGACCAGCTCTGGCTAAGCGGTGGCCAAGAGTACGGGCAGAAGACAACCCTCCAGGATTGGCCGGTTAAGACTGGGGCCCAGCCGGTGAGGCAAAAACAGGACCCGATCCCCAGAGAAGCCCTTCAAGGTATCCAGGTCCGTCTCAAGCACCTAAGAACTTTTGGAATTATTGTTCCTTGTCAGTCTCCATGCAACACTCCCCTCCTGCCTGTTACCAAGCCACCGACCAAGGACTACCTGCCGGTACAGGATTTGCGCTTGCTTCATCAAGCTACACTGACTTTACATCCAACAGTACCTAACCCGTCCACATTGTTGGGGTTGCTGCCAGCTGAGGACAGCGGGTTCACCTGCTTGGACCCGAAAGACCCTTTCTTTCCTATCAGATTAGCCCCAGAGAGGCAGAAGCTGTTTGCCTTTCAGTGGGAAGATCCGGAGTCAGGTGTCACTACTCAGTACACTTGGACCAACTTTCCCCAAGGGTTCAAGAACTCCCCCACCATCTTCGGGGAGGCGTGGGCTCGAGACCTCCAGAGGTTTCCCAGCAGAGACCTAGGCTGCGTGTTGCTCCAGTAGGTTGATGACCTTCTGCTGGGACACCCCACGGCAGTCGGGTGTGCCAAGGGAACAGATGCCCTACACCGGCACCTGGAGGAGTGTGGGTATCAAGTGTCCAAGAAGAAAGCTCAGATCTGCCGACAACATGTACATTACTTGGGATTTGCTATCCGATAGGGGTGGGAACGCAGCCCGGGATCAGAATGAAAGCAGGTCATTTGCAATCTAGCGGAGCCTAAGAGCAGAAGGCAGGTGAGAGAATTCTTAGGAGCTGTGGGGTTTTGTAAACTGTGGATCCCAAACTTTGCAGTATTAGCCAAGACTTTGTATGAGGTCACCAAGGGGGCGGGGACTGGGAACCTTTGGAATGCGGATCCCAACAACAGCAAGGCTTTCATGAGTTAAAGGAAAAACTTCTGGCAGCCCCAGCCCTGGGGCTACCCGATCTGACAAAGCCTTCTCCATTGTGTGCATCAGAGAGAGAAAAGATGGCTGCTGGACTTTGAACACAAACTGTGGGGCCCTGGCCGAGGCCGGTGGTCTACCTCTCTCAACAACTAAACGGGGTTACTAAAGGATGGTCCCCCTGTTGGAGGGCCTTGGCAGCAACCGCCCTGCGAGTACAAGAAGCAAATAAGCTGACTCTTGGGCAAAACCTGAAAATGAAGGCCTCCTGTGCTGTGGTGACTTTAATGAATACTAAAGGACATCATTGGCTAATGAATGCCACACTCACCCAGTACCATGCTTGGCTCTGTGAAAATCCCCGTATAACCATTGAAGTTTGTAACAGCCTACACCCCACCACCTTGCTCCCGGTATCAGAGAGCCCTGTCGAGCCTGGTTGTGTAGAAGTGTTGGACACAGTTGACTCTAGCAGACTTGACCTCCGGGGCCAGCCTTAGGAATCAGTAGACTGGGAACTATACGTGGATGGGAGTAGCTTCTTCAACCCCCAAGGAGAGAGAGGTGCAGGGTATGCAGTGATAACCCTGGACACTGTTGATGAAGACAGATCATTGCCCCAGGCCACGTCAGCCCAGAAAGCTGAACTCATTGCTTTCATTCGGGCCTTAGAACTCAGTGAGGGTGAGACTGTCAACATTTACACTGATTCTCGGTATGTCTTTTGAACCCTTCAAGTGCATGGAGCATGATAGAAAGAACAGAGCCTATTGAACTCTGGCAGAAAAGACAGAAAATATCAACAAGAAATTTTGCAATGATTAGAAGCAGTATGGAAACCCCGCAAGGTGGCAGTTATGCATTGCAGGGGACACCAGCAAGCTTCCACCTTGGTGGGCTTGGGGAATTCCCGCGCTGACTCAGAGGCTCGAAAAGCAGCATCTGCCCCCTTCGGGGCATCAGTGCTCCCTCAAGCACCTGATCTTGGACCTACTTCTTCTAAAGAAGAAAAGGACTTTCTCCAGGTAGAGGGAAGGACAACTGATGGAGGAAGGATGGATTCGGTTACCAGATGGGAGAGTAGCTGCGCCAGAGCTGCTAGGAGCTGCAGTTGTACTGGCTGTGCAAGAAACCACCCATCGGGGTCAGGAGTCACTGGAAAAGTTGTTAGGCCGGTATTTCTACATCTCACCTTTGTCAGCCCTTGCCAAAACGGTGAGGCAGCGGTGTGTTACCTGCCGACAGCATGATGGGAGGCAAGGTCCAGCCGTTCCGCCCGGCATACGAGCTTACGGAGCAGCCCCCTTTGAAGGTTTCCAGGTGGACTTCACAGAGATGCCAAAGTGTGGAGGTAACAAGTATGTACTAGTTCTTGGGCGCACCTACTCTGGGTGGGTGGAGATCTGGGTCTTCCTCCCCAAACCTGGAAGTTAGCAACGAAATCACAGAGGGGGTGTACACACCCTGCGACATGGGAAGTAATATGATCCTCTCTCCACCTGGATACTGGGAAAGATAACACAGCGCGGGTATACATTTCCTACGCTGTTGCGAGTAATATCATTCTTTTCCTTTCTGGATATTAGGGAGAATATCACAGGGGTGCTGTACAATTACTTCGACATTGGGAGTAACATCATCCTCTATTTTCCTGGATATTGGGCACAAAAACACAAAAGGGTGAACAATCCCTGGGATATCTGGAGTAATATTATCCTCTCCCCTCACGATTATTAAGAACAATATCGTAGGTGTGGGGGATGTACACCCCCTTTCATGTTTGATATCATCCTCTTTCCCCCTGGATATTAGGAACAATATCAGGAAGGGATGTACAGACCCTGCGACCTTTGCTGTCATATAATTCTCTCTCCCATAGATATTAGGAAAAAATGTCCCTGGGGATGTGAACAGCCCTGCGATATTGAGAGTAGTATCATCCTCTCCCCTTGCATACTGGGAAAAATATCACAGGTGGGGTGTACTGCCTCTGTGATATTGGGAGTGAAATTTTCCTCTCTTCCCCTGGACATTAGGAAGGGTATCAGAGGGGGAGGGTGTACATTCCCTGCGACATTCAACGTAACCTTATCCTCTGCCTCCCACGGTAATCAGAACAATATTACAGGAGGGGTGTACACCCTCTGCGATATTGAGAGTCATATAATCCTCTTTCGCTCGGGATATTAGGAACAATATCACAGGGTTCTGTACCCCCCCTGCGATATTGGGAGTCATATCATCCTCTCTCCCTGTGGATATTAGGAAGAGTATCACAGGGCTGTGGAAACCCCCAGCGGTCCTGGGAGTAATATCATCCTCTCTCCCTCTGAAAATAGGAAGATTTTCACAGGGGTGTGTTCAAGCCCTGCAATATTGGCAGTAAGATCATCCTCTCCACCCAGGAAATGACTAACAAGGTCACGGGGGGATGTACTCCCGGTGCGGAGAGTGAGAGCCAGCCCCTCTTGCCCGCCTGGCTCTTAGGACCCGCGATGGACTCACAGCCTGTTTATCGTATTGTGAGTAATATCATCTCCCGCTCTGGGGATTTTGAACTGTTTCACAGACCGGTGTACACCCTTTGTGTACAGAGGTTGTACACCGGTCTGTATTGGGAGTCATATCATCCTCTTCCTCCCTCAATATTAGGAACAATATCACAGGGGTGTTTCTACTCCCTGGGATATCGGGTGTCATGTCCTCCACTTCCACGTTGCAATTAGAAACAATATCATTGGGGGCGTGTCCACCTTCTGTGATATTGAAACTAATATTATCCTCTACTTTCCAGGATCATGGGAACGATATCCTTGGGGGTGTCCACTTTCTGCCATATATGTTGTCATATCATGTCCTGCTCCTTGGAATATTTTTAAAGACCATCTCATACGGGGGTGTACACTTCCTGCGATGTTGGGGGTAATAGCATGCTCTTCTTCTGTGAATATTAGGAGCAAATTCACCGGGTGGATGCACACCCAGTGCTATATTGTGAGTAACGTCATACTCCACCCCCTGGAGATTATATTTGGATCAATATCACCGGTGGGTGTACACGTACTGCGATATTGAACGTAATATCATGCTCTCTCTCTCCCTGGACATTAGGAGCAATATCACAGGTGGGTGTGCACCCACTGAGGTATTAGGGAGTAATATTACTATGAATTATTCCTCATTTATTATTAACATGAATATGAATGACCGATATTAATATTCATATTAAATAATTGCTAATAAAAAGTTTTCCCAATATTAATATTAACTATTAGGGGCTAATATGACTGTTTTCTAATGAATAAGGTCAATATCAGTTATTAATATCAGGCATCATTAATCATTAATATTAATCATTTATTGTTATCGTTAGTATAACTCTCTAATATTAATTATCATTATTATCGGTGTTGATTTTTAAAATTATATTATCGGTTATTAATATTGATAATTAGTAGTGTCAATTAATAAGTGAGATTATTAATTGCGGTAAGTCGCATTGCGCCATTCCACCCCTCCCTTGGCAGCTCGTTTGAGACGCAAAACGGGGACACAAATGCCCCTGAGAGAGCAGCGGTATACTGGGATAGATGAGGATGGTCACGTGGTGGAGAGGCGTGCTTTTGGCTACCAGCCCTTCACCTGTGTCGACCTTCTCAACTGGAAAAACAATACACCGCCCTATACCGAAAAGCCACAAGCCCTAATTGATTTTCTCCAAGCTGTTATCCAGACCCACAGCCCCACCTTGGCTGATTGGCACCAGTTGCTCGTGTTCCTCTTTAACAGCGAAGAAAGGCGGAGAGTCCTCCAAGCAGCAACTAAGTGGCTAGAGGAACATGCACCAGCTGATTATCAAAACCCCCAAGAGCATGGAAGGACCCAGTTGCCAGGAACAGACCCCCATTTGGACCCACATGAAAGAGAGGATATGCAAAGGCTAAATGAGACAGGGAAGCTCTCTTGGAAGGATTAATGAGGGGAGCTCAGAAGGCCACGAACGTTAACAAGCTCTCTGAGGTCATTCAGGGAAAAGAAGAAAGTCCGGCACAATTCTACGAGAGACTGTGTGAGGCCTATCGTATGTATACTCCCTTTGATCCCGATAGCCCTGAAAATCAGCGTATGATTCACATGGCTTTAGTCCGTCAAAGCGCAGAAGACATGAGAAGAAAACTGCAGAAACAGGCTGGGCTTGCAGGGATGAATCCATCACAATTACTAGAAATAGCTAGCCAGGTGTTTGTAAACAGGGATGCAGTAAGCCCTAAGGAAAATGGCAAAGAGAATGGAGGTCAGGCCCGGTGACACGTCGACCTGTTTGTCAGCTGCAGCAATCAGAGGGGCCCCCCCAAAGAGGCAAGGGAAGGGGGGTCCTGGGAAGGAAACTCAGCTTGGCTGTCAGAGTTTGCAGCGTAACCAGTGTGCTTATTGTAAAGAAATAGGACAGTGGAAGAACAAATGCCCTCAGCTCAAAAGAAAACAAGGTGACTCAGAGCAGGAGGCCCCGGACAAGGAGGAAGGGGCCCTGCTCAACCTGGCAGAAGGGTTCTTGGACTGAGGGAGACCGGGCTCAAGCGTCCCCAAAGAGCCTGTGGTCAGAATGACAGTCGGGGGTGGAGACATTGACTTTCTTGTAGATAGCGGTGCTGAACATTCGCTAGTAACCGCCCCGGTCGCCCCCTTATCCAAAAAGACTATTGACGTCATCGGAGCAATGAGGGTTTCAACAAAGCAAGCTTTCTGCTTGTCTTGGACTTGTACTGTAGGAGGACATTCAGTCATTCATCAGTTTTGGTACATGCGTGACTGTCCCTTGACCTTTTTGGGAAAGGACTTGCTCAGCAAGCTGAGAGCCACTATCTCTTTGACAGAGCACAGCTCTTTGCTGCTAAAGTTACCCGGAGCGGGAGTCATTGTGACCCTTATGTTCCCCCGAGAGGAGGAATGGAGACTTTTCTTAACTGAGCCGGGCCAAGAGAGAAGACCAGCTCTGACTAAGCGGTGGCCAAGAGTACGGGCAGAAGACAACCCTCCGGGATTGGCCAGTTAAGATTGGGGCCCAGCCGGTGAGGAAAAAGCGGGACCCGGTCCCCAGAGAAGCCCTTCAAGGTATCCAGGTCCGTCTCAAGCACCTAAGAACTTTTGGAATTATTGTTCCTTGTCAGTCTCCATGCAACACTCTCCTCCTGCCTTTTCCCAAGCCACGGACCAAGGACTACAGTCAGGTACAGGATTTGCGCTTGCTTCATCAAGCTACACTGACTTTCCATCCAACAGTACCTAACCCGTCCACATTGTTGGGTTTGCTGCCAGCTAAGGACAGCGGGTTCACCTGCTTGGACCCGAAAGACGCTTTCTTTCCTATCAGATTAGCCCCAGAGAGGCAGAAGCTGTTTGCCTTTCAGTGGGAAGATCCGGAGCCAGGTGTCACTACTCAGTACACTTGGACCGGGCTTCCACAAGGGTTCAAGAACTCCCCCACCATCTTCGGGGAGGCGTGGGCTCGAGACCTCCAGAAGTTTCCCAGCAGAGACCTAGGCTGCGTGTTGCTCCAGTAGGTTGATGACCTTCTGCTGGGACACCCCACGGCAGTCGGGTGTGCCAAGGGAACAGATGCCCTACATTGGCACCTGGAGGACTGTGGGTGTAAGGTGTCCAAGAAGAAAGCTCAGATCTGCCGACAGCAGGTACGTTCCTTGGGATTGACTATCTGACGGGTGGGAACGCAGCCCGGGATCAGAATGAAAGCAGGTCATTTGCAATCTAGCAGAGCCTAAGAGCAGAAGGCAGGTGAGAGAATTCTTAGGAGCTGTGGGGTTTCGTAAACTGTGGATCCCAAACTTTGCAGTATTAGCCAAGACTTTGTATGAGGTCACAAAGGGGGCGGGGACGAGGAACCTTTGGAATGCAGATCCCAACAACAGCAAGGCTTTCATGAGTTAAAGGAAAAACTTCTGGCAGCCCCAGCCCTGGGGCTACCCGATCTGACAAAGCCTTTTCCACTGTATGCATCAGAGAGAGAAAAGATGGCTGCTGGACTTTGAACCCAAACTGTGGGGCCCAGGCCTAGGCGGGTGGCCTACCTCTCTAAACGACTAGACGGGGTTTCTAAAGGATGGCCCCCCTGTTGGAAGGCCTTGGCAGCAACTGCCCTGCGAGTACAAGAAGCAAATAAGCTGACTCTTGAGCAAAACCTGAACATAAAGGCCTCCCGTGCTGTGGTGACTTTAATGAATACTAAAGGACATCATTGGCTAACGAATGCCAGACTCACCCAGTACCAGACTTGGCTCTGTGAAAATCCCCGTATAACCATTGAAGTTTGTAACAGCCTACACCCCGCCACCTTGCTCCCGGTATCAGAGAGCCCCGTCGAGCCTCGTTGTGTAGAAGTGTTGGACACAATTGACTCTAGCAGACCTGACCTCCGGGGCCAGCCTTGGGCATCAGTAGACTGGGAACTATACGTGGATGGGAGTAGCTTCTTCAACCCCCAAGGAGAGAGAGGTGCAGGGTGTGCAGTGATAACCCTGGACACTGTTGTTGAAGCCAGATCGTTGTCCCAGGCCACATCAGCCCAGAAAGCTGAACTCATTGCTTTCATTCGGGCCTTAGAACTCAGTGAGGGTGAGACTGTCAACATTTACACTGATTCTCGGTATGTCTTTTGAACCCTTCAAGTGCATGGAGTGTGATAGAAAGAAAAAGGCCTATTGAACTCTTGGGGGAAAGACAGAAAATGTCAACAAGAAATCTTGCAATGATTAGAAGCAGTATGGAAACCCCACAAGGTGGCAGTTATGCATTGCAGGGGACACCAGCGAGCTTCCACCTTGCTGGGTTTGGGGAATTCCCGCGCTGACTCAGAGGCTCGAAAAGCAGCATCTGCCCCCTTCGGGGCAGCAGTGTTCCCTCAAGCACCTGATCTTGGACCTACTTCTTCTAAAGAAGAAAAGGACTTTCTCCAGGTAGAGGGAAGGACAAGTGATGGAGGAAGGATGGATTCGGTTACCGGATGGGAGAGTAGCTGTGCCACAGCTGCTAGGAGCTGCAGTTGTACTGGCTGTGCAAGAAACCACCCATCGACATCAGGAGTCACTGGAAAAGTTGTTAGGCCGGTATTTCTACATCTCGCCTTTGTCAGCTCTTGCCAAAACGGTGAGGCAGCGGTGTGTTACCTGCCGACAGCATGATGCGAGGCAAGGTCCAGCCGTTCTGCCTGGCATAGGAGCTTATGGAGCAGCCCCCTTTGAAGGTCTCCAGGTGGACTTCACAGAGATGCCAAAGTGTGGAGGTAACAAGTATGTACTAGTTCTTGTGTGTACCTACTCTGGGTGGGTGGAGGCTTATCCAACGCTAACTGAGAAAGCTCGTGAAGTAACCCGTGTGCTTCTTCGAGACCTGATTCCTAGATTTCGACCGCCCTTACGGATCGGCTCAGACAAGGGGCCTGCGTTTTTGGCTGCCTTGTTACAGAAGACGGCAAAGGTATTGGGAATCACACGGAAAATGCATGCCGCCTCCCGACCTCAGCATTCCGGAAAGGTGCAGTGGACGAATCGGACTATCAAAAATAGTACTATTGTCTTCCCCGCTGGATATGTAAAACAACACCAGAAGGGGCGTCAAACCAACTGCTAAATTTGAGGGAATGTTCTCCTCTCCCCACCTACCCTGGCCCCGGATATTAGAGACAATAACACTGGGGTGATGTACACCCACTGCTTTATTGGGAGTAATATCATCCTCTCCCTTCCTGGATATTAGGAACAATATCACACTGTGCGTGTACGCCGGTCGCGAAATTCAATGGAATGTCATCCTGCTCCTCTGTGGATATGACGAACAATATCAAGGGGGATGTACAACTTCTGAGATATTGGGAGTGATATCATCCTCTTCCCTCTGGAAGTTAGGGACAGTATTATCACAGGGGTAGTGTACACCCTCTGGGATGTTGGGACTAATATCATCCTCCCGCCCACTGGATATTAAAAACCATATCACAAGGGGCGTGTACACACACTTCGATATTGGTATGAATACCATCCTGTCCCTCTTTGGATATTCGGTGCCATATATCAGGTGGGGTACACAACACCTGCAATATTGGAAGTAATATGATTTTCTCTCCCCCATCAGACACAATATCACAGGGGGTTGTGAACAACCCCAGAGATATTTGGAGTCATATCATCATCTCCCCTCACGATTATTAAGAGCAATATCGTAGGGGTGGGGGATGTACACCCGCTTTCATATTTGATATCATCCTCTTCCCCCCTGGATATTAGGAGCAATATCAGGAAGGGATGCACAGACCCTGCGACCTTTGCTGTCATATAATTCTCTCTCCCCTAGATATTAGGAAAAAATGTCACTGGGGATGTGAACAGTCCTGCGATATTGAGAGTAGTATCATCATCTCCCCCCTTGGATATTGGGAACAACATCACAGGTGGGGTGTACTGCCTCTGTCATATTGGGAGTGAAACTTTCCTCTCTTCCCCTGGACATTAGGAAGGGTATCAGAGGCGGATGGTGTACATTACCTGCGATATTTAATGTAACCTTATTCTCTCCCTCCCAGGGTATTCAGAACAATATTACAGGAGGGGTGTACACCCTCTGCGATATTGAGAGTCATATCATCCTCTTTCGCTCTGGATGTTAGGAACAATATCACAGGGTTGTGTACACCCCCTGCGATATTGGGAGTCATATCATCCTCTCTCCCTGTGGATATTAGGAAGAGTATCACAGGGCTGTGGATACCCCCTGCGGTACTGGGAGTAATACTATCCTCTCTCCCTCTGAAAATAGGAAGATTTTCACAGGGGTGTGTACTCCCCCTGCGATATTGGGAGTAATGTCGTCCTCCCCAAACCTGGATGTTAGCAACGAGATCACAGAGGGGGTGTACACACCCTGCGACATTGGAAGTAATATGATCCTCTCCCCACCTGGATACTGGGAAAGATACCACAGCGTGGGTATACGTTTGCTACGCTGTTGGGAGTAATATCATTCTTTTCCTTTCGGGATATTAGGAAGAATATCACAGGGGTGCTGTACAATTACTTCGACATTGGGAGTAATATCATCCTCTATTTTCCTGGATATTGGGCACAAAAACACAAAAGGGTGTACAACCCCTGCGATATTGGAAGTAATAGCATACTCTCCTTCCCTGGATGTTAGAAAACAATATCATCAGGGCTGAACACCCCCCGCAATAATGGGAGTCATGTTTACTCTTTCACAGGCCATTTGGAACAATATCACAGGGGGTGTTTACAAACAGGGGTGGTGTACACCCCCTGTGATATTGGGAGTAACATCATTCTCTCCACCTCCGGATATTAAGAACAATATCCCGGCGGGAGGTGGTACACCCCCAGTGATATTGCGAATAATGTCATCCTCTCCTTTCCTGGATATTAGGAACAATATCACAGGGAGGTGTACGCCTTCTGTGATATTGAAAGCAATGTCATCCTCTCCCCTGCTGGGTATTAGAAAAAAATATCACTCACGGTGTACACCCACTGTGATATGAGGAGTAATATCTTCCTAGGGTATTACGAATAATTTCACAGTCTGTACGCTCATGGTGTACACTCACTGTGATATTAGGAGTAACATCTACCTAGTGGATGACAAATAACATCGCAGGGTGTACACCCACTTTGATATTAGCTGTAATATTTTTCTAAGTTGTTACAAATAAGATCACAGAGTGTACAAACATGGTGTACACTCACTGTGATATCAGGAGTCGTATCTCTGTAATATATTATGAATAATATCACAGGCTGTACACCCACTGTATTATTAGGAGTAATATCTCTGTAGGATATTACAATTAATATCACAGGGTGTAGAGCCACTGTGATATTAGGAGCAATATCTTTCTAGGATATTACAAATAATATCACAGGGTGTACCCCCACTCTGCTGTCAGGAGCAATATCTCTCCAGGATATCAAAAATCCTATCACAGGTTGTCCAATCTCTGCCTTCCAGGTTCTAAGGGATTCTCCTGCTTCAGCCTCCCGAGTAGCTAGGGTTAGCCGCCACAAGGCCCGGCTAATTTTTTTTTAATTTTCACTGGAGGCGGGGTTTCACCACATTGGCTAGGCTGGTCTGGAACTCCTGACCTTAGGTGATCCATCAGCCTCGGCAGCCCAAAGTGCTGGGATTACAGGTGTGAGCCATGGTGCTGGGCCAACAGTTAAATATTCAATTCATTTGGAAACACAGCTCCCATCTTTGAGCGTGCATCTACTTTTATGAAGAAATGATGTCAGACAACTGAAGGATGATAATAAATATGAAAAGTAACAGGCATGTGAAAAGATCTCCGATTGAGAACTATAAGGTTCAATGTCGTTTTCAGATAATGGGGTCCTAGCTCTTGTGTCGTCCTTTTACATATTCTACATCAGTGGAAGCTGTAGCACGGTGTCAGAATAAAGTAGAGTGTATTTCATGGCTTCTTAATTCCTTTCAATTAGACTGAGATCTTTTTCTTAAAGAGAGAAGGACATTGTCATTGCATTGTATTTTTTCAGAAAAGAGTAGGCCGTATTTTACTGAGATCACGGATTTGTTATATATGATGTTTTGGTCTTCTAATATTCTTCAGTGGATTTTCTCTAAAGTAGTATGTATAGAAAGCCTTGTATAGCCAAAAAGGAAATCACGTAATAATTCTGAGATTTTTGGAATTGTCACAACTGAGAAACATTGCTGGCGGTGTATGGTCCGCAAGAGTGAAGATGTTCCTTGTGAATTGCTTGCATCCAGCATTAAGGGCTGGTTTTTATCTTTTATTTTTCCAATCCTCTTTCCTTCTCAAGGTGTCCAAGACACACAGAGCCACGGAATCACACAGGGGTCTGAGAATTTCTCCTCCTGGGACTCTCAGAGGATCCAGAACTGCAGCCGGTCCTCGCTTTGCTGTCCCTGTCCCTGTCCATGTATCTGGTCACGGTGCTGAGGAACCTGCTCAGCATCCTGGCTGTCCGCTCTGACTCCCCCCTCCACAACCCCATGTACTTCTTCCTCTCCAACCTGTGCTGGGCTGACATCGGTTTCACCTCGGCCACGGTTGCCAAGATGATTGTGGAATGCAGTCGCATAGCAGAGTCATCTCTCATGCGGGCTGCCTGACGCAGATGTCTTTCTTGGTCCTTTTTGCATGTATAGAAGGCATGCTCCTGACTGTGATGGCCTATGACTGCTTTGTAGCCATCTGTCGTCCTCTGCACTACCCAGTCATCGTGAATCCTCACCTCTGTGTCTTCTTCGTTTTGGTGTCCTTTTTCCTTAGCCTGTTGGATTCCCAGCTGCACAGTTCGATTGTGTTACAATTCACCATCATCAAGAATGTGGAAATCTCTCATTTTGTCTGTGACCCCTCTCATCTTCTCAAACTTGCCTGTTCTGACAGCGTCATCAATAGCATATTCATATATTTCGATAGTACTATGTTTGGTTTTCTTCCCATTTCAGGGATCCTTTGGTCTTACTATAAAATCGTCCCCTCCATTCTAAGGATTTCATCATCAGATGGGAAGTATAAAGCCTTCGCCACCTGTGGCTCTCACCTAGCAGTTGTTTGCTGATTTGATGGAACAGGCATTGGTATGTACCTGACTTCAGCTGTGGCACCACCCCCTAGGAATGGAGTGGTGGCATCAGTGATGTAGGCTGTGGTCACCCCCATGCTGAACCTTTTCATCTACAGCCTGAGAAACAGGGACATACAAAGTGCCCTGCGGAGGCTGCTCAGCAGAACAGTCGAATTTCATGATCTGTTTCATTCTTTTTCTTGTGTGGGTGAGAAAGGGCAACCACATTAAATCTCTACATCTGCAAACCCTGCCCCTTAGTCACTTTCTTTTTGTGGCTTGATGGCTTTTATTCCTTTCCCCATTTCCTTTGTGAATATTGTTTTCTTCGTTATGCCTTTTACTGGAATGGGTGAGGATTCTGGGATCCTTTGTTTAGCAGAAACCTCATGACAGAATCCTCTATACCTAGGTGGCCTCTTTTACTTTCTGAGCAATAACCTGTCATCCAGGTGGAATCACAAACATCTTTTTATATACAAGAAGTCCTCACTTCGTTTTGGAATTCCCTGAAAACTGACTTTATGGAAACAATGTACAGGAGGTCCTCCAACACCATTGGTTGTTCAAAGTTGTGTAGTTATACTGTTGATGAAAAATAAGTGGTTTCACTATATATAATTTTGCTTCAAGGTGAAGTTTCCAAGAGACTTTCAAAGATGTTAAGTGAGGACATATTCTTCATCATATTCATATCCTCTTCCACAGTTCATGTGGAATTTCTTTATAAACTGCTTCTAGAGAATCTGTTTAGGCAGGTTATGTGGAGATCCATGTCGCCGTTCCTCAATCTTGGCTTTGAGTCAACTCACCTTGGGAGCTTACAAATGATGAGGCCTGGGTCTCAATGCCTGAGATTCTCATTTTCTTGCACCTGTGTGAGAATGTGGATTTTTTTTTTCTTTTAAAGGACCAGAGGTGGTTCCAATGATGAAGTTTTTAGGGGCATCAAGCTCCAATGAGTAAGAACAGAAAATAATTGTAATATGATTTCTCAAATATTATCTTCAAATGCATTGTCCATCAACACCACACAAATGTTTATTATGCCATTTTTTCTTACCATTTCGCATTTTCCATTTCTTTCTTTTCCTTATTTTTTGGGTCAGAGTTTCACTCTTGTTTTCCAGGCTGAAGTTCAATGACACGATCTCGGCTCACTGCAACCTCTGCCTCCCATATTCAAGCAATTCTCCTGTCTCAGCCTTCCAAGTAGCTGGGATTACAGGCATGCGCTAACATGCCTGGCTAATTTTTTTTTTTTTTTTGTATTGTTAATAGAGACAGTGTTTCTCCATTTTGGTCAGGCTCGTCTTGAACTCACGACCTCAGGTGATCCGGCCGTTTCCGCCTCGCAAAGTGCTGGGATTACAGGCATGAGCGACCGCGCCCAGCCACCACTTAGCATTTACATTTTACATTTGTTGAAGTTATAGATTTATACACACATTGATTGCTGCTTTGTTATACACTTGCATATACATAAGATGGGAAATAGAAAAGAACAAAATGGGCACAGTATCCCTGAAGTTTCACATTCCGAGACATTTTAAAAATATTTGCTCTTCAGAAATTTGTTTCAATGAAGAAACTGTGGTATACACACCCAGTGAAGTATTATTCAGCCTAAAAAGGAAGAAACTCCTCTCCGCTGCAGACAAAATGGATGAGATTGCAGGTCTGTATATTAAATGAAATAAGCCATGCACAGAATGACAAATATTTCAAGTCCTCACTTCTATGTAGGAAGAAAAAAGGAAACCTTGGCCAGGTGTGGTGGCTCAGGCCTGTAATCCCAGCACTCCGGGAGGCCGAGTCGCACGGATCACTTGAGTCCAGGAGTTCGAGACCTGCCTGGCCAACATGGTGAAACCCCGTCTCTACGGAAAACACAAACAATGAGCCGGGCGTGGTGACGCGTGCCTGTAGTCTCAGCTACTCCGAGGGCTGAGGCCCAAGAAGCACTTGAACTCAGGAGGCGGAGCTTGCAGTGTGCCGTATTGTGCCTGCGTACTCCAACCTGGGCAACAGAAAGAGACTCCATCACACACCTACACACAAAAGGAATCTCAGGAAGGTGGAAAAAGGTGGTTAGCAGACACTGGGAAGAAAAGGGGTGGGTTAGGGAATGAAGACAAGTGGATAATTGGGTCCCAAAATACAGAAAGATGGAATAAGTGAGTTCTAGTGTTTGATAGTACAGTATGAAAATTTTAGTTCACAAGAATTTCTTGCATCTTTCCAGATGCTTTGGTAAGAAGCTTCCTAACTTTCTCATTATGCTGGTTTTTAAGCTCTTCTCTTTCTGCTCTTGAAATCATGCTGGTTTTTTGTTTTGTTTTTTTTTTTTGTTTGTTTGTTTTGAGATGGAGTTTCGCTCTTGTTGCCCAGGCTGGAGCGTCACGGTGCAATCTTGGCTCACCGCAACCTCTGCCTCCTGGGTCCAAGCGATTCTCCTGCCTCCACCTCCCGAGTAGCTGGCATTACAGGCATGTGCCAGCACGCCCAGCTAATGTTGTATTTGTAGCAGAGATGGGGGTTTCTCCCTGTCGGTCAGGCTGGTCTTCAACTCCTGACCTCAGGTGATCCGCCTGCCTCGGCCTCCCAGAGGCTCAGATTACAGGCATGAGCGACCGCGCCCGGCCCATGCTGTATCCTTATCTGTTGTCTGTTGTTGTTTGTTTCTTTTGGAGCCCAGAAATAACTTCTCACCTATGTGTTCAAATGATCTTTCACATGAGTGCTAAGAAAGCTCATTGGTGGAAAAGCAATCTTTTCAAGAATAGGTGTTGGAGAAACTTGATTTCCACATGCAGAAGAATGAAGGTGGACCCTATGTCACACCAGGTGCAAAAATTAACACAAACTGGATCAAAGACCTCACCCCAAGCGCTAAAAGTATCATACGCCTAGAAGAAAACATTGGCCACGCTTTCATGACATCAGATTGATCAATGTTCTCTGGGATATGACACCAAAAGCATAGGCAACAAAAGAAAATTAGATTCCTTGGATTACATCTAAATGACAGACACTTTTGTGCAGCAAAAAACACTGCGAACTGAGTGAAAAGATAACCCATGGATTAGGAAAAATATTTGCAAAGCATATATCTGAAAAGAGGCTGATATCCATCATATATAAAGAACAGCTAGAACTAAACACCAAGAAACCCAAAGCATCCCATCAACAATGGTCAGAAGACTCGAGTAGACGTCTTCCTGAAGAAGATATAGCAATGGCCAATAAGCATCTAAAATGATGTTCAAAATCACTCATCATAGGGAAGCCCAAATCAAACCAAAAATGTGATACCACACATTAGGATGGATATGATAAACAAACAAGCATTGGTGAGACTAGAGGGAGGTAGGAATGCTCGAATATGATCGGAGGGAATGTAAAACAATGAAGGAACGGGGAAAATAGTATGGCGTGTACTGGAAAAATTAGAAACAGAATGATCAGATGTTCCCGAAGTTGCATTCGTGGGTACCTACCAGAAAGAATTAGAAGCCAGGAGTGGAAGACAGATTTGTGTACACCCATATTCATAGCAGCATTATTCACAACAGCCAAAATGTGGAAGCAACCCAAGAGTTCGTGGACTGATGAATGAAAAAGCACACTGCAGTTCCTTCATATAATGGAAGACTATTCAGCCTTAAAAAGGCAGGCACTTCTGGCCAATGCGGTGGCTCACGCCTAAAATCGCAGCGTCTTGGAAGACCGAGGTGAGTGGATCACCTGAGGTCAGGAATTCAAGATCAACCTGGCCATCCTGGTGAAACCCTGTCTCTACTGAAAATGCAAAAAATCAGACGAGTGTGGTGGGGTGTGCCTATAGTACCAAGCACTCGGGAGGCTGAGGCACAAGAATGGCTGGAACCCGGGAGGCGGAGGTTGCAGTGAGCCCAGATTGTGGCGCTGCACTCCAGCCTGTGCGACAGAGTGAGACTCCATGGAAACACAAAACAAAACAAAGTCAAATGAGCAAACAAACAAACAAACAAACAAAAAACAGAGAGGCACTTCTGACGCAGGCCGCAACATGGATGAACCTTGAAAACATTATCGTCAGTGAAATAAATAAATCCCAAAAGGATAAACACGCCCAGTCTCTGTGGCTCGCACCTGTAACCCCAGCACTTGGGGAGGCTGAGCCAGGCGGATCACTTCAGATCAGGAGTTCGAGACCATCCTGGCCAATATGGTCTCTATTAAAAATACAAAAATTAGCTGGGCGTGGTAGCGCACGCCTGTAATCCCAGCTACTCGGGAGACTGAGACACAAGAATCGCTTGAACCCACGATGTGGAGGTTGCAGTGAGGCGACATCACGCCACTGCACTCCAGCCGGGGTGACAGAGAAAGACTCTGTCTCCAAAACAAAAAAATTAAACACGGTATGATTCCACTTATCTATCAAGTGTCTAGAGTAGTTAAACTCATAGAGTTGCAAACTAGAAAGGTGTCCCCCAGGGGTGGGTGAGAGAGAGGAGTGGAGAGCTTGGTGAAAGGGTGCAATTTCCATTTTGAAAGATAAAACTGTTCCGGAGACGATGGCGGTGATGGTTGCTAAACAATGTGAACGTACTTAATGTCATGAAACTGTAAACTGAAAAAGCGTGGAAACTAAATGTTTATACTGGCCATTCTATATAAACTAATATATATTTATAATTTTTAATATTTATATGTGGTATATTTTCCCATAATAAAAGATGAAAATTAAAGCAGTTGGATGTTTAAAAAGAAAAGAAAGAAGTGAAGAATACACACCAGCTTTCTCCTGATTAGAGGAAGAGCCCCAAAGCTTCTATGGACACTCACTTTTCTCTTCTTCTTCTTGCATTATTATGAGGAAATCTTTAGAGGTTGGGGAACTTGGGTGACTTTGGCTAATAAGGAGCTCTGTGCCTTGAGCACCCCAGGCCACAGAATAGTAAATAGTCAGTCTGTGCCTCCAGCCCTGCAGTGTGAGGTTCCAGTCCTGTGGGCTCCACTCCCGTCACCAGTATCAGGAGGCTCATGTCTCAACCTGTCTTCTTGCCAGCCTTGAGGCCGGAGTCTGAGCCTCCATGGTGCACCACACAGGGAGGACAGTGGACCTGTTCTCCGTGGTCATGGCCCAGCAGATGGGAAGGGCAGTTCAGTGAGTGTAGGCAAAAGAAAGAGCAATCAGACTGTTACTGTGTCTATGTAGAAAGGAAAGACATAAGAGACTCCATTTTGAGAAAGACCTGTACTTTCAACAATTGCTTTGCTGAGATGTTGTTAATGTGTAGCTTTGCCCCAGCCACTTTGACCCAACCTGAAGCTCACAAAAGCATGTGTTGTATGAAATCAAGGTTTAAGGGATCTAGGGCTGTGCAGGACGTGCCTTGTTAACAAGATGTTTCCAAGCAGTATACTTGGTAAAAGTCATCGCCATTTTCTAGTCTCAATAAACCAGGGGCACAATACACTGTGGAAAGCCACAGGGAGCCCTGCCCTTGAAAGAGGGGTATTGTCCAAGATTTCTCCCCATGTGATAGTCTGAAAAGTGGCCTCGTGGGAGGAGAAAGACCTGACCGTCCCCGAGCCCGACACCAGTAAAGGGTCTGTGCTGAGGTGGATTAGTCAAAGAGGAAAGCCTCTTGCAGTTGAGAGAGAGAAAGGCCACTGTCTCCTGCCTGCCCCTGGGAACTGAATGTCTCGGTATAAAACCCGATTATACATTTGTTCAATTCTGAGATGGGGGTAAAACTGCCCTATGGCTGGAGGTGAGACATGTTTGCAGCAATGCTGCCTTGTTATTCTTTACTCCACTGAGATGTTTGGGTGGAGAGAAACATCAATCTGGCTTACGTACACGTCCAGTCATAGTACCTTCCCTTGAACTTCCTTATGACATAGATTCTATTGCTCACCTCTTCGTTGCTGACCTTGTCCTTATTATCACCCTGCCCTCCTACTACATTCCTTTTTGCTAAAATAATAAAAATAATAATCAATAAAAACAGAGGGAACTCAGAGGCCTGTGCCAGTGCAGGTCCTTCGTATGCTGAGCGCCGGTCCCCTAGGCTCACTGTTGTTTCTCCATACTTTGTCTCTGTGTCTTATTTCTTTTCTCAGTCTCTCATCCCACCCGACTAGAAATACCCACAGGTGTGGAGGGACGGGCCACACCTTCAAGTGAGTGCTGAGGGACGGTTGGGAGCCTTGTTTTGTTTCCTCCTCAGGACAAACAGGAGAGTGCGGTGGGCAGATGGGAGGAGACCAATGTGCAAACTATCCGCTCAGCAGAGTGTGGAGTTTCTGTTCCTGGTTGTGCTGGGGATCTCAGAAATCTACTTCAAAATTTTGCTACCCTCCCCCACTGGTTGTCCTTTTCATAGACATCTCACCCACGGTAGCAGGGAATGAGTCCCTCTAAACTATTCCCTCAGGAATAGTAAAAGCCAGCCCCTCTTCCCCCCTTGTCTCTTAGGACCCCCATCGCAGGGGGGTGAGGCACCCATCGCGATGCGGGGAGTAAGAGCCTGCCCCTCTTCCCCCCGTGGTTTTTAGGATCGGCGGTGGACTCACAGCCTGTTTACCACATTGTGAGTAATATCATCTCCCCTCTGGAAATTGTGATCTATTTCACAGACGGGTGTACACCCGTCTGTATTGGGAGTAATATCATCCTCTTCCTCCCTGAATATTAAGAACAGTATCACAGGGGTATTTCTACTCCCTGCGTTATTCGGTGTCATATCCTCCTCTCCCACGTTGCAATTAGAGACAATATCAGTGGGGGCGTGTCCACCTTCTGTGATATTTAAAGTAATGTCATCCTCTTCCCTCCAGGATCATGGGAACAATATCCCTGGGGGGTGTCCACTTTCTGCGATATATGTAGTCATATCACCCCCTACGCCTTTGAATATTACGAAGGACCATCTCACACGGGGGTGTACACTTCCTGCGATATTGGGAGTAATATCAACCTCTCGGCCTCTGAATATGAGGAAGAAAATCACAGGGTGGGTGTACACCTCCTGCTCTATTATGGGGAGTCATATCTATCTGTTATGGAGAGTAATATCATCCTCTCCCTTTCAGGATATTAATAACAATATCACAGGGTGGGTGAACACAGCCTGCGATGCTGGAATTATTATCACCCTCTCCTCCTCGGGATACTAGGAACAATATCACAGAAGAGGTGTACACTCCCTGCGATACTGGGAGTAATATCATATGCTTCTTCCGTGAATATTAGGAGCAATATCACCGGGTGGCTGTACATTCATTGCTATGTTGGCAGTCATGTCATACTCCACCCGCTGGATATTAGGATCAGTGTCACAGGGTGAGTGTACACCTATTGCGATATGAAAACTAATATCATGCTCTCCATCCCTGGATATTAGGAACAATATCGCAGGTAGGTGTACACCCCCTGCTGTATTAGGAGTAATAATACTATGAATTATTAAACATCAGTCTCATTAATGATTATCAATGGTAATATTAATTAATAGTATAATTTTATTAGTCATTAATGATTATTTTAAAGATATGATTATGCATGATTAAAATTAATTCTTACTATGAATGTCATTTTTAATATTAGTTATTAATATTAATATTAATCATTGTTTTATTACCAACATCACTTATGATGGATTTAAGTAACATTAATTAGTGATATCATTATTTTATTATTAATATTGATATTGCTGTTAATTATTAATTGTAATCATTAATATTTTTATCCACATTAAGGTTTACTGTCTCCACTGTAGTTATTAATATCAATGATTACTATTAATTGTTATTATATTTATTAATATTAATAATTAATAAAACTGTTCCTGATATCTGTGGGGGAGAGGATATGACTCCCAATATCGCAGAAAGCGTTACACTCCTCTACGATGTTACTCCTAATAGCCAGGGGGTAGAGAATGACATTATGGAAAATATCGCAGTGGGTGTACATCCCTTCGGTCATCTTGTTCCTAATATCCTGGGTGGGAGCGGATGTTACGACTCCCAAAATCGCAGTGGGCGGAGACCTCCCCCGTGATACTGTTCCGAACATCCAAAGGTGGAGAGGATATTTCTTCCAATTTCGCCGGGGGTGCTCACCACCCCTGTGATATTGATCCTAATATCCAGGGGGCGAGAGGATGATATTAGTCTGAATATTGCAGGAGGTGTACACTCCCTAGGGTTATTGTTCCTTATATCCAGGGACAGAGAGGATGATATCACTCCCAATATAGCAGGGGGTGTACACCCCTTGTGTAACATTGTTCCTAATAGGCAGCGGGGGAGAGGAGGATATTACCCCCAATATCGCAGGGGGTGTACACCCCCTTGTGACATTCTTCCTTCTATCCTGGGAGGGAGAGGAAGAAACTAGCGGCAATGTCGCAGGGGCTGTACACACCCACTGTGATATTGTTCCGAATATCCGGAGGGGGAGAAAATGATGTTACTTCCAATATCGCAGGGGGTGTACATGTTCCTGAGATATTGTTTCTTAGGTTCAGGCGGAGAGGATGATATTACTGCCAATATCGCAGGGGTTGTACACACTTCCCGCGATGCGGGGAATAAGAGCCAGCCCCTCTTCCCCTCCTGGCTCTTAGGACCCCCATTGCAGGGGGTTGAGGCACCCCCGGCCATGCGGGGAGTAAGAGCCAGTCCCTCTTCCCCCCACTGGCTCTTAGGACCCCCATCGCAGGGAGGTGAGGCACCCCCCGCGATGCGGGGAGTACAAGCCAGCCCCTCTCCCCCCTGGCTCTTAGGACCCCCATCGCAGGGGGGTGAGGCACCCCCCGCGATGTGGGGAGGGCTGAGACTGGGGTCTGGGCTGTTCCGGACTTCAACACTCACCCCTTGTCCCCCCGCAGGGCTATGGCGTGTGCTCGGTGGGGCTGGAGCGGCTGGCTTACGTCTTCGTGGCTTACAGCCTGGGCGCCTCAGCCGCCTCACTCCTGGGCCTGCTGGGCCTGTGGCTGCCACGCCCAGTGCCCCTCGTGGCTGCAGCAGGGGTGCACCTGCTGCTCACCTTCATCCTCTTTTTCTGGGCCCCTGTGCCTCGGGTCCTGCAACACAGCTGGATCCTCTGTGTGGCAGCTGCCCTTTGGGGCGTGGGCAGCACCCTGAACAAGACTGAACTCAGCAGTGAGTATAGCTGTGGGCACTGGGGGGGGGGGGGGGCGGGGCAGGATGCTTTATGGCTATCTGTGGGTGGTTGGCTAGACATAGACATCCCAGGGACAGATATGGGGTCCCATGGTCACATAGGGTCCTGTGGACATGGCAGAGGCAGGTGGGGCTTCCTGTGGACACTCCGGGGGTGGAAGGGAAGTTTCATGGACACACTGGGGGCAGATGGGTAGGGCGTGGACAGCCTGGAGACAGGTGTGGGGGTTCCACGCCATGGACATTCCGTTAATACCCCAGGGCGGGCACAGGGCCCCATCAACACTGGAGGGTCAGTGTGAAATCTCTTGGCTACAGGGGGCAGGTGTGGGGCTCTGTGGACACCCCTTAGGGATAGTGTGAAAAACACATCAGGGATTCTCCCTTTTCATACCAGGGGACAGGGCTTACCTGGCATAGTTTTCGTGACACTTGGAGCAGATGTTTTGGTCTCTGCCTCACGGAGCATGTGGTAGGAGCAAGTGGCCTGTTGTACATCCACGGCATAGATACAGACATGGGCCTTTGCATAGAGAGGAGCAGGCCTGCAGCCCCAACCCAGTCTGCTCAGTACCAGAGTCCAGGCACCAGGTCTGGGCTGCTGGGGAACAGGGCCCTGTTTGCAGAAGGCAGCGGGTGGGCCCATGTTCAGCTCCAGGATGCTCCCTGCCCACAGATGGGCACACGCAGTGACACACAGCTAGCACACATAGGCACAGTCCTGCGGGACATCCATGTCAGTGTCTGTTCTGATGGGCCGAATCTAAGAACAGGTTTGAACGTCATCCTTGGGGGTGTGGAGTGGCAGAGGTCATGCCTGCTCCTGGCAGGGCAGAGGGTGGCTCGGTGTCTCTGTCTGTAGCAGGGGCTGGAGCCTCATACTGCACCACAGTCTCTTGGCCGTTTTGCCCAAGGATAGCCAATTCTGGGCCGAGTCCATCCTGGGTATCTTGGACCCATGTTGTGCCCTCTCTGGTCATGGCATCCCCTCTGCCCAGCTCCATATCCCATCTCCTCTGGTGAACCCTGGGGGATCCTTATCTCTTCATAGCAGCACTGTGGGGGTAAAGTCACCCTGCAGGGCCCCAAGACAGGAGTGTTCATGTCCTGAGTGCCTGGTGAAGGTGTTAATAGTGGCCCCTATGATTTGGCAGGTGCCATGCCCACTTTCTCACTTTAGAACTTCAGAACACAGCACACAATAGGCATAGGCTCATGTCACCATTGGGAAAAGCAGCTCTGGGGAGTTAAGTACCCAAATCACCCACGGAGACAACATTACAGTCCTGAGAACGAGTGTGCATCTTCTGACTCCCAATCCATTACTCTTGTTGCCCACCCTGGGAGGACTCACTGGAAGGGAAGCCCCCCTTTCCATGCTTAGCTTCAGGTTTGATTTGCAGAGTTGGCAGCTGCAAACAGTTCGATCTCTCTAGTCCCGGCTGAGAAGGAGAAACAGCGCCTGCAAGCTTGGCACTGCACACCTGGGGTTGGGGACAGGACATGACTAAGCACAGAGCTTTCTTCTTTTGAGGCCACGCATGTGGTGCGGAGCGGGACCACCTGCATCCACACAGCCCGGCGCACCTGCTCCTACTTCTGCTTAGCGTATGAGCAGTGTGGTGACCAGGGTCTCCACCAGGGGGCAGGCCAGGACCGGCTCACAGCACTTTCTAGGTGCTCTCTGGTCCCGGGCTGGGACACATACAGGGCTTAATAAAGTTCATAGATGGTAGCTAGGCATCCCCAGGCCCCAGGTGACACCTATCCCCTGACTGCCCTGCACTGCCTGCCTGCAGCACTCCTGGGAATCTTGTAAGAAGACAAGGAGAGACAGGACTTCATCTTCACATCTACCACTGGTGGCAGGCTGTGGCCATCTTCCCCGTGTACCTGGGCTCGAGCCTGCACATGAAGGTGAGACTGGGCAGGGTTGGGGGCCCCATGCCCAGTGACAGGTACTTCCTTAGCCCCTGCCCTGGCTGCACAGCTTCCTAAACGCCACCCCTTCCCAAGCCAGTCTCTGGGCCAAGGCCCCATTCCTGCAGCCCACTGGGTGGCCCCCAACTCAGCACCCCACTTACTGGCCCACCTCCAGCCAGTCTCAGTTTGCCCATCTCTGAGGGGATTTGTGGGTGCATCACAGCCATCCTGTGGGCTGTTTGGTACCCTGTTGTCCAGATGTTGGGTCTGTCTCCCTTCATGGCCTGAAGGGGAGCAGGCTCCTCATGCTCTGCTCCCAAAAGATGGTGGCTCGGTCTAGCAAGTCCCAGTTGCTAAACATTTTTTAAAAATAGAACTAAAGGCTGGGCACGGTGGCTCACGCCTGTAATCCCAGCACTTTGGGAGGCCGAGGCGAGTGGATTGCCTGAGGTAGGGAGTTTGAAACCAGCATGACCGACATGGTGAAACCTCGTCTCTTCTAAAAATACAAAAATTATCCGGGCGTGGTGGCAGATGGCTGTAATCACAGCTACTCGGGAGGCTGAGGCAGGAGAATCGCTTGAACTGGGAGGCAGAGGTTGCAGTTAGCCGAGACGGGGCCTTGGCACTCCATCCAGCCTAAGCAACAAGAGCGAAACTCCGTCTCAAAAAATGAAAATAAAAATAGAACTAAAAATAGCAGGGAGTGGGCTGGGAGCAGTGGCTCATGCCTGTAATCCCAGCATTTTGAGACGCTGAGGTGGCTGTATCACCTGAAGTCTGGAGTTCGAGACCAGCCTGGGTAACAGGCTGTGAAACCCTGTCTCTACTAAAAACACAAAAATTAGCTGGGCATGGTGGCACGTCCCTGTGATCCCAGCTACTCTGGAGGCTGAGGCACAAGAATGGCTTGAACCTGGGAGACGGAGGTTGCAGTGAGCCAAGATCGCGCCACCGCACTTCAGCCTGGAGGACAGAGCGAGACTCTGTCTCCCAAAAAAAAAAAAAAAAAGGAAAAAGAAAAGCAGTGAGTGGGCTGGGCATGTCACGCCTGTAATCCCAACACTTTGGGAGGCTGAGGCAGGAGGATTGCTTGAGGCCAGGAGTTCAAGACCAGCCTGGGCAACATAGGAGACCCTGTCTCTACAAAAAATTTAAAAATTAGCTGGAGGTGGTGGCGCGTGCCTGTAGTTCCAGCTGCTTGGGAGACTGAGGTGGGAGGATGGCTTGAGCCTGGAAGATTGAGGCTGAAGTGAGCGTGCCACTGCGCTCCAGCAGTGGGTGGGGGAAGGGAGGGAGGGGGCGCGGTGGGGAAACGGAGCGACCGTGTCTGGAGAAAAGAAAAGAGCAGGAAGTATGCATACAGATATGTGTGTGTGTACTGAGCTATGGTGTGAAATCATTCCTGACTGCGGGTTATAGTCAAAACCCCATGAAGAGCATCACTACAGCCCACGGGTGTGTCAGGGACACAGTGTTGTGAGCCCTGGGAAGGCAGGGCCTGTGGCCAGCACTTTATCAACACTGGCACATGCACCCTATGAGGCAAAGGGATTTGCATTGTCCCCTTACAGCGTGGGACACTGAGGTCGCCAGGGGCATGGCGACTGTAAGGGACAGTGCTGGATGTGAGCCTCGCCTGCAGGAGGCGGTCCAGGAAGCGTGGGTGGAGCGGCTGGAGAAGTTGAGGGTCGCGTGGCCGGGGAGGCTCCCGGAGGAGGGAAGGGCCTATCTCAGCGAGGGGCATAGGCGAGGAAGGTGCGGGGCGAGGCGGCCGCGGGTCCCTGGCATCCCTCTCTTTACGCCCAGGTTAAGCTGGCGGTGCTGCTGGTGACGCTGGTGGCGGCCGCGGTCTCCTACCTGCGGATGGAGCAGAAGCTGCGGCGGGGCATGGCCCCGCGCTAGCCCCACATCCCGCGGCCCCAGCACAAGGTGCGCGGTGACCGCTACTTGGAGGAGGACAACTCGGACGAGAGCGACGCGGAGGGCGAGTATGGGGACGCCGCGGAGGAGGAGGCGCCGCCCGCGGGACCCCGGCCTGGCCCCGAGCCCGCTGGACTCGGCCGCCGGCCCTGCCCGTACGAACAGGCGCAGGGGGGCGACTGGCCCGAGGAGCAGCGAGGGGCCGCCTGGTCCCCGGACTCAGCCTCCCTCCTCGCCGGCCTCAGTTTACCACGACTTAGGTCGGGGGCACCCCCTCCTAGTCCCGCGCTGTCTTCAAAGGCCCCTGTCACCCCTCCCCCACGTTGGGGACGCCCCTCCCAGAGCCCGTGTCACCTCCGGGCTTCCGCAGCCCCCTCCAAGGCGGAGTGGAGCCTTGGGAACCCCTCGGCCAAGCACAGGGGTTCGAAAATACAGCTGAAACCCCGCGGGCCCCTAGCACGCGCCCCAGCCCCGGAGCAGGGTCAGGGTCTTCTTGCGACCCGGCCCCGCTCCAGACCCCCCAGCTCTCGGCCGCGGACCCGGGCCGCGTGTGAGCGCGCTTTGCACCTCCTATCCCCAGGGTCCGCCGAGAGCCACGATTTTTTACAGAAAATGAGCAATGAAGAGATTTTGTACTGTCCTGACTGGGGAGTCCCAGGCCGCCGGGGACGGAGCGCCCCTGGGGTGCACGCCCGGCTGGCCCGGCCTCTGGGTGCGGTGGTGGGAGGCCCTGACCTAGGGGGACCGCGGGGTGTGGGGAGTGCGTAGCCCCAGTGGGGGCGGGGCGAGGTGTCCGTAGGCCCCGCCCTCCAGCCCTTCCTCCCTCCTGAGGCCCCGCCCCCCCATACCTGCCTGCCTTTGCCAGCCCCAGCCAGGAGAAGGGAGCGGGGGAGCGGCTGGCAGAGACAGAGGAGGGTGTGACGGCGTTGCTGGTCCCCCATGGGTCCAGAGGGCGAGACAGACTCCCGAGGCACACCCTCCAGGGGCCTGTGTAGGCATCCTCGGCCCTCCAGCGACCACCCCCGCGTCAGACAGGGTCCACTTCCGAGCCACGGTGGGGTCACCCTGTGCCCAGTAGGGGCCTTGGAAGTGGTGGTTGGAGGCCAGGTACGCTCGGTTACTACCCTTTCCAGGCTACAGCCTCAGCTGCGATGCCCACGAGAAACAGGCTGGTGGAGGGGCAGACCCCCTACAAGGCCTGAAGGTGCCGTTCCTCCACCCGCTCCTCTTGTGGCCAGAGGAGAGGGACACCCCCGCCATGAAGAGCTCTGAACGGTTGGGTGAGGACAAGTGGGTGCCGTGGGAGGGCCATGGAGCCCCCAGCTGCACCCCAGCAGGCCCAGGGCTGGCCCACACCATTCCTCACTCCCCACAGCCTCTCTACCCTTGACTTTGGCGAGACCCTCGTCCATACCTCCAGGCTCCATGCCTGCCTCAGCATCGCTCTATGGATTCTCCCAGCCCTAAACTTGCCCCATCTCTCCTCTCTGCCCTCATGTGAGTTTGGTTCTTGAAGCCTCTAGTGGTCCCTGGGGCCAGACTCTGTGGCCTTGGACAGGGAGTCTGCCATCTGAGCCACAGGTTCCTTCTCTGTTGAGTGTGTGAGGGAACATGTTGGAGCCCTTAGTGTGGCGGCAGCAAGTGCCCCAGGTCCTGTAAGAAACACAAAAGGGTGCGGCGGGAGACTTGACATTTTCTAAATCTGGGAGGGAACGCTGCCTTCCTCACGCCGACCTTCAGTGAAAAGCAGACTCAGAAGCGGTCCCAAGGTGTCACTGTAAGCTGGGTGAAGGCCAGCACTGTGTGCTTCCAGTTCCCCCTCAGCATCTGTAGACTGAGTGTTCTCTGGAGGTGGCTGGCGACATCCTCCAGGCAGCCTCCAGCAAAACCAGTCGGAGTTGGGCAACCTGACGCTGGGATGATTCACCTCTGAATGGAGGGCAAGGTGATATTTGGAAGGGTGTGGGCCCCTGGGATGCTGGGCAAAAGGGCAGCGGGTGCCTGGATACTGGGCCTACAGCTCTTCCCAGTTCCGAGTCAATTCCAATGTCCATGGTGCCAAGGAACAGAGGCTCTGATGTTGAGCAGACTTGAAGGTGATCCAGGCACATGGAGTGGCCACTCAGGGGCTTGGCTCCTGGCTGTGCTCTTCCTATCTGGGCATTTCCCATCAGAAGGCTTCACAGGCCACCCGGCTGCTCCTGGCACACGGAGAATGCCCAGATGCTGACATGTGCCAGACAACACACATGTACACCTGATAGGACACACACATGCAACATGCAAACACACATGATGGGTAACACCTGTGACAGACACTACATGACAACACACGTGCACACATGATGGGAAACACATATCACAGGCCGTGCGACGTGAAACACACATCACAGGCTGTGCGACGGGAAACACAGCGCAGGCAGTGTGACGGGCCCTGGCAGCAAGCTCAGCAGGCTGGCTCTTTTCGAGCAGGAGAAGAGCTCATTGTAAGAGATGACACTGGCGTAGGTGGCACCTCCCCTGTCTCCATCACCCCTGGATAAGGTGACTGGGTGGAGGTTCTGGAACCCTGAGTGGACGAGCAGGTAGTGTCATGGCCTCCTTGTCTGATTGCCACCCTCGCTCCCAAAGCAACTCTGTGATTTTGGCCATGTGCACTGTGGGGATTTTTCTTTTTCTTTTCTTTTTTTTTTTTTTTGCAACGGAGTTTCACTCTTGTTGCCCAAGCTGGAGTGCAAGGGTGTGATCTCAGCTCACTGCAACCTCCGTCTCCTGGGTTCAAGCAATTCTCCTACCTCAGCCCCCCGAGTAGCGGGGATTACAGGCGCCCACGACCAAGCTAGGCTAATTTTTTTGTATTTTTAGTAGAGACGAAGTTTCACCATGTTGGCCAAGCTGGTCTCAAACTCCTGACCTCAGGTGATCCACCTGCCTCGGCGTCCCAAAGTGCTGGGATTACAGACGTTAGCCATCACGCCCGGCTGGGATTTTTCACTTATGTGATTCCAAGAATCTCCAGTCCAAGATTTTCCCTATCTTTAAGTTCTCAGTAGCAGGTTAGATAACCTGAGAAGTCTCCCTCTTCAAAACACCTAGGAATGCTGGGTAAGAAACAAATGTCCTTTTAACTATAGAGCTGAGGCCGGGCATGGTGGCTCACGCCTGTAATTCCAGCACATTGGGAGGCTGAGGCGGGCGGATCACCTGAGGCCAGGAGTTCGAGACCAGCCTGGCCAATGGTGAAACCCCATCTCTACTAAAAATACAAAAATCAGCCAGGAGGGGTGGCAGGGGCTTGTAGTCTCAGCTACTTAGGAGGCTGAAGCAGGAGAATCGCTTAAACCCGGAAGGCAGAAGTTGCAGTGAGCCAAGATCACGCCATTACACTCCAGCCTGGGCAAAAGAGTGAAACTACATCTCAAAAAATATATAAATAAAATAAAATAAAATAAAATAAATATATAGCTGAGTTCTTCAGAAAATAAGTTAAGTCCCCTAAGGGCAGAAGTGAAGAGGGGAGTGAGAAGCAAGGTGGGGACAGAGGAGCTGGTGCTGCAACTGCCTGAGGGCAGGGCTGGGTTGAGTGTTGGAAGCCCTTACAAGGCAGGGGGTGAGGGTTACAGTCAAGCATGATGAAGTTGGGGCCACAGAAATGCAACACCTTTAGAGAAAGGGACAGAAACATTTCCACCCAGGGGAACAGAGAGAGGTGAGAAAATTTGAGCTTTAGGTGGTGGACAAGTTTCCCATGAGATCGTTGCATTTTCAGGCCTCTCTTATGTAAATGTGGAACTCCTACAATGAAGTCATGCTACCTGTGTGGTCTAGGAATGCCAGAGTTGAGAAATTAACACTAAAAAGTTGCTTTGGGCCGGGCGTGGTGGCTCACGCCTGTAATCCCAGCACTTCGGGAAGCTGAGGCAGGTGAATCACCTGAGGTCAGGAGTTCGAGACCAGCCTGGCCAACGTGGTGAAACCCCGTCTCCACTAAAAATACAAAAAATTAGCCACGCCTCGTGTGCGTGTAATCCCAGCTTCTCAGGAGGCTGAGGCAGGAAAATAGCTTGAACCTGGGAGGCAGAGGTTGCAGTGAGCTGAGATTGCGCCACTGCACTCCAGCCTGGGCAACAAGAGTGAAACTCTGTCTCAAAAAAAAAAAGTTGCCTTGGCTTAGTGGTACCCTGGGGCCCCTGGAAAGGCCAAATAGAAAACCTCTCTAGGTGGCTCCCTCAAACCTGGCCACCCAGGATTCCCCACATAAAGCCCCTCTGAAGCTCAGCTCACGATCCAAAATTACAGAACACACAGGAAACACATCACCGCGAGAAAAGGCAACAGACATACAAAAGAGCAGGATTCGACACCCGCTCCAAATACCCCCAGCTAGGAGAGAGAAGCTGTCCAACAGGTATGTGAGATAGGCAGCTGCTATAAGGGCTGTCAGCAATCTCCCACCCTCGACTCTTCACAACTTTGTGTAATTTCCATCCCTTGATTGTGGGCTGGACCTAGTGAGTTTCTTTTAACCAACTGAATTCTTTTTTACTTATTTTATTTTATTTTATTTTATTTTATTTTATTTTATTTTATTTTATCTTATTTTATTTTATTTTACTTAGAGATAGAGTTGCACTGTGTTGTCCATGCTAGACTGAAACTCCTGGCCTTAAGCAGTCTTCCTGCCTCGGCCTCCCAAAGTCCCAGGATTATAAGCATGAGCCACTGTGCTCAGCAGCCTTCGCATTTATTTATTTTTGAGACTCGCCGTATCGCCCAGGCTGGAGTGCAATGGCACGATCTTGGCTCACTGCAACCTGCACCTCCCAGGTTCAAGCGATTCTCCTACCTCAGGCTTCCAAGTAGCTGAGATTACAGGCGCCTACCACCACGCCTGGCTAATTTTTGTATTTTTAGTAGAGACTGGGTTTCAGCATGTTGGCCAGGCTGGTCTCGAACTCCTGGCCTCAGGTGATCTGCCCGCCTCGGTCTCCCAAAGTGCTGGGATTACAGGCGTGAGCCACTGAACCTGGCCAACCAACTGAATGCTAAACTGGCCTGAGACATTCTCACTCTCTGGTGTCCACACCCCGCTAATGCCCTCCTGTGAGTGAATGTGATGGGCTACAGTACTTTTGAGCTAATCAAATGGGACGCTACCTAATGGACCTGAACAAGTCAGGCAAGTCTTTTAAAAGAAAGGGACACGGCAGAGAGGCGCTCTTCTGCAGGCTTGGAGTAGGGCAAGTGGCCATGGTGCCACCTACAAGGGGGCCCCTGGAAGCCGAGAGTGGTCCCCGATGGCAGCTTGCAAGAAAACAGGGACCTCAGTGCCCCAACGTAGGGAACAGCCCCTCTCCCCCGCTGGCTCTTAGGACCCCCATCGCAGGGGGGTGAGGCACCTCCCGCGATGAGGGGAGTTAGAGCTAGCCGCCTCCCCCCCTGGCTCTTAGGACCCCCATCGCACGGGGGTGAGGCACCCCCCGCAATGCGGGGAGTAAGAGCCAGCACCTTTTCCCCCTCTGGTTTTTAGGATCCGCGGTGGACTCACAGCCTCTTTACCATATTGTGAGCAATATCATCTCCCCCTCTGGAGATTATGAACTGTTTCAGAGACGGCTATATACCCTCGGTGTACAGAGGGTGTACACCCGTCTGTATTGGGAGTAATATCATCCTCTTCCTCTCTGAATATTAAGAAGAGTATCACAGGGGTTTTTCCACTCTCTCGGATATCGCGTGTCATATCCTCCTCTCCCATGCTGCAATTAGAAACAGTATCAGTGGGGGCGTGTCCACCTTCTGTGATATTGAAAGTAATATCATCCTCTTCCCTCCAGGATCATGGGAACAATATCCCTGGGGGGTGTCCACTTTCTGCCATATATGTAGTCATATCATCCCCTCCGCCTTGGAATATTATGAAGGACCATCTCACACGGGGGTGTACACTTCCTGCGATATTGGGAGTAATATCAACCTCTCGGCCTCTGAATATTAGAAAGAATATCACAGGGTGGTTGTACACCTCCTGCTCTATTATGGGGAGTCATATCTATCTATTATGGGGAGTAATATCATCCTCTCCCTTTCAGGATATTAATAACAATTTCACAGGCTGGGTGAACACAGCCTGTGATGCTGGAATTATTATCACCCTCTCTCCCTCGGGATACTAGGAAGAATATCACAGAAGAGGTGTACACTCCCTGCGATATTGGGAGTAATATCATACGCTTCTTCCGTGAATATTAGGAGCAATATAACCGCGTGGCTGTACATTGATTGCTATGTTGGCAGTCATGTCATACTCTACCCGCTGGGTATTAGGATCGGTGTCACAGGGTGAGTGTACACCTACTGCGATATGAAAACTAATATCATGCTCTCCATCCCTGGATATTAGGAACAATATCACAGGTAGGTGTACACCCCCTGCGGTATTAGCAGTAATAATATTATGAATTATTAAACATCAGTCTTATTAATAATTATCAATGGTAATATTAATTAACAGTATAATGTTATTAATCATTATTATTTTCAAGATATGATTATACATGATTAAAATTAATTATTAATATTTATGTCACTTTTAATATTAGTTATTAATCTTAATATTAATTGTTTTATTACCAACATCACTTATGATTGATTGAAGTAACATTAATTAATGATATCATTATTTTATTATTAATAGTGATATTGCTATTAATTATTAATAGTAACCATTAATATTTTTCAACCGTACTGTTTTAATGTCTCTACTGTAATTATTAATATTGATGATTACTATTAATTGTTATTATAGCCATTAATATTAATAATTAATAGAACTGTTCCCGATATCCGTGAGGTAGAGGATATTACTCCCAGTATCGCAGAAAGTGTACACCCCTCTATGATGTTACTCCTAATAGCCAGGGGTAGAGGATGACATTATTGAAAATAGCGCAGCGGATGTACATCCCTTCGGTTATCTTGTTCCTAATATCCTGGGTGGGAGCGGATGATATGACTCCCAATATCGCAGGGGGCGGAGACCTCCCCCGTGATACTGACCCTAACATCCAAAGGTGGAGAGGATGATATTTCTTCCAATTTCGCCGGGGGTGCACACCACCCTTGTGATATTGATCCTAATATTCAGGCGGCGAGAGGATGATATTAGTCTGAATATTGCAGGATGTGTACACTCCCTAGGGATATTGTTCCTAATATCCAGGGACATAGAGGATGATATCACTCCCAATATAGCAGGGGGTGTACACCCCTTGTGTGACATTGCTCCTAAAGGGCTGCGGGGGAGAGGAAGATATTACAGCCAATATCGCAGGGGGGTACACCCCCTTGTGACATTCTTCCTTCTATCCTGGGAGGGAGAGGAAGATACTAGCGGCAATGTCGCAGGGGCTGTACACACCCACTGTGATATTGTTCCAAATATCCGGAGGGGAAGAAAATGATGTTACTTCCAATATCGCAGGGGGTGTACATCCTCATGTGATATTGTTTCTTATATTCAGGGGGAGAGGATGATATTACTCCCAATATCGCAGGGGTTGTACACACCTCCTGCGATACGGGGAGTAAGAGCCAGCCCCACTCCCCCCCTGGCTCTTAGGAGCCCCATCGCAGGGGGGTGAGGCCCCACCCCAACGTACGGGGAGTAAGAGCCAGCCCCTTTCCCCCCCTGGCTCTTAGGACCCCCATCGCAAGGGGTGAGGCCCCCGTGATGCGGGCAGTCATATCACCCCCCCCTCCCCCCTGGATATGACGGTCCACGGTGGTCACACAGCTTGTTCACGTTATTGTCAGTAATATCTTCTCCGCCTCTGGAAATTACCAACTATGTCACAGACGGGTGCACATCCTCTGCGCTCTTTGGAGTAATAGCATCCTCTTTCCCCTTGATATTAAGAACAATATCACAGGAGTGTTTTTACCCCTAGGGGCATTCCGTGTAGTATCATCCTCTCCCACGTTGAAATTAGAAACAATATCACTGAGGGCGTGTCCACCCCGTGCGATATTGAAAGTAACATCATCCTATTCTCTCCTGGATCATGGGAACCATATCACTGCGGTTGTGTACACTTTCTGCGGTATTGGGAGTAAGATCACCCTCTCCGCCTTGGAATATTAAGGACCATATCACAGTGGGGCTGTACACACCCTGTGCTGTGAAGAAGAGTATTATCCTCCCCTGCCCTGCACGTTGGAAAAAATATCACAGAGTAGGTGTACACCTCCTGCGATTGGGGGGTGATATCATCTTCTCTTCTTCTGGATAATAGCAACAATAGTACACGGGTTTGTACACTTTCTGTGATATTGGGAGTAATATCAACCTCTCCACCTTTGAATATTAAGAACAATATCACAGACTGGATGTACATCCTGCGATATTGGGAGTCATATCAGCCTCTCCTCTCCGTGGATATTAGGAATAATATCCCAGGATCGGTGTACACCTCCTGCTGTATGGGGAGTCATATCGTCCTCTCACTTCCTGGCTGCTAGGAACAATATCAGAGGGTGGGTGTACACAGCCTGCGATATTGCGAGTAATATCACCCTCTCCCCCTCCGGATATTAGGAACAATGTCACAGAAGCGGTGTACACTTCCTGAGATACTGGGAGTAATAGCATTCTCTTCTTCCGGGAATATTAGGAGGAATATCACCGGGTGGATGCACACCCACTGCTATCTTGGGAGTAACGTCATACGCCACCCCCTGGAGATGATATTCGGATCAATATCACCGGTTGGGTGTACACCTACTGCGATACTGAACGTCATATCATGCTCTCTCCCTCCCTGGACATTAGGAACAATATCACAGGTGGGTGTACACCCACTGCGGTATTAGGGATAATATTCATATTAATTCTTCCTCATTTATTAACATGAATATGTATTACCAATATTAATATAAATATTAAGAAATCATTGCTAAAAATAGTGTTCAGATTATTAATATTAATGTTAATTATTAGGAGCTAATATGACAGTTTTCTAATGAATAATATCAATATCACTCTTTAAAACCAGGCGTCAATAATCATTAATATTCATCATTTATTGTTATCGTCAGTATAACTCTTTAATACGAATTATCATTATTATTGGTATTGATTTTAAGAATTATATGATCAGTTATTAATATTGATAATTATCAGTATCAATTAATAATTGAGATTATTAATTGCGGTGAGTAACATTGCGCCATTCCACCCCTCCCTCGGCAGCTCGTTTATGACCCAAAACGGGGATCCAAATGCCCCTGAGAGAGCAGCAGTATACTGGGAGAGAGGAGGATGGTCACGTGGTGGAGAAGCGTGTTTTTGTGTAAAAGCCCTTCACCTCTGCCGACCTTCTCAACTGGGAAAACAATACCCTGTCCTAGAGCGAAAAGCCGCAAGCCCTAATTGATTTACTCCAAACTGTTATCCAGACCCACAACCCCACCTGGGCTGATCGCCACCGGTTGCTCATGTTCCTCTTTAAGAGAGATGAAAGGCGAAAGGCAGAGAGGGCTCCACGCAGCAACTAAGTGGCTAGAGGAACATGCACCAGCTGATTATCAAAACCCCCAAGAGTATGGAAGGACCCCGTTACCAGGAACCCACCCCCAGTTGGGCCCACATGAAAGAGAGGATATGCAAAGGCTAAACCGAGACAGGGAAGCTCTCTTGGAAGGATTCAAGAGGGGAGCTCAGAAGGCCACAAACGTTAACAAGGTCTCTGAGGTCATTCAGGGAAAAGAAGAAAGTCCAGCACAATTCTACCAGAGACTGTGAGAGGCCTATGGTATGTATACTCCCCTTGATCACGATAACCCTGAAAATCAGCGCATGATTCACATGGCTTTAGTCCGTCAAAGCGCGGAAGACGTTAGAAGAAAACTGCAGAAGCAGGCTGGGCTTGCAGGGATGAATACATCACATTGATGAGAAATAGCTAAGCAGGTGTTTGTAAACAGGGATGCAGTAAGCCGCGAGGGAAAGCGCAAAGAGAATGAAGGTCAGGCCTGGTGAAATGCCGACCTGTTTGTTAGCTGCAGCAATCAGAGCTGTCCCCCCAAAGAAGCAAGGGAAGGGGGGCCCTGGGAAAGAAACTCAGCTTGGCTGTCAGAGTTTGCAGCATAACCAGTATGCTGATTGTAAAGAAATAGGACAGTGGAAGAACAAATGCCCTCAGCTCAAAAGAAAACAAGGAGACTCAGAGCAGGAGGCCCCGGACAAGGAGGAAGGGGCCCGGCTCAACCTGGCAGAAGGGTTATTGGACTGAGGGAGACCGGGCCCAAGTGTCCCCAAAGAGCCTCTGGTCAGAATGACAGTCGATGGTAGAGACATTGATTTTCTTGTAGATAACGGTGCTGAACATTCGCTAGTAACCGCCCCGGTCGCCCCCTTATCCAGAAAGACTCTTGACGTCACCGGAGCCACGGGGATTTCAGCAAAGCAAGCTTTCTGCTTGCCTGGGACTTGCACTGTAGGAGGACATCAAGTGATTCATCAGTTTTTGTACATGCCTGACTGTCCCTTGCCCTTGTTGGGAAGGGACTTGCTTAGCAAGCTGAGAGCTGCTCTCTCTTTGACAGAACACAGCTCTTTGCTGCTAAAGTTACCCGCCACGGGAGTCATTATGACACTTACGGTCCCCCGAGAGGAGGAATGGAGACTTTTGTGAACTGAGCCGGGCCAAGAGAGAAGACCAGCTCTGGCTAAGCGGTGGCCAAGAGTATGGGCAGAAGACAACCCTCCAGGGTTGGCCAGTTAAGACTGGGGCCCAGCCGCTTAGGCAAAAACAGGACCCGGTCCCCAGAGAAGCTCTTCAAGGTATCCAGGTCCATCTTAAGCACCTAAGAACTTTTGGTATGATAGTTCCTTGTCAGTCTCCACGGAATACTCCCCTCCTGCCTGTTCCCAAGCCATGGACCAAGGACTACAGCCCGGGACAGGATTCGCGCTTGCTTAGTCTAGCTACCCTGACTTTCCATCCAACAGTACCTAGCCCTTCCACATTGGTGGGGTTGCTGCCAGCTGAGGACAGCTGGTTCACCTGCTTGGACTTGAGAGACGCTTTCTTTCCTATCAGATTAGCCCCTGAGAGGCAGAAGCTGTTTGCCTTTCAGTGGGAAGATCCGGAGTCAGGTGTCACTACTCAGTACACTTGGACAGGTCTTCCCCAAGGGTTCAAGAACTCCCCCACCATCTTCGGGGAGGCGTTGGCTAGAGACCTCCAGAAGTTTCCCACCAGAGACCTAGGCTGCGTGTTGCTCCGCTAGGTTGATGAGCTTTTGCTGGGACACCCCACGGCAGTCGGGTGCGCCAAGGGAACGGATTGCCCTACGTCGACACCTGGATGACTGTGGGTGTAAGGTGTCCAAGAAGAAAGCTCAGATCTGCCGACAGCAGGTACGTTCCTTGGGATATACTATCCGACAGGGGGAACGCAGCCCGGGATCAGAAAGAAAGCAGGTCATTTGCAATCTAGCAGAGCCTAAGAGCAGAAGGCAGGTGAGAGAATTCTTAGGAGCTGCGGGGTTTTGTAGACTGCAGATCCCAAACTTTGCAGTATTAGCCAAGACTTTGTATGAGGTCACCAAGGGGGCGGGGACCGGGAACTTTTTGAATGGGGATTCCAACAATAGCAAGTTTTTCATGAGTTAAAGGAGAAACTTAGGTCAGCCCCAGCCCTGGGGCTACCCGATATGACAAAGCCTTCTCCATAGTATGCATCAGAGAGAGAAAAGATGGCAGCTGGACTTTGAACCCAAACTGTGTGGCCCAGGGAGAGGCCAGTGGCCTACCTCTCTCAACAACTAGACAGGGTTTCTAAAGGATGGCCCCCTTGTTGGAGGGCTTTGGCAGCAACTGCCCTGCGAGTACAAGAAGCAAATAAGCTGACTCTTGGGCAGAACCTGAACAGAAAGGCCCCCCATGCTGTGGTGACTTTAATGAATACTGAAGGACATCATTGGCTAATGAATGCCAAACTCACCAAGTACCAAACTTTGCTCTGTGAAAATCCCCGTATAACCATTGAAGTTTGTAACAGCCTACACCCCGCCACCTTGCTCCTGGTATCAGAGAGCCCTGTCGAGCCTGGTTGTGTAGAAGTGTTGGACACAATTGACTCTAGCAGACCTGACCTCCGGGGCCAGCCTTGGGCATCATAGACTGGGAACTATACGTGGATGGGAGCAGCTTCTTCAACCCCAAGGAGAGAGAGGTGCAGGGTAAGCAGTGATAACCCTGGACACTGTTGTTGAAGCCAGATCATTGCCCCAGGCCACGTCAGCCCAGAAAGCTGAACTCATTGCTTTCATTCGGGCCTTAGAACTCAGTGAGGGTGAGACTGTCAACATTTACACTGATTCTCCGTATGTCTTTTGAACCGTTCAAGTGCATGGAGCATGATAGAAAGAAAAGGGCCTATTGAACTCTGGGGAAAAAGACAGAAAATATCAACAAGAAATCTTGCAATGATTAGAAACAGTATGGAAACCCCACAAGGTGGCAATTATGCATTGCAGAGGACACCAGCGAGCTTCCATCTTGCTGGGTTTGGGGAATTCCCGCGCTGACTCAGAGGCTGGAAAAGCAGCATCTGCCCCCTTCGGGGCATCAGTGCTCCCTCAAGCACCTGATCTTGGCCCTACTTCTTCTAAAGAAGAAAAGGACTTTCTCCAGGTAGAGGGAAGGACAAGTGATGGAGGAAGGATGGATTCGGTTACCAGATGGGAGAGTAGCTGCGCCACAGCTGCTAGGAGCTGCAGTTGTACTGGCTGTTCTACATCTCACCTTTGTCAGCCCTTGCCAAAACTGTGAGGCAGCGGTGTGTTACCTGCCGACTGCATGATGCGAGGCAAGGTCCAGCCGTTCCACCTGGCATATGAGCTTATGGAGCAGCCCCATTTGAAGGTCTCCAGGTGGACTTCACAGAGATGTCAAAGTGTGGAGGTAACAAGTATGTACTAGTTCTTGGGCGTACCTACTCTGGGTGGGTGGAGGACTGGGTCTTCCTCCCCAAACCTGGATGTTAGCAACGAGATCACAGAGGGGGTGTACACACCCTGCGACATTGGAGGTAATATGATCCTGTCCCCACCTGGATACTGGGAAAGATACCACAGCGCGGGTATACGTTTCCTACGCTGTTGCGAGTAATATCATTCTTTTCCTTTCTGGATATTAGGGAGAATATCACAGGGGTGCTGTACAATTACTTTGACATTGGGAGTAGCATCATCCTCTATTTTCCTGGATATTGGGCACAAAAACACAAAAGGGTGAACAACCCCTGCGATATTTGGAGTAATATTATCCTCTCCCCTCACGATTATTAAGAACAATATCGTAGGGGTGGGGGATGTACACCCCCTTTCATGTTTGATAACATCCTCTTTCCCCCTGGATATTAGGAACAATATCAGGAAGGGATGTACAGACCCTGCGACCTTTGCTGTCACATAATTGTCTCTCTCCTAGATATTAGGAAAAACTGTCCCTGGGGATGTGAACAGCCCTGCGATATTGAGAGTAGTATCATCCTCTCCCCCTTGCATTTTGGGAACAACATCACGGTTGGGGTGTACTGCCTCTCTGATATTGGGAGTGAAATTTTCCTCTCTTCCCCTGGACATTAGGAAGGGTATTACAGGGGTGGGTGTACATTCCCTGTGATATTCAACATAACCTTATCCGCTCCCTCCCAGGGTATTCAGAACAATATTACAGGAGGGGTGTACACCCTCTGTGATATTGACAGTCATATCATCCTCTTTCGCTCTGGATATTAGGAACAATATCACAGGGTTGTGTACCCCCACTGCGATATTGGGAGTCATATCGTCCTCTCTCCCTGCGGATATTAGGAAGAGTATCACAGGGCTGTATAAACCCCCTGCAGTACTGGGAGTAATATCATCCTCTCTCCCTCTGAATATAGGAAGATTTTCGAAGGGGTGTGTTCACCCCCTGCGATATTGGGAGTAAGATCATCCTCTCCACCCAGGAAATGACTAACAAGGTCACGGGGGGGTGTACTCCCCCTGCGATATTGGGAGTAATGTCGTCCTCCCCAAACCTGGATGTTAGCAACGAGATCACAGAGGGGGTGTACATACCCTGCGACATTGGAAGTAATATGATCCTGTCCCCACCTGGATACTGGGAAATATACCACAGCGCGGGGATACGTTTCCTACGCTGTTGGGAGTAATGTCATTCTCTTACTTTCTGGATATTAGGGAGAATATCACAGGGGTGCTCTAGAATTACTTCGACATTGGGAGAAATATCATCCTCTATTTTCCTGGATATTGGACCAAAAAACACAAAAGGGTGTACAACTCCTGCGATATTGGGAGTAATAGCATACTCTCCTTCCCTGGATGTTAGAAAACAATATCATAAGGGCTGAACACCCCCCGCGATAATGGGAGTCATGGTTACTCTTTCACAGGCCATTTGGAACAATATCACAGGGGGTGTTTACAAACAGGGGTGGTGTGCACCCGCTGTGATATTGGGAGTAACATCATTCTCTCCACCTCTGGATATTAAGAACAATATCCCGACGGGAGGTGGTACACCCCCAGTGATATTGCGAATAATGTCATCCTCTCCTTCCCTGGATATTAGGAACAATATCACAGAGGGGTGTACACCTTCTGTGATATTGGAAGCAATATCATCCTCTCCCCCGCTGGATATTAGAAAAAATATTACTCACGGTGTACACCCACTGTGATATGAGGAGTAATATCTTCCTAGGGTATTAGGAATAATTTCACAGTCTGTACACACATGGTGTACACTCACTGTGATATTAGGAGTAATATCTACCTGGTAGATAACAAATAACATCACAGTGTGTAGACCCACTTTGATATTAGCTGTAATATTTTTCTAAGTTGTTACAAATAAGATCACAGGGTGTACAAACATGGTGTACACTCACTGTGATATCAGGAGTCATATCTCTGTAATAGATTATGAATAATATCACAGGGTGTACACCCACTGTATTACTAGGAGTAATATCTCTGTAGGATACTACAATTAAGATCACAGGGTGTACAGCCACCGTGATATTAGGAGCAATATCTTTCTAGGATATTACAAATAATATCACAGGGTGTACGCCCACTCTGCTGTCAGGAGCAATATCTCCCTAGGATATCAAAAATCCTATCACAGGGTGTCCAAACTCTGCCTACCAGGTTCTAAGGGATTCTCCTGCTTCAGCCTCCCGAGTAGCTAGGGTTACCAGCCACCACGCCCGGCTAATTTTTTTTTATTTTCACTGGAGACGGGGTTTCACCACGTTGGCGAGGCTGGTCTGGAACTCCTAACCTCAGGTGATCCGTCAGCCTCGGCCGCCCAAAGTGCTGGGATTACAGGTGTGAGCCATGGTGGTGGGCCAAGAGTTATAGATTCAATTCATTTGGAAACACAGCTCCCGTCTTTGAGTGTGCATGTACTTTTATGAAGAAATGATGTCAGAAAACCGAAGGATGATAATAAATACTAAAAGTAACAGGCATGTGAAAAGGTCTTCCGATTGAAAACTATAAGGTTTGATTTCGTTTTCAGATAGTGGGGTCCTAGCTCTTGTGTCATCCTTTTGCATATTCTACATCAATGGAAGTTGTAGCACCGTGTCAGAATAAAGTAGAGTGTATTTCACGGCTTCTTAATTTCTTTCAATTAGACTGAGGTGTTTTTCTTCAAGAGAGAAGGACATGGTCATTGCATTGTATTTTGTCTGAAAAGAGTAGGCCGTATTTTACTGAGATCACGGATTTGTTATATATGACGTTTTGGTCTTCTAATATTCTTCAGTGGATTTTCTCTAAAGTAGTATGTACAGAAAGCCTTGCATAGCAAAAAAGTAAATCACGTAATAGTTCTGATATTTTTTGGAATTGTCACAACTGAGAAACATTGCTGGCGGTGTATGGTCCGCAAGTGTGAAAATGTTCCTTGTGAATTGCATCCAGCATTAAGGGCTGGTTTTTATCTTTTATTTTTCCAATCATCTTTCCTTCTTAAGTTGTCCAAGAGACACAGAGCCACGGAATCTCACAGATGTCTGAGAATTCGTCCTCCTGGGACTCTCAGAGGATCCAGAACTGCAGCCGGTCCTCGCTTTGCTGTCCCTGTCCCTGTCCATGTATCTGGTCACGGTGCTGAGGAACCTGCTCAGCATCCTGGCTGTCCGCTCTGACTCCCCCCTCCACACCCCCATGTACTTCTTCCTCTCCAACCTGTGCTGGGCTGACATCGGTTTCACCTCGGCCACGGTTCCCAAGATGATTGTGGAATGCAGTCGCATAGCAGAGTCATCTCTCATGCGGGCTGCCTGACGCAGATGTCTTTCTTGGTCCTTTTTGCATGTATAGAAGACATGTTCCTGACTGTGATGGCCTATGACTGCTTTATAGCCATCTGTCATCCTCTGCACTACCCAGTCATCGTGAATCCTCACCTCTGTGTCTTCTTCATTTTGGTGTCCTTTTTCCTTAGCCTGTTGGATTCCCAGCTGCATAGCTGGATTGTGTTACAATTCACCATCATCAAGAATGTGGAAGTCTCTAATTTTGTCTGTGACCCCTCTCAACTTCTCAAACTTGCCTGTTCTGACAGCGTCATCAATAGCATATTCATATATTTCGATAATACTATGTTTGGTTTTCTTCCCATTTCAGGGATCCTTTGGTCTTACTATAAAATCGTCCCCTACATTCTCAGGATTTCATCGTCAGATGGGAAGTATAAAGCCTTCGCCACCTGTGGCTCTCACCTGGCAGTTGCTTGCTGATTTTATGGAACAGGCATTGGCATGTACCTGACTTCAGCTGTGTCACCACCCCCCAGGAATGGTGTGGTGGCATCAGTGATGTACGCTGTGGTCACCCCCATGCTGAACCTTTTTATCTACAGCCTGAGAAACAGGGACATACAAAGTGCCCTGCGGAGGCTGCGCCCCAGAACAGTCGAATCTCATGATCTGTTCCATCCTTTTTCTTGTGTGGGTGAGAAAGGGCAACCGCATTAAATCTCTACATCTGCAAATCCTGCCCCTTAGTCACATTATTTTTGTGGCTTGATGGCTTTTATTCCTTTCCGCATTTCCTTTGTGAATATTGCTTTCTTCGTTATGACTTTCACTGGAATGGGTGAGGATTCTGGGATCCTTTGTTTAGCAGAAACCTCGTGACAGAATCCTCTATACCTAGGTGGCCTCCTTTAGTTTCTGAGCAATAACCCTGCCATCCAGGTGAAATCACAACCATCTTTTTATATACATGAAGTCCTCACTTAGTTTTGGAATTCCCTGAAAACTGACTTTATGGAAACAATGTACAGGAGGTCGTCCAACACCATTGGTTGTTCAAAGTTGTGTAGTTACACTGTTGATGAAAAATAAGTGGTTTCACTATACATAATTTTGCTTCAAGGTGAAGTTTCCAAGAGACTTTCAAAGATGTTAAGTGAGGACATACTGTACATCAAATTCATATCCTCTTCCACAGTTCATGTGGAATTTCTTTATAAACTGGTTCTAGAGAATCTATTTAGGCAGGTTATGTGGAGAGATCTATGTCGCCGTTCTCAATCTTGGTTTTGAGTCAACTCACCTGGGGAGGTTACAAATGATGAGGCCTGGGTCTCAATACCTGAGATTCTGATTTCCTTGCACCTGTGTGAATATGTGGATTTTTTTTTTTCTTTGAAAGCACCAGAGGTGGTTCCAATGACGAAGTTTTTAGAGGCATCAAGCTCCAATGAGTGAGAACAGAAATTAATTGTAATATGATTTCTTCAATTATTATCTTCAAATGCATTGTCCATCAACACCATACAAATGTTTATTATGCTGTTTTTTCTTACCATTTCGCATTTTCTATTTCTTTCTTTTCCTTATTTTTTGAGTCAGAGTTTCCGTCTTGTTGCCCAGGCTGGAGTTCAATGGCACGGTCTCGGCTCACTGCAACCTCTGCCTCCCGTATTCAAGCAATTCTCCTGTCTCAGCCTTCCAAGTAGCTGGGATTACAGGCATGCGCTACCATGCCTGGCTAATTTTTTTTTTTTTTTGTATTGTTAATCGAGACAGTGTTTCTCCATTTTGGTCAGGCTGGTCTTGAACTCCCGACCTCAGGTGATCCGCCCGCTTCCGCCTCCCAAAGTGCTGGGATTACAGGCATGAGCGACCGCTCCCAGCCACCACTCAGCATTTACATTTTACATTTGTTGAAGTTGTAGATTTATACACACATTGATTGTTGCTTTGTTATACACTTGCATATACATAAGATGGGAAATAGAAAAGAATAAAATGGGCACAGTATCCCTGAGGTTTCAGATTCCGAGACATTTTAAAAATATTTACTCTTCAGAAATTTGTTTCAATGAAGAAACTGTGGTATACACACCCAGTGAAGTATTATTCAGCCTAAAAAGGAAGAAACTCCTCTCCGCTGCAGACAAAATGGATGAGATTGCAGGTCTGTATATTAAATGAAATAAGCCAGGCACAGAATTACACATATTTCATGCCTCACTTCTTTTTTTTTTTTTTTTTTTTTTTTTTTTTTTTTTTTGAGACGGAGTCTCGCTCTGTCGCCCAGGCTGGAGTGCAGTGGCGCGATCTCGGCTCACTGCAAGCTCCGCCTCCCGGGTTCACGCCATTCTCCTGTCTCAGCCTCCCGAGTAGCTGGGACTACAGGCGCCCGCTACCACGCCCGGCTAATTTTTTGTATTTTTAGTAGAGACGGGGTTTCACCGTGTTAGCCTGGATGGTCTCGATCTCCTGACCTTGTGATCTGCCCGCCTCGGCCTCCCAAAGTGCTGGGATTACAGGCGTGAGCCACCTCATGTCCTCACTTCTATGTAGGAAGAAAGAAGGACACCTTTGCCAGGTGTGGTGGCTCAGGCCTGTAATCCCAGCACTCCGGGAGGCCGAGTCGCACGGATCACTTGAGTCCAGGAGCTCGAGACCCGCCTGGCCAACATGGTGAAACCCCGTCCCTATGGAAAACACAAGCAATGAGCCGGGCGTGGTGACGCGTGCCTGTAGTCTCAGCTACTCGGAGGGCTGAGGCCCAAGAAGGGCTTGAACTCGGGAGGCAGAGCTTGCAGTGAGCACTGATTGTGCCTGCGTACTCCAACCTGGGCAACAGAAAGAGACTGCATCACACATCTACACACAAAAGGAATCTCAGGAAGATGGAAAGTATAAAGGTGATCAGCAGACGCTAGGAAGAAAAGGGCTGGGATAGGGAATGAAGACAAGTGGATAATTGGGTCCCAAAATACAGAAAGATGGAATAAGTGAGTTCTAGTGTTTGATAGTACAGTATGAAAATTTTAGTTCACAAGAATTGCTTGCATATTTCCAGATGCTTTGGTAAGAAGCTTCCTAACTTTCTCATTATGCTGGTTTTTAAGCTTTGCTCTTGAAATCATGCTGGTTTTTTGTTTTTTGTTTTGAGATGGAGTTTCGCTCTTTTTGCCCAGGCTGGAGTGTCAAGGCGCAATCTTGGCTCAACGCTACCTCTGCCTCCTGGGTTCAAGCGATTCTCCTGCCTCCACCTCCCGAGTAGCTGGGATTACAGGCATGTGCCAGCACGCCCTGCTAATGTTGTATTTGTAGTAGAGATGGGGGTTTTTCCCTGTCGGTCAGGCTGGTCTTCAACTCCTGACCTCAGGTGATCCACGGGCCTCGGCCTCCCAAAGTGCTGGGATTACAGGCGTGAGCGACCCCGCCCGGCCCATGCTGTATCTTTATCTGTTGTCTGTTGTTGTTTGTTTCTGTTGGAGCCCAGAAATAACTTCTCACCTATATGTTCAAATGATTTTTCACATGAGTGCTAAGAAAGCTCATTGGTGGAAAAGCAGCCTTTTCAAGAAATGTTGTTGGAGAAACTTGATTTCCACATGCAGAAGAATGAAGGTGGACCCTTTGTCACACCAGGTACAAAAATTAACACAAACTGGATCAAAGACCTCACGCCAAGCGCTAAAAGTATCATACGCCTAAAAGAAAACATTGGCCACGCTTTCATGACATCAGATTGGACAATATTCTCTGGGATGACACCAAAAGCATAGGCAACAAAAGAAAATTAGATTCCTTGGATTACATCTAAATGACAGACACTTTTGTGCAGCAAAAAAAAACACTGTGAACTGAGTGAAAAGATAACCCATGGATTAGGAAAAAGATTTGCAAAGCATATATCTGAAAAGAAGCTGATATCCATCATATATAAAGAATAGCTAGAACTAAACAATAAGAAACCCAAAGTATCCCATCAACAATGGTCAGAAGACTCGAGTAGAGGTGTCCCTAAAGAAGATATAGCAATGGCCAATAAGCATCTAAAATGATGTTCAAAGTCACTCGTCATAGGGAAGCACAAATCAAACCAAGAATGTCATACCACACATTAGGATGGATATGATAAACAAACAAGCATTAGTGAGACTAGAGGGAAGTAAGAATGCTCGAATATGTTTGGAGGGAATGTAAAACCATGAAGGAACGGGGAAAATAGTATGGCGTCTACTGGAAAAATTAGAAACAGAATGATCAGATGTTCCCGCAGTTTCATTTGTGGGTACCTACCAAAAAGAATTAGAAGCCAAGAGTGGAAGACAGATTTGTGTACACCCATGTTCATAGCAGCATTATTCACAACAGCCAAAATGTGGAAGCAACCCAAGGGTTCGTGGACAGATGAATGAAAAAGAACACTGCAGTTCCTTCATACAATGGAAGACTATTCAGCCTTCAAAAGGCAGGCACTTCTGGCCGGTGTGGTGGCTCACGCCTGTAATCGCAGCGTCTTGGAAGACCGAGGTGGGCGGATCACCTGAGGTCAGGAATTCAAGACCAGCCTGGCCATCTTGGTGAAACCCTGTCTCTACTGAAAATGCAAAAAATGAGACGAGCGTGGTGGCGTGTACCTATACTCCCAACTACTCAGGAGGCTGAGGCTCAAGAATCGCTGGAACCCGGGAGGCGGAGGTTGCAGTGAGCCCAGATTGTGGCGCTGCACTCCAGCCTGTGCGACAGAGTGAGACTCCATGGAAACACAAAACAAAACAAAGTCAAACGAACAAACAAACAAAAAACAAACCAAAAAAAAAAAAAAAACAGAGAGGCACTTCTGACGCAGGCCGCAATATGGATGAACCTTGCAAACATTATCGTCAGTGAAATAAATGAATCCCAAAAGGATAAACACGCCCAGGCTCAGTGGCTCGCACCTGTAACCCCAGCACTTTGGGAGGCTGAGCCAGGCGGGATCACTTCAGGTCAGGAGTTCGAGACCAGCCTGGCCAATATGGTCTCTATTTAAAATACAAAAATTAGCTGGGCGTGGTGGCGCACGCCTGTAATCCCAGCTACTCCAGAGACTGAGACAGAAGAATCGCTTGAAACCACTATGTGGAGGTTACAGTGAGCCGAGATCACGCCACTGCACTCCAGCCTGGGTGACAGAGAAAGACTCTGTCTCCAAAACAAGAAAATTAAACACGGTATGATTCCACTTATCTATCAAGTGTCTAGAGTAGTTAAACTCATAGAGTTGCAAACTAGAAAGGTGACCCCCAGGGGCGGGCGAGAGAGAGGAGTGGAGAGCTTGGTGAATGGGTGCAATTTCCATTTTGAAAGATAAAACTGTTCCGGAGACGATGACGGTGATGGTTGCTAAACAAAGTGAAATACTTAATGTCATAAAACTGCAAACTGAAAAAGAGTGGAAATTGTAAATGTTTATACTGGCCATTCTATATGAACTAATATATATTTATAATTTTTAATATTTATACGTGGTATATTTTCCCATAATAAGAGATGAAAATTAAAGCAGTTGGATGTTTAAAAAGAAAAGAAAGAAGCGAAGAATACACATCAGCTTTCTCCTGATTAGAGGAAGAGCCCCACACTTCTATGGACACTCACTTTTATCTTCTTTTTCTTGCATTATTATGAGGAAATCCTTCGTGGTTGGGGAACTTGGGCGACTTTGGCTAATGAGGAGCTCTGTGCCTTGAACCCCCAGGGCACAGAATAGTAAATAGTCAGTCTATGCCTCCAGCCCTGCAGTGTGAATTTGCAGTCCTGTGGGCTCCACAGACATCACCTGTATCAGGAGGCTCATGTCTTACCCTGTCTTCTTGCCAGCCTCGAGGACGGAGTCTGAGCCTCCATGGTGCACCACGCAGGGAGGACAGTGGACCTGTTGTCCATGGTCATGGCCCAGCAGAGGGGAAGGGCAGTTCAGTGAGTGTAGGCAAAAGAAAGAGCGATCAGACTCTTACTGTGTCTATGTAGAAAGGAAAGACATAAGAGACTCCATTTTGAAAAAGACCTGTACTTTCAACAATTGCTTTGCTGAGATGTTGTTAATCTGTAGCTTTTCCCCAGTCAGTTTGAACAAACCACTTTGACCCAACCTGAAGCTCACAAAAGCATGTGTTGTATGAAATCAAGGTTTAAGGGATCTAGGGCTGTGCAGGACGTGCCTTGTTTACAAGATGTTTCCAAGCAGTATACTTGGTAAAAGTCATCGCCATTCTCTAGTCTCAATAAACCAGGGGCACAATACACTGTGGAAAGCCTCAGGGAGCCGTGCCCTTGAAAGCGGTGTATTGTCCAAGGTTTCTCCCCATGTGATAGTCTGAAAAGTGGCCTCGTGGGAGGAGAAAGACCTGACCGTCTCCAAGCCCAACACCAGTAAAGGGTCTGTGCTGAGGTGGATTAGTCAAAGAGGAAAGCCTCTTGCAGTTGAGAGAGAGGAAGGCCGCTGTCTCCTGCCTGCCCCTGGGAACTGAATGTCTCGGTATAAAACCCCACTGTACATTTGTTGAATTCTGAGATGCTAGAAAAACCGCCCTATGGCGGGAGGTGAGACATGTTTGCAGCAATGCTGCCTTGTTATTCTTTACTCCACTGAGATGTTTGCATGGAGAGAAACATAAATCTTGCTTAGAGACACGTCCAGTCATAGTAACTTCCCTTGAACTTCCTTATGACTTAGATTGTATTGCTCACATGTTCGTTCCTGACCTTCTCCTTATTATCACCCTGCCCTCCTACTACATTCCTTTTTGCTAAAATAATAAAAATAATAATCAATAAAAGCTGAGGGAACTCAGAGGCCTTTACCGGTTCAGATCCTTGGTATGCTGAGCGCCGGTCCCCTAGGTCCATTGTTGTTTCTCCATACTTTGTCTCTGTGTCTTATTTCTTTTCTCAGTCTCTCGTCCCACCCAACTAGAAATACCCACAGGTGTGGAGGGGCAGGCCACACATTCAAGTGAGTGCTGAGGGACGGTCGGGAGCCTTGTTTGTTTTCTCCTCCTCAGGACAAACAGGAGAATGCGCTGGGCAGATGTGAGGAGACCAATATGCAAACTCTGTGCTCAGCAGACTGTGGAGTTTCTGTTCTTGGTTGTGCTGGGGGTCCCAGAAATCTTATTCAAAATTTTTCTTTCCTCCCCCACTGGTTGTCCTTTTCATAGACATCTCACCTATGATAGAAGGGAATCAGTCCCTCTAAACTATTCCCTAAGAACAACAAAGAGATTATGAAGGTGATGATGAGGATAAAGAGGATGACGACAGACACCATGGCATCATGAACCCTTAACTGAAGGCTTCCTAAAGGCCAGGCTCTGAGCTCTGTGCTCTATGCAGCTGGTTTCATTTCATCTGCATAGTCTCCACGTTATTAGTGCACATTTCATGATGATTTTACAGACTAGAAAAGGCGCAACGGAGTTTCATGTAGCTTGTACCAGATCATGAAGTCAAAAAGGGTGAAGTCCAATTTGAACCAGGCAGTCTAAGTCCAGACTTATGGCATTTGGCCAGTCCTCTCCCTGCATCCAACCTGCCCTCTCAAATCCTCATCACTCAGGCCGATGGCCCTGCTCACTGTGCCCTTCCCTTTGGGGGTTCCTTGTAGACCACAGCTAGACCAGTGGGTGCCACAATGACTGTGTCATGTATAGAAAGGGCAGCTGAGATCACATCAAGGATTCCAGAAAGAATTGTCACAGGATCATTCGGGACGCATCCCTACCTTGCCCCTGTTCCTGGCTTTTCTTACAGCTCTCGACTTCCTCAAAGGAGTCATCAATTCGGAGTTTGGCTTCCATTTCTATTGAGGAAGCTGGAAAGCATTTCGAAAATGCTCTTCTGATGTGCCTGTGGTTAAGACCTCTGAGCTCTGCTTAAAACTTTTGGAAGCTGGGCGCGGTGGCTCATGCGTGTAATCCCAGTCCTTTGGGAGGCTGAGGCAGGCGAATCACAAGGTCAGAAGTTCGAGACCAGCCTGGCCAACATGGTGAAACCCTGTCTCTAATAAAAATACAAAAAAAAAAAAAAAAATAGTCAGGCATGCTGTCGTATGGCTGTAATCCCAGCCACTGGGGAGGCTGAGGCAGGAGACTCCTTTGAAGCCGGGAGACAGAGGTTGCAGTGAACCGAGATCACACCACTGCACTCCAGCCTGGGCAACAGAGCAAGACTCTGTTTTAAAAAAATAAATTAATAAAAATTACGAAAAAATGTGCTTGGATGGGCTTGGCAAACTTTAGCCATTATCTCACGTACCACTTTGGAAGGGCATACCTTCAGTCACTTCACCCTTTAATTCCTTTGCTCAAGACTAAAGTTCTGAGAGGAAGTCTAATCGGCTGAGTTGTGTCCATGTGGGCAGTGCAGTAAAGGGTGCAGTGGGAGGCGGCTCCAGGGACGTCTTTGGCTTCCATCATGGGGGATCAAGCACCTGGATTATCCACCCTAAGAAATCTGGACAAAGGAAAACGAGGTTCTCTGAGGAAGGAGACATAGAGCCCAAGGAGCTAACCAAGAGACAAATAGTCATCCTGTCTTGTCATTTTCTTTTACACATGTGTGTACATTATCTTACACTTATCACTTTGTTTTCTTTCTCTCCTTTAATTGCACCCTGTTGCCAAAAGTTAAAATAGAATGAAAGTATTGAGATAGCTCAGTAACTGACTTTTGGTCAATTGCCTTTTCATATAGTGAACAGCTGTCCAAACGATTGTCTCTGTCACTGTGCAAATTTGCAAGCGTTTGCATGATTACTCCCAATCCCCCAACACAGGGCTGTGTTACAGCACAATTTAGTTCAGTGTTTTGCTCTCTGCAACAGGGAGGTTCTCATCCATTACAGGTTGCAGTAAAAACAGGGGTACCATAAGCAACCACCTCTTTCCTCAACGATGTGATGAAAGCAAAAGCCAAGTAGCTCCATGTATCCAACTTAAAAATATAAAAAGTTACGCCCGTGGGCTGCAGTTGGAGCTATGGCGGCGGCAGCTGTCACAGGGCCTAGCCCAGGGTGTGGACCGGGGGACTCCCCAGATGGGCCCGATGTGGAGGCTCACGGAGCGTCGGCGGAAGGCGCACAGGATGCTAAAGCTTTACAACGGCCTTTCGGAAGGGGAGGCCGTGGGACTCCCCGCGGGGCCCGACCCCCTGGACCCCACTGATCTGAACGGGGAGCACTTCGACCCGGAAGTTTACCTAGACAAGCTGCCTAGAGAGTGCCCTCTGGCCCAGCTGATGGACAGTGAGACAGACATGGTGCAGCAGATCCGGGCTCTAGACAGAGACATGCAAATTCTGGTCTATGAGAACTACGTTAAGTTCATCCCAGCCACAGAAATTGACAAACAGCATAAAACTGTATGAGGAATTGCAGGAGACCCAGAATTTCCCAAATAACCTTGTAAAAGAGGAACAAAGTTGGAAGACTCACACACAAAAAATACATATATATATATAAAGTTGTGTTTTCATTCAGTTGTAAATGTTTAGTAATTTCTATTGTGATTTTTCATTTAACTCATGAAAGGATATTTTTAATTTTCCTAATGTATGCTTGTGTTTAGCTATCTTCTTGCTGTTGACTTCTACTTTTGTTGCATTATGGTCAGGAAAATGTGGTCTGGACAATGTCAATCGTATAGTGGATTTTGTTGAGACTTCTTTATGGCCTAATATGTGGCCAGTTTTTTTTTTTTTTTTTTTTTTTTTTTGCAAATTTGCCACATGTTGTTAAAAGGAATGTGGATTATTTGTTTTTTTAGGAGAGTTTTTATTTTTAAATAGATAAGTTTCTCAGTATAATTGAAATCTAGCTTCAATTAACAATATGCTAGATCTCTCAAACCTTAGGATATTAGTCAGTGTAACAATAGACTGCTGCTGAGATGAATAAACCCTGAACTCTCAGTGGGTTGGCACCCATAGCATAGTCTGGTGCAGGGCAGGGGTTCTCCTTGGGGGCCCTTGTCCAACAGTGATTCAGAGATTCTGGAGGTTTCCATCTTTTAATTCTGTCATCTCAGAGTTTTTTGCTTGTAGCCATATGGATAGGAAGAGAGGGAACATAGCTCACACTTGTCTTTGATAACCTTGGCCTGAAGTTATTTCTTACATTCCTATTGGTGGAAATGCAGTCACATGGTTGCAAACTAACTGCAAGTGAGGCTGGGAAATGTAGTCTTTCTGCATGTCCAGGAAGAGGAATCGTGTGAACACAGCATTGTCTTTGACACACTAAGCATGTGCTGAAGAGTTCTTACTCTTATAGGAGGTTTGTCTGCCCTGTGTAACTTTCTCAGTTTTTGCTTAGATAGTTTCAGGCAATGTTGTTTGGTGCATTCAGCTTGATGATTATTATGTCCTCTTGGCAAAGCAGTCAAGATTCCCATCAGTTTGAATGGAAGTGTTTTACAAATAGGTCAGGAAATGTTAATACTTTAAAAGGCCCTTCTATTCCTCCACTCTACAGATAAGAACAACAGAGTCCTAGAGAGAGGAGGTCATGGGTCTCACTCATGAGTGGCACAATTGAAACCAACATGGCAGTAACTTTGCCTTTCCCCCATCATGTTGTTCTCCCTCTATCTTCACTCTGCTGATTTCTTCACTTGCTCCATACAGACCTCCCAGTGCCAAGTGTATAAGTGTGCCTGGAATTGGTGGGTTCTTGGTCTCACTGACTTCAAGAATGAAGCCGTGGACCCTCCTGGTGAGTGTTACAGTTCTTAAAGGTCGTGTGTCTGGAGTTTGTTCCTTCTGATGTTCGGATGTGTTCGAAGCTTCTTCCTTCTGGTGGGGTTCGTGGTCTCGCTGGCTCAGGAGTGAAGCTACAGACCTTCATGGTGAGTGTTACAGCTCTTAAGGCTGCACGTCTGGAGTTGTTCATGTCTCCCAGTGGGTTCACGGTCTTGCTGGCTTCAGGAGTGAAGCTGCACACCTTATCAGTGAGTGTTACAGCTCATAAAGGCAGTGTGGACCCAAACAGTGAGCAGCAACAAGATTTATTGCAAAGAGCAAAAGAACAAAGCTTCCACAGTGTGGAAGGGGACCCCAGCGGGTTGCCACTGCTGGCTCGGGCAACCTGCTTTTATTCTCTTACCTGGCCCCACCCACATCCTGCTGATTGGTCCATTTTACAGAGAGCCTGAGTGGTCTGTTTTGACAGGGTGCTGATTGGTGCGTTTACAATCCCTGAGCTAGACACAAAGGCTCCCCACGTCCCCACTAGATAAGCTACATACAGAGTGTCCACAGAAAGGTTTTCCAAGTCCCCACCATAGTAACTAGATACAGAGTGTCGATTGGTGCATTCACAAACCCTGAGCTAGACACAAGGTGCTGATTGGTGTGTTTACAAACCTTGAGCTAGATACAGAGTGCCAATTGGTGTATTTACAATCCCTTAGCTAGACATAAATGTTCTCCAAGTCCCCACCAGACTCAGGAGCCCAGCTGGCTTCACCCAGTGGATCCCACACAGGAGCCGCAGGTGGAGCTGCCTGCCAGTCCCTCTCCGTGCGCCCACACTCCTCAGCCCTTGGGTGGTTGATGGGACTGGGTGCCGTGGAGCAGGGGGCGGTGCTCGTCGGGGGGGCTTGGGCCACTCAGGAGCCCATGGAGCAGGAAGGCTAAGGAATGGTGGGCTGCAGGTCCCAAGCCCTGGCACACGGGGAGGCAGCTAAGGCCTGGTGAGAAGTCGAGCACAGCAGCTGCTGGCCCAGGTGCTAAGCCCCTCACTGCCTGGGCTGGCAAGGCCGGCCCGGCAGCTCCTAGCGAGGGGCTGCCAAGCCCATGCCCACCCAGAACTCCAGCAGGCAGGCAAGCAGCACACATAGCCCCGGTTCTGGCTCATGTCTCTCCTTCCACACCTCCCTGCAAGCTGAGGGAGCCAGCTCCTACCTTGGCCAGCCCAGAAAGGGGCTCCCACCATGCAGCTGTGGGCTGAAGGGCTCCTCTAGTGCCACCAAAGTGGGACCCCAGGCAGAGGAGGTGCCGAGAGTGAGCGAGGGCTGTGAGGGCTGCCAGCACGCTTTCACCTCTCATAAGGAGTGATTAATCTGAGCTTCTCCAGAAAGTCTATTCCTGGTAGGCACTGGGAATAAGAAATCTCAGAGTATAAAAAAAAGCAAGTGGGCTGGGCGTGGTGGCTCACGCCTGTAATCCCAGCACTTTGGGAGGCCGAGGCGGGCGGATCACGAGGTCAGGAGATCGAGACCACGGTGAAACCCCGTCTCTACTAAAAATACAAAAAATTAGCTGGACGCAGTGGCGGGCGCCTGTAGTCCCAGCTACTCGGGAGGCTGAGGCAGGAGAATGGTGTGAACCCGGAAGGCGGAGCTTGCAGTGAGCGGAGATCGCGTCACAGCACTCCCGCCTGGGCGACAGAACGAGACTCCGTCTCAAAAAAAAAAAAAAAAAAAAAAAGCAAGTGGTAGCACTATTGTGAATGGCTCCCAAATTAGATCCTTTACCTTTTTTTTTTCTTGAAGCACAGTTGCACAAAACACGCTTAGCCTGAGATAAAGCACATATTAGAGAAAGGTTCTCTCTATAGCATTATGTATTACTCGAATGAGCATTAAAAAGAAGAGACGGGACATGCTCTCTCTAGCTATTATTACCTCCACTATACAGTTGACATACACAAGCTCATTATTGCATTATGTTTTATTCAACAAAATAACTTTAATGTTGAAGCTTAAATTGAATTTGCTAAAACGTCTTTGTTTCCAGCATAATGTGCCTCAAGTGTCTCCTTGGTGCCTGAATTTTCTCCAGAATTATAGTGCTGAAGCTATGGAAATGGTGAAATTATACGCAATCTGCAAAACAATGTGGCTAAACGTGGTAATTGGCCTTCCACATAATTAAAGGAACATTTCCTCATCAGAGCTGTTCCATCAGAGACCCAAATGCTATCGTTGTACTAATCACCCACTTAGGAAAACCTTTATTCCCAGTAGCCTATAAAAATCTGGTTATGCAAACAGATTTGCTTATTCAGTAACATTAATGGCTTCTCATAGTTAAAAAGTCATCAATGTGATTGACCTATAATCTGTTTCCTCTGTGACCAAGTGTCATTTTTATTTTGACAGTTAGGAGGCTTTTGACTCTTTCACAGCTGGCATGAAGGCACAGGGAGGGAAATCTCAAAAACCAACAACCTGTGTATTCCCAGCCTATTAATCAATAGAAAATCACTCAACTGGATTAGGGTCTTGTACCTGGCAGAAAGGCTCTTATGGACATTGGAATTGGATTTTTACACTTGATATGACACCTCCTTGAGTCAGATCAGATTTGTGTTTGATAGACTCTTGCCGAAAAATTGCTCCAGGGTCTGTGCAGTAGCTAAAGCCTTTTTTTTGTTGTTGTTGTTGTTGTTTTAAAAGCAGCATTAAATGTTTTCATGAAGACCTTCCCAGCAGTGATTTTATTGGGAATATGGTCTTTAGCTCTGGTCCTGAATAACTCACACTGAGGAAACCTCTAACAAGTGTTGTATTGGAAGATGTCTGATGGATGTTTGGTTTTAATAACAAATCGCTTCCCTTTTTCTGTCCCCTGTGTTCTATTCTCCTTTCTCTACACATTATTCTGGGAGGATTCACCTATTCCCAAAGTCCTTTCCTCTTTATTTCCATTCCAGAGCTCTCTGTATAACTCCAGGCTGATGAATCCGACTGCCCAGTTGTTATCTCCACTTGGCTGTCTGTCTTGCATTGACCTCATCTTACCTTTCCTCTCCTGATTTCCTCTTCTGCCAGGGCTCACCACGTCAGATTCACACCACCATTCACCCAGCTTCCAAAACACCTGGGCCTCATTCTTCATTCCTCCCTCTCTCTCAGTCAAGTTAGTCTACTGTCTCCTCTCCATCCTCACTGCCACAGCCTTGGTCCAGCCAACCATCCTGTCTCACTTGGTGTATTGCAACTTCCTACCTGGTCTACTCACGTCCCACTCTCCTCCAGCCAGGCTGCTCTTTTTATAGCACAAAGTGGATCATTACTCCCCTGCATAAAAACATCTACTGTCTCCCTTTGTCTACAGGATAAACACGACAAAGAGCCTTTAAGATTTGGCTCCAACTTACCTCTACATTAGTCACTTTTTACAATTATATGAACATCTCTCAGCTTCTCACCCTCTCATGTCTCGATTTTTGCACATGCTCTTCCCTCTGCTGGGAATGATCTTCCACACCTCTCCTATCGATCTGGCTAATCCCTACCATTTTCTAGTCTTCAACTGAGGAGTCCTGTAGTGGAGAAGGATTTCTCACCACCTGATAGAGATTGCATGCCCACCCATCTCCTGGCTTTTTTTTTTTTTTTTGACGGAGTCTCACTCTGGCCATCCAGCCTGGAGTGCAGTGGCACGATCTTGGCTCACTGCAATCTCCGCCTCCCGGGTTCAAGCAATTCTCCCACCTCAGCCTTCTGAGTATCTGGAATTACAGGTGCCCGCCACAACACCCGGCTAATCTTTTTGTATTTTTAGTAAAGACAGGATTTCACCATGTTGGCCACGCTGTTTTCGAACTCCTGGCCTCAAGTGATCCACCTACCTTGGCCTCCCAAAGTGCTGGGATTACAGGCATGAACAACTGCACCTGGCCGATTGGGTGCCCCTTCTTTGTGCTCCCATTGCCCCAGGCATACTGTCACCATAACTCCTACCATTCTGAGTTGAAAATGATTTTTCTTTTTGCTTTTTATTTCTCTCATTAAATGCAAAGATCATTGAAAAGAGGATGGTGGTTGTTCACTGTTGTACTCCTAACCTTTGACTGAGTGTCCTGAGGTCGGCTCTAGAGCTGTGCACACATGTTCAGACATTGGAGCACATCTTGTCTAGCGCCTCTTTTGAGGTGGCTTGGAGAAAAGTCAGTTCGTACTTCCCCTAGGATGAAACAGAAGCTTCACCTAAATCAGGAGTTCTTCAACTTCAACCTGCATTAGAATCCTCTGAGAGCTTGTTAAAAATACAGTCTCCTAGAGTCCACTCTTCAAGAGTCAGTGAGTTGCTTCATCATCAAAATATATATAGAATCTAGCAGGTCTTCAGTGCCAGCCTGGTCTGAGCCACTGTGGACTCCCGCCTGCAGAATCTCACTGCTGGTCTCCTTGCTTCTGCTCTTACCTTCTTATCATCCATTCAAATAGCCAGAGTGATCCTTTTTAAAAATTTTTTTTAAATTTTTTTGAGATGAAGTCTCACCTGTGGCTCAGGCTGGAGAGCAGTGGTGCTATCTCTGTTCACAGCAGCCTCTACCTCCTGGGCTCAAGCCATCCTCTCACCTCAGCCTCCTGGGTAGCTGGGACCACAGGCATGCACCACCACACCTGGCTGATTTTTGTATTTTTTGTAAAGACAGGGTCTTGCTATGTTGCCCAAGCTAGTCTTGAACTTCTGTTTGCGCCCACCTCAGCCTCCTGCATTTTTAGGAAGCCCCTCTTGTAGGGATTTTGATGCAGAGGCCTGGGTGCCTCATGTCTCCTCCCATCTCTCTCTGTCTTTCTGTCTCTGTGTCTGTCTCTGTCTATCTCTCTCTCTTTCTCTTTGCCTTATAGCTGCCCTGGAGACTAGACTCCGCCTTAGGCATCCCTCTGACTCCTGTTTGCTTTTACACTGAGGCTGCTTTAAGTCGCACCTTGATCTGAAGCCTTGGGCTTCTGTTCCTATTGCTTGCTTTTGTTGGAAGGGCCGTGCAGCTTCTTGACAAATTGCAAATGTGCCCACGAGTTTCCAAGTCCCCAAGAACAAAACCAGATGACAAACAAGGATGCAGCCCATGGCTGGGGAGACAGATTTCATGTCCACACAGAGATTCCAAGATGCTGAACTGAAATCCACCCCGAAACCTGTTTTCTCTCTCGTTTAAGTTCAATGTCACCTGGGGGCTTGCAGGGCAGGGCTGGTGACCAAAGGGCAAAGATGCTTTGAAAGGTCAACTGAGAATGGTATGGTGGTTGACAGATGGCACGTCAGGGCATAGATTAACATGGAAAGAGAAACTCATCCCTTCGGGGGAGTGTGTGAGGCTGGCAGCCACACAGAGGGCTTTTCCTGCAAGCTCTCGCACAGATGCAAACAGCCAGGAGGTTTTGCTTTCTGAGCCTGAGTGGAACCGTGTTCCTCCCTGCACATGGCCGCTCTGCAGCAAATGTTTATTCCTGTTGCATTGATTAAAAGTGCTTACCAGGCCGGGCGCGGTGGCTCACGCCTGTAATCCCAGCACTTTGGGAGGCCAAGGCGGGCAGATCACAAGGTCAGGAAATTGAGGCCATCCTGGCTGACACGGTGAAACCCCGTCTCTACTAAAAATACAAAAAATTAGCCGGGCATGGTGGCGGGCGCCTGTAGTCCCAGCTACTTGGGAGGCTGAGGCAGGAGAACGGCATGAACCTGGGAGGCGGAGCTTGCAGTGAGCCAAGATTGCGCCACTGCACTCCAGCCTGGATGACAGAGCAAGACTCCGTCTCAAAAAAAAAAAAATAAAGAATGTGCTTACTGAAAGGGTTTGAGGGGAGTGGTGACAGTGTGAGTTATGGCTCTGCCGGCTGCCAGTGGTGCCAGGCGCTCTGCACAGCTGTGCAAGGGTGTTTTGAAAAGTGGTTCAGCCAGCCAGGAGTGACTGGGTGTAAGTGTTGCTGCCACAACATCTTGTAGTCTGATTGGGGCCGTATTTGCAGAACCCCTAAACCACTACACTTCTTGAGGCTTAAAAATAAGCTTGCTTTTTTGTTTGTTTGTTTGTCTTGGTTTGTTTTATGAGACAGAGTCTCGTTCTGTCGCCGGGCTGGAATGCAGTGGCATGATCTCGGCCCACTGCAACCTCTGACTCCTGGGTTCAAGTGATTCTCCTGCCTCAGGCTCCCGAGTAGCTGGGACCTGGGACTACAGGCGTGTGCCATCTTGGTCCGCTCATTTTTGAATTTTTAGTAGAGACGGGGCTTCACCATGTTAGCCAGGATGGTCCGATCTCTTGACCTCGTGATCTGCCCACCTCGGCCTCCCAAAGTCCTGGGATTACAGGTGTGAGCCACCGTGCCTGGCCAAACATAAACTTACTTTCTTACCTCTTCTGCTGGACTCTATTTGCTTCTTTTCCCAAACGTCTTCATCCAAAAGAGCTTTTAGAAACAAAGTTACCCAATGCCCTTCCCTAGCCTCTCCTTGCAACTGGCTCTCAGCAGGGTGTAGGAGGAAATCCTTGACAGAACCAATTTACGTGACTGTTTGGAGGACTCTGGCTAGCCCCAGGAGGTGTTTGCATTTTTAAATTGGTTACTAGTGTCAGAATGTTTCATGAGTAAGAGCACAGCCTCTATGTTGGATGCCCTGAATTTGAATCTCAGCAAAGCCACTTTGTATATAACCAGAGGATGGATTTGGGGACTCAATGGATCTATCATGACATGAACTTTCATCAACATTCACCTGACCTCCAAAATGCCTATTCTGACTGGTAGACCCTAGTCTCGCCCTAGTGCCAGTTCAGAGCCTGTGTCCAGTGATCCTGCACAGATCTCATCAGTTCCTTTTCCCCTGTTCAGTCATCCTGGTAAAAGGCTGTGTATTCCTTCGGGGGCAGGCTGGGAGAAAAATTGACAGTATAAATTTTTGGCAGTGGAGCAGAGTCCTTTCTGGAGGGGACCTGGCTTCCCATTCAGACAAGGGACTCCGGGTCTGTGAACTGGCTTATGTCTGGGAATTGACTGAGGACTGTGACTCTGTTATTATGATTCAGATTAGACTTCTACTCACCTGACCTAGAACACTTCTGCAAACACAGATCAAGTAAAAATGTGGCAGGCTTCTTATCTATTTCACTTCTAGGAATGCCACGATCAGCTGGCACCATAGTTCTCTGCGAGTCAGGCTATTCTGGTTGCAGCTTTGACTCTGCTGTCTTTTATGGTAACTGCGTCCACATTGCCTTTGGGGATTGAGTGCTGCGATCACTTGGCCCCGGCCTCTGTACTGTGCCTATGTCATTACCCTCTTTATACCTCAGTCTCTCCTCTGTAAAATGGACATCCTAATAGCACCCACCCCCAGGGCTGCTGTGAAGTATAGATGGATTAGCATATGGAAAGTAATAGAAGAGGGTCTCAAAGCCCATGTGTCGTTATCAGAATTATTTCGTAGCAGGGGAGAGCTGGAGGAGAGAGGAAGGTGCTGAGCAGACCCATGTGCTCTCCCACCAGTGTTTCCTGAGCACCTACTATGTGCTGCCCACTGTGAGAGCTTTTAGGGTTGAAATAGGGAGCACAGCAGGGTAGGGGCCGCCATCAGGAGCTTAGTGGAGAGACCGTTGTGCAACATGGTTCCAGCGCTTGGGGTGGAGAAGCTCAGGGAGTTCAGGGGCCTAAGATCCCGGGCAGAATCATGGAAAGGACACAGCCTCCCCAGCCTCTCCTGCTTCCACTGCCTCCCTGGCCTCCTCTGCTTCCCTGGCCTCTCCTGCCTTCCTGGCTTCCCCTTCCTCCCCGGCCTCCCCAGTCTCCCCTGTCTCTCCTGCTTTTGAGGTAGGCCAGGAGCTGCTGGTACTCACTTAGCCTGTCCTGGACTCTTGGTGTAGCACCTCCATGTCCAGAAAATACCCCCGGGTTCAGCTGATCACACAGCCAAGGAAGGAGCTGCACACTGACACTAAGAGTGCATTGTGGGCTCATTCATTAGGGCATGCCTCCAAAATATTTCTCCACATTTCCTCTCTTTGCCCACCTGCATTATCTCTGTGCCTGAGACCTGGCTGGGGGCCTGCAAGGATCCCCTATCTCCTTTGTCCCTGCACTGCTGGCTCCCAGGCAATCTCTCTGCCCACCACACCTCTCACCCCTCGCCCTCCACGCTCCAGCCCCACAGTCCTCTTTCTGCTTCTTTCCCAGCCTCTGGGCTTTTGCACACGCTGTTCCCTCTGCCCGAACATGCTCCACTGGGCTGAGAACAACTCTCTGAGACCTCTCTCAGCTGTTGCTTCCTTTGGAACAGCCGCTGCTGCTGTCCCTCTCCCAGCTCCAAGACCTGCTGAGCCTCCTGTCTTTCTCAGTTCCCATGCCCCCCGCTCTTCTCCTTGGCCTCCTTTGGCCCAATTGACAATGTCCATTCTCAATGCCTTCTGACCCAGCGCTGAGCCCCACGGGGTGAAGGCCATGCCTGTCATGTTCACCACAATGTCCCCTCCCCTATCACCACGCCTGGTCCACAGTGATGCTCAGAAAAGATCTGTTGGTAGGCAATGCGAAGGTGCATTCATGTCATCCTGCAGGCGGAATTCTCCACGAGTTTTGAGCAACCTCGGGTTTCCCACCACCTCCAAATCATGCAAGACACAGGGTAAGAGCAAAGACAAGGTGGCTGTGGCCGATGTCCACCCTCTCGGGGCTTCCCTTCTCTTCTCTCCTCCTTGGGCAGGGAGACCATCGGGGTGCAAACTGGCTGGGGCAGGGAGGAGGTGCAGGGCCTGGCCAGAGCGGGCCTGGCCACGGGCAAGGGACAGCGAGCACCTGGGCCGGGACAGGTGAGCGCGGCGCAGGCCCGGGCCTTGCGTGTCCGCGGTGCGCGCCAGGCCAGCAGAGGGCGCCAGAGAGCGAGGAGCGGCCCGCGGAGGAGCCCGCGCCGGCGCCGATGCCCAGCTCCGCGCCGCGCGCACCCACCGAGCCCGCGCTCAGACGCCCCAGCTCCGCCGAGAGGCCGCTCGCGACAGGTCCTTCCTCTTCCCCAAGTGCAGGCAGAGCCCCCGGAGCCACTGCCAGCCCTTCCCGCAGCTCCGAAACCACTGGCAAGCCCCGAGGCAGGGATGGCCCTCCCAGGAGGGAGGAGGACGACGTCCCTCCCGAGGAGAAGAGGCTGCGGCTGTTGCTGGAGGGGGGAAGCGCACAGCCCGGCGACTGCGAGGACGGGGAGGACGCGCCGCGGCCGGGCAGGGAGGAGACCGGCACCCAGACAGGTGGCGACGGCAGAGGAGTAAGTGACGCGGGCGCGGGGGTCCGGGGGTGCCGGGGGCGCGGGGGTGATGGGGACGCGGGGTAGGGGCGGCGGGAGGCTCCGTAGCCGGCTCCGGGTTGAAGTTGGTAACTGAGCGGCAACTCCGGCGGGCGCGGAGTGACAGCTCGTGACGGCCTCCGAGACGCCAGCTGCCCCTTCTTGGCTGTGTGGCTTCGACTTCCTGATTCTCCCACGCCGTCCCAGAGACCCGCTGGACTCTGCGGCTAGCCAAAATGGGAGGGGGGGGCGCGTCCTGGGGGCCCCCAGCAGGGGAAGGGGCGGGGGTTGCCCTGGGCATCCTGTCTGGGGCATCTGTCTGGGACTCTGTCGGTGCCTCTCACCTGGCGAGGGGCCTGTGGTGGGGGCAGGGGGGAAGTCCCTGGCGCCAGGCTTGGCCAAGCCCTGCTCTGCTGGGCTGCGGGCTGGCGGCGCTCACCCAGCTCCTCACCTGTCCCGCATCTTCCTGTTTTTCTTCCCTTTCTGGTTGGGCAGCGAGAGTTGAGAGGAGGCAGATGGCTTCCATCCCAGAAATCGCTCTTCTCTTTCCATCCCTACAGAGAGGGCCAGAGAGGCATAGTTCCTTGCATCCCGCGGGGCGCTGTCCCTATGAGCTCCCGGTGTCCTGCACACCTGGGCCCCTGAGCCACCGGGCCTGTGTGTGTGGGATGGGGCTCCGTGGCCAGCCTGGCCTCCTGGGGTTCTCTTTCTGCTTTCCTACCCCAACTCTTCCAGCGTGGTTTTGCTGGCCTTCCACTGGGGAGGCACGTGGGTTTGGAGGGCAGATGAGGGCCCGCTGGAGAGCTGTACCCCTCAGTGAGGGCCGCCACCTTGATGGTTTTTGATGGATAATGGGGTTGACTTCTTTTTTCCTTCCATATGTTTTTATGTTTGACCATTTACTTAGCTGAGCTTGTCCGAATAATTGGATTCGTGGTTAATGAACCCCACATGGGCGAGAGGGCGGCTTTCTTTCTGAACCCATTTAGGCAGCACGGGCAGCCCTCCTCGCCGTGGGCTGCATCAGAGCCCCCCCTGCCCAGTCTTGGGGTTGCTCATGGTGACATCCTCATCTCCCCGTGCACGTTACTGCATTCAGAGCTTGGGTCACCTGGACACTGAACTCAGGTGAATTTTCTCTGAGATCCCGGGAGAAGGAGGACAGTTCTCTGGAAGGTTTTCTAGGGCCTATCACGGAAAGGATGAGAAGGGAGAGGTCCTGGTCGGGGACACAATTACGGTGGCAGTGTAACACCAGGAAACTTTATTGCGTGAAGTACCTCTCACTCCCTCTACCTCCTTCTTTTACGTGGACTCTGCCAAAGACCAGGATACTAGAATGCAGTGGATTGACAAAAGGTAGTGGGACCTTGGGAACGCGAGTCTGGAGCCAGGTGTCTGGGGTTCGCGTCCTGGTTCTGCCCCTCCTTAGCTGGCTGACATGGCACAAGCCAATTACCCTCTCTGAGCCTTACTGTCTTCAGTGGCAAATGGATCGGTCAACAGGCCCCATTGCCTGGGGTTGTTACTGCTGAGATTAAGGGAAGCTCGTCCATAGAAGCACTTAGCGTTGTGCCTGGCACATAGTGTATGGTGGATAAATGGGACTTAGGACTGAAACTCATGCCTTGGTGTGTTTTTGCAGTGATGTTTTGTTCTGGGGTGCATCACAAGAGACAAGGTCCTTGGCCGGGCGTGGTGGCTCAAGCAAATAATCCCAGCACTTTGAGAGGGGGAAGGCGGGGATCGCTTGAGCCCAGGAGTTTAAGACCAGCCTGGGCAACGAGGTGAAGCCTCATATCTACCAAAAAAAAAAAAAAAAAAAAAAGCCTGGTATGGTGGTGTATGTACCTGTAGTCCCAAGTACTTTGGAGGCTGAGGTGGGAGGATTGCTAGAGCCTGGAAAGTCGGGCTGCAGTGAGCTGTGATCATGCCACTGCCCTCCAGCCTGGGTGACAAAGTAAGACGCTGTTTCAAGGAAAAGAGAGAGAGAGAGAGAGAGACAGACCCACAAGAGTCTTAAGCCAGAATCTCCATGTTAAAATGCTTCTGGAGGCTAAAAGGATGATATGTTGATAACGAAATATTTAAAAGGCAGAAACCCCACTGAATTGTTTGGTCCACAGAGGGAAATGGGAATCGCATGACCTGAAGGATGATGGAGGAACTGAACAGAAACCATCCTTGTTTCCTGAATCTGAACATGGCACCCTCTTTTCACGGTGTCTGTATCTGCTCAGTCCGGCGGCCCCTCGAAAAGAGGGAATCTTGGTTTTCAAACTTAAAATTTGGCCCAAAGCCCACTGCTGCCCACAATGCCCGCCAGACACATTCCTCTTCCTTTTTAGTTTCTATGGGAATACTCTGTTTGAAGAACCCATGAAGCAGTGTCAGGCTGGTACGAGGATCAGCAGTGATTTCTTTGAGGAAGAGAGCCCATTTCTTCACTCACAGGCCATGTCTGAGTGGATCAAGAAGAACAGAGTGCCCTTTTATGAGATTTTGTCTGCGTAGACCATTAGCTTGGTAAAAATGTCAAAACCATCCTCGTTCTTTAATAGCAGATTATTTTGGACTGTTCTCTGCAAGAAGCAGCATGGGCATTCAGATGCTTTTAAGGATAAAATGTTCTTTCTCATCACCAGGCCTGGTGCTCTGGATGGCTGAGGTTTTAATGTGACTGGATGTCCCTTGGAGTGGCTCCCAGGCTGTGCTCTTGTGGTTGGGTGGCAAGGGGTTGCTTTATTCGTTGGTGGCTAGAGGATGTTTTAGCAGATAAATCGGGCCCCCAGGAGCCCCTGAGTGCCAAGTCCTGTTGCAGGGCAAGTGTTTATGGTGGGGACGTTTTGGGGGTGGAGGGTGGGGGGCATTGGTTTCCTGCCAATATCAGAAGTTTCACAGGCTTCTTGTGTATCCATAAACACCCGCCCCTCTGAGAAGGCCTAGAAAACTTGGCCCTCCCCAAGCCTTTATTGACCCCTTGTGAATGATCCCAGGGTGTCTGACCCACAGCTCCTCCTGGAGGGAGAGAAAAGTCCCTCCTAGGTATTTGGTTATCAACCTCAACCACTTGCTGAGCCTTCCTCAAGACCAGGCACCTAGGCAGAGATTTCTGGGTTGTCAGGCTGAACCGAGCATTCAAGGGTAATAATTCGTTGGAGTCCCTGAAATCCCTGATGGACGCACCAGGTAAAAGCATCCAGGGTTGAAACCAGATGAGGAAGGTTATTGTCAGCCTGGGGCTCCTGTAGAGGTGCATCAACGTTGCAGGGATTTTCCTTCTTGCTGAGGAGAAACCTGGGTTTCTCAGCTTTGCCACAGTCACAACACTTGGGGTCAGACCATTCGTGGTGCTGGTGTTGGGGCCATCCCGTGTTTTGTAGGATGGTTAGCAGCATCTCTGGTCTCCATCCTCTAGGTGCCATTCTACCCTCCCAGCTATGGCTACCCCAGATGTCTCCAGACGGTTTCAAATGCCATGGAGCAAGGGAGTGGTACGTGAGCAAAACCACCCCAGTTGAGAGCCATTGGTCTACACTTGTGGAAATGTTTGAGGGTGAGAGTGTCGAGCTTAGGTCCCTGCTATACCCTTTATCAGCAATGCAGTCTTGGACAATTAATACTACTCCAGGGGCCTCAGGTTTCTCATCTATAAAATGGAGATAAATGAGATACACTTTCATAGGAAGATTATATGGGATTTACTGAGATAATAAGACAGTACATGAAAAATGCTGGGCATAGCATTTTTTTTTTTTTAAGACAGAGTCTTACTCTGTTGCCCAGGCTGGAGTGCAGTGGCAAGATCTCCGCTCACTGCAACCTCCACCTCCTGGGCTGAAGTGATTCTCCTGCCTCAGCCTCCCGAGTAGCTGGGATTACAGGTGCCCACCACCACACCCGGCTAATTTTTGTATTCTTAGTAGAGATGGGGTTTCACCACATTGGCCAGGCTGATCTCAAACTCCTGACCTAAGGTGATCCGCCTGCCTCGGCCTCCCAAGGTGCTGAGAACACAGGTGTGAGCCACCACGCTGGGCTGGGCATAGCATTGTAACACAGACAAAGCACAAAATACTTGGGCAATATCTTTTTACATTTGGCTTGTCTAGACTCCATCCTGCATCCCCTCATGCACTGGTGTGGTGCAGACCAGAATATCACCCACCTAGACTGCAGAGTGGATTTGGGTGGCATCTTGGCTTTCTGCACAAGACTTGCCTGTTCCCCACCACATCCCCCTGGTTCTCAGTGTCCAGGATTCCAGGAAGCAGGGATGTGGGCAGGCAGGGCAGGTGGCCACCCAGTTCACTCCCATGCTGGGGACATGAAGAGCCAGCTGTCCAAGACAGGGTGTTTGGACCAACATCTGGGTTTCTGGATTTCCATTTGAGCACAGCTGGACTACACAGGCTGAAGCTCTCTCTGCCGAGATATAGATATTTCCCTGGCGATGATCTTTCAAGCTGACATGAAGACATGGCCACCCGCTGGAACGTGGTGTGTCTGCCGTGGCGCTCTTGTAATTTGTGAGGCAGTCTCCTGAGGAATGCAGTGCATAAGTGGGAAATGGTGGGAAGTTCTCGCATCCCCGCCCAGCCGAAAGTGCTGCCTGCGCAGGTTGGTGGACGGTCCTTTGAACAGGAAGAAGACACGGAGCACATTCCTGTTAGCTACGACAGAGAGGGGCAGGGTATGCACTGGACATTTCAAGCCCCTCCAGAGAAGCAAGTCTTACTGTGCTGGGAGTACTTGTGGAGTGGGGGCTGTGTTGCCCTGGGCTTTAATTATTTCAGGAACATTTAACCTCAGGGCTGGCAGGCTGGATCTTGATATGTGTTTCTCAGTTGGAAAGACTTTGGACCATAGGGAAATGTCTTCTCAATTCTTTTAATTTCATTAAGGTGGTCATTTTTCTTCTTGTGGCCTCTAGAATGTGACACAGAACTCAAGGGACAGGAAGGAGATGAGTTGGAGGCTGGGTCAGTGGTCCCTGCCAGTGATGCTGGTGACTCACATGACGATGTTGATGTGTAGAGTCCGGTGCCTGGTTTGGGGAATGTTCGTGGGATATGTTCCAAAGGACTGATGGACCTATCAGGTACTGGAGGTGAATGGTCAAGTCTGATCTCAGGGCTGACAGTGTCAGGCAAGGATAGGAAGTTGACGTTGGACTCATTGGCTGAGGTTGCTTGGGACCCAGGGGGCAACGTGTGCCAGGACAGATGGGTCTGGGGCTAGGAAGCCAAGTTTGGGCTGGAGACCCTGTCTTGGGAGGCATCCCGGGTAGACAGTGGTTGAGGCTATGGAAATGACTGCGATTGCCTGGGATGAGAGTGGAGACAGACAGGATGGGGGTTTTGCTCTAAGCCTGGGGAACCCACCTCCCAGGTTCAAGCAATTCTCCTGCCTCAGCCTCCCAAGTAGCTGGGAATGCAGGTGCATGCCACCATGCCCGACTAACTTTCGTATTTTTAGTAGAGATGAGGTTTGGCCAGGCTAGTCTGAAACTCCTGACCTCAAGTGATCGGCCCACCTTGGCCTCCCAAAGTGCTGGGATTACAGGCATGAGCCACCATGCCTGACCATTTTTAAATATTAATTTTTATGAAATATTTTCAAACACATTTTACCGTACATTGGAAAAGTCAGTCATGATTTGAAAACTTTATCAAAATCCAATCAGATGTCAATTAACCATTTAATTGTGGATGGGTAAGGAGACTATTTTGACCAAAACATGCTATAACAATTACCACTTATAGAAATAATCTATGTTTTAATGTTTTAGTTGAATTAAACAATCTTTTATATTCTGTCCAGGCACAGTGGCTCACACTTGTAATCCCAGCACTTTGGCAGGTCGAGGCTGGAAGATCACCTAAGGTCAGGAGTTCGAGACCAGCCTGGCCAACATGGCGAAACTGTCTCTACTAAAAATACAGAAATTAGCCAGGTGTGATGGCACACACCTCTAATCCCAGCTACTTGGGAGGCTGCGGCAGGAGAATCGTTTCAAACTGGGAGAGAGAGGTTGCAGTCAGCTGAGATCGCACCACTGCACTTCAGCCAGCCTGGGTGACAGAGCGAGACTCTGTTTCAAAAATAAATAAATAAATACAATAGAATTCTGAATTTTATTTTTAATTATTTTTGTAAAGAGAATGTCATGTTTTTTGGAGTTGTTGAATTTATTGAATTGACAAAAATTATGTACAAGAGGGTATATAACATGATGTGATTGAAGTATGTATACATTACGAAATGGCTAAATCAAGCTAAATAACATATCACCTCCCAGACTTATTTTTTTGTGGTGAGAACACTTAAAAAATCTACTCTAGTGATTTCCAAGTGTATGATATGTTGTTATTAACTGTAGGTACCATGTTGTCCCATGGATCTCCTGAACTTATTCTTCTAAATGACATTCTGTGTCCTTTGGCATCTGCCCACTTCCCCACCCTGGCAACCATCATTCTACTCTGCTTCTGTGAATTCAACTTTTTTCTTTTCTTTTTCTTTTTCTTTTTTTTTTTTTTTTTTTTTTTTTTTTTTGAGACAATCTCATTCTATTGCCCAGGCTGTAGTGCAGGGGTGTGATCTTGGCTCACTGCAGCCTTGACCTCCCAAGCTCAATCAATCCTTCTACCTCGGCCTCCTGAGTATCTGGGAGTACAGGCATGCACCACCACGCTCCACTAATTTTTGTATTTTTATGTAGAGATGGGGTCTTGCTATGTTATGCAGGCTGGTCTCGAACTCCTGGGCTCAAGCAATCTGCCGGCCTCAGCCTCCCAAAGTGCTGGGATTACAGGCATGAGCCACCATGCCTGGCCGAGTTCAACTTTTTTAGATTCCACATATAAGTGAGATCATGTGGTATTTGTCGTTCTGTGCCTGGCCTATTTCACTTAACATAATATCCTCCAGGCTCATCCATGTGGTCTCAAATGGCAGGATTTCCTTCTTTTTGAAGGCTGAATAGTATTCCACTGTGTACATACACCACATTGTTGCTGGAAGTGTAATGGAGGCCAGTTGGGGGAGGAGGGGGAGAAGATTCACTCTAAGTCTAGATGCTCCAGCACCCACCCAGGATGTGTGCAAGGAAGTGCAGGATGCTCCTGGTCTTGCAAACTGTGGTTTGTGGGACTCCAAAGCCCCTATCCTTCCACGATGCTTTCTGTCTTGTTATCACATTTCCTTGGAGGAGAACCCAGCCTTGGTGGAGGGCCCTGCTCTGGCTTTGTCCCTCGGCATGAGATGGCAAAGGATGGTGCTGCTGGGAGACCCTCACGTCTGCACACTGGGGGCTGCTTGCCTTCTCCATTCCTCCTTCAAGTATCTGAGCAGCTCCTGTGTGCCAGCTGCTGGTCTACAAGACGGATCGGTCCTTGGAGATCAAGCTGTAGCAGAGGAGGCAGGCTGTAGCCCCCAGGCCAGAACCAGCCCCCTGCCTGTTCATACAAATAAAGTTTTATTGGAACACAGCCACACCCATTTCAGTGCATATTGTCTGTGGCTGCTTTCCTGCTACAATGGAGAGTTGAATAGTTGGGACAGAGACCTATGGCCTGCAAAGCTGAATTATTTACCATCTGGCCCTCAAGAGAAAGGAAAGAAAATGCTGATCCTTGTACCCTGACAGTCTTAGGTTAAGAGGACTTTGTACCAACCTGACGTCCCAGGCGGCCATGAGTCCAGCCACCCTTGAAATGTACACAAGTCTGGGCTTGGGTTGCAGCAGGTGAGTCCCAGTTTTGCAGGTCTTTGGTATCAGGGGCACAACCCAGGATTTTGAGTGGGGTTTCCTCACCACTGTGGCTGGGCACTGGGCTAGGGTGCTTTCTGATTTTTGTATGGGGAAGAGAAAGGAGGGAGGAAATGGCCACTTGTTGCCCTGTTCTAACATTTTCCTAGATGGGTCTCCAGGCCAGGGCTTGGGATCTCACCTTGCACAGCTTACAAAACCCAGTGAGGCCAGCTGTCTTGGCACTGCCACTCTGAGGGATGGAGCCCCCAACTTACCAGGAAGGGAGATAAAAGAATGGTTTCTGCAAGCATGAGAACTGGCGTTATTGAAATTAACATTTCCCCCAAGTTTTATAATGTCTAGGCATGCATATTTAAGTGTCTGCCTCAAAAGTTCATGCTAATAACCAGATGATGCATTTAATTTCCTTTTTTTGTTCTCTGAGCAACATGCAGCTTCCTGCACAGCCCTCCTTGCAGGCAACTGCACTGAGGTGACAGTCCTCCTGACTGCCAGCACAGATCCCCAGGGCCTCTGAGAGCCCTGTATTCTGGGGGCAGCCTTTCCCCTTCTATTCGGCCCCAGCTAGAAGGGGGCAGGTTACCCACAGCCCAGCACAGGGCTCCTGCCTCAGCTTCTCTAGGGAGTCTGGCTCCCTCTGACCCTCTAGACCTCACCAGCTGAGGATCAGAGCCCCAGGGCAGAAGCCAGGGCCAGGGGGCATTGGGGGGTGGTTTGAGAGTGCAGCTCTGGAGGGGGGCAGGGCGGGCCCAGGGAAAGCTGCTCAGGGGAGACTGCAAAGAGATGGCAGAGTTAGGACAAGAGGGCCAGACATGGTGGCTCCCACTTGTAATCCCAGCACTTTGGGAGGCCGAGGTGGGCGGATCGCCTGAGGCCAGGAGTTTGAGACTAGCCTGGCCAACATGGTGAAAACCTGTCTCTACTAAAAATACAATAATTAGCTGGACATGGTGACACCTATAATCCCAGCTACTCGGGAAGCTGAGCCACGAGAATTGCTTGAACCCAGAAGGTGGAGGTTGCAGTGAGCTGAGATTGTGCCACTGTACTCCAGCCTGGGCAACAGAGCAAGATTCCATCTCAAAAAAAAAGAAAAAAAAAAAGAAAAAAAAAAAAGAAAAAGTCAGGACAAGAGGAGGAGGGAAGAGAAGGGAGCTGTGGGGCAGCAGCCCGGACCTTAAAGGCACAGAAGAAGAAGCTTGGATTTCCAATTCCAAAGGACATGAAGACAAAGACCTTTATTTAACCCGCTCCAGGTGAGGCTGGGCTTTGTGCATTTTCCTTGTTTTCCTTTTCCTTGTGTTCAGGCTGTTATAGAAACAGATACACAGGGGCTTTGTGTAGCGCCCTGTTCTGGGGGCCTTCAGGAAGCATGAGGTGCCCTGGTTTCCTTGGCTTTGTGTCCCCCTTTCCTCCTGCCACCCCTGACTCTGCACCCCACCTTATCCCTCAGACCATCCTCCTGGAGGGGCCTGGCCAGGGCTTGTGTCCTTGCTAGTCTCTGGGGAGGAGGACTCTGTGGCTTGAAAGCTTGTTGGCTGAAGTTGCAAGGTGTAGGTGCCTGGGAGGGCACGTGCACAGCCCTCTTGACTGATCCATTCATGTTTTTCTTTTTTGACTCTGTTCTATTTTGTCCTGATGGAGGGGTAAGTCCCTGCCTTCTTCCTTTCCTGCCTTGGACTCTTGCAATTGGGCCAGATGAGAGGGTCTATGTGGTCTGAGAATTCAAGCAATGCAGGCCAGGCATGGTGGCTCACACCTGTAATCCCAGCACTTTTGGAGGCCAAGGCGGGCGGGTCAGGAGTTTGAAAACAGCTTGGCCAAAATAGTGAAACCCTGTCTCTACAAAAAATACAAAAGTTAGCCGGGCTTGGTGGCGCGGGCCTGTAATCCTAGTTATTTGGGAGGCTGATGCAAGAGAATCACTGGAACCCAGAAGGAGCAGGTTGCAGTGAGGAGCAGGTTGCAGTGAGGAGGAGGTTGCAATGAGCCGAGATTGTGTCCCTGGACTCCAGCCTGCAAAATAGAGCTAGACTATGTTTCAAAAATAAAAAAATTATATAGAAAACAAAACACAAAACTTCCTCTTGATTTGCTTTTCTTGATCTTGCTTCTGAGAGGTAACACTGGGGAGGGTGGGGGTATACCTCTCCACATCTTTTTCTTTTATTTTTATTTTTTAAGTTCTGGGATACAAGTGCAGAGTGTGCAGGTTTGTTACATAGATATACATGTGCCATGGTGGTTTGCTGCACCTATCAACCCGTCATCTAGGTTTTAAGCCCCGCATGCATTAGGTATTTGTCCTAACACTCTCCCTCCCCTTGTCCCCCACCCCCAAGGGGCCCTGGTATATGTTGTTCCCCTCCCTGTGTCCATGTGTTCTCATTGTTCAACTCCCACTTATGAGTGAGAACATGCAGAGTTTGGTTTTCTGTTCCTGTCCACACCTTTTTCCTCTGTGCACGCAAGCACATGTATTTGCACATAAGTGTTTATTGTAACCTTTTTTTAAAAAAAATGAATAATGCTCTATTTATTCTTTGGAAAGCCTGCTTTTCAGGCAGCATGTATTTGACATTGTCTCACGTTGGAACCTGGGTACCACCTTCTTCTCCCAGCAGTTATTCTGACGTGTGGATGCACCACGCTTCGTTTAACCAGCCCTGCACCCATACGTCTTTGGATGGTTTCCGCCTTTTCCCAATCACAGACGGTGTTCTGATGAATTTCCTCGCACACATCACTTGGTGCTCTGTGCCTGCATTTCTGTGAGATGTTCCTGGAGGTGGGCTGTCTAGGTCAGAGGGGGATCTGTGCTTAATTTGCATCCTGTGCAAAATTCCATCCAGTCATCCGGCTCCCCAAGGGCTCACATGGTACTGTCCTCTGTAGACATCATCTTCTGCAGATGATGGCACGACCGCCTCTCTTTCTTTTACTCACACCAGTCTGCACCCTGGTGTCCTGGGGGGTCCAGCCCCTACCTGCTTGTCTGCCCCCACCCCACAGTCCCCCCAGCCCCCTGCTAACAGGGACTCTGGCTTCTGAGCTCTGGCAGACTGCCTCACTCTGGAGAAGTTTGCTTTCTCAAACATTCCTGGCAATGTTACTGCAAATCTCGAGGCCTGCATTTGCCTTCTTCAGGCCTCAGTTTCCTCGAAAGTAAAATGGAGATAATGTGATGCTACTGTCTGCATCCTAGAGCTGCCATGAGGGTTCAGTGAGATCACTGTTGAGAGCACGTTCACAGCGCCGGCCTTGTGCGCAGTCAGCACGTGTGGGGCAGGGCTGTTGCTGATACGTGGTTGACTGTCATTGCTAGACTGTGGCTTTACCAGGGGCAATGTCTTTAGTGCCGAGCCCAGAGCCACCCCTAGTACCTGCTGTGTTTATAGAGTGATTGAGTGGCAGGGTCAGAGATGGGGCAATGGCAGCAGAAACAGAGGGAAGAAGTGGGGCTTCTAATAGGTCCTGGACCAGTGGCCCTTGAGATGAAGGCTTCTTGCCAAGGTCTGGGGCTGTGCTGTGTGTTCTAGGCCCGAGACTGGAAGCTAGGCCTGGCTGCAGCCCCCGCTGAGCTGGGGAAGTGCAGGTCAGCATCCTGCTTCATTAGGACACCTCCAAGCCCAGCTTAGACGTGGATGCCAGGTGACCCCCTGTTCACTCTGAGCCCAGACAGAGGACAGGGAAGTGTGCAAGGGTGGGGACCCCCTTATCACAGCCCTTGACTCTGTAAGGCATATGGGTTTGTGCACGTGTGTGAGCACGGCCGTGGCTTCTCTGAGTTTCAAGCTCAAGGTTGTGTTTATGCAGTGTTAGGCTTGCCAGGTAAAATACAGGACGTCCAATTAAACCTGAGTTTCTCATTAACGCTTTTTTTTTTTTTTTTTTTTTGGTGCAAATATATCCCATGCAATATTTGGGACCTGCTTACCCTAAAAAATGATTTGTTGTTTATCTGAAATTCAAGTTTAACTGGCATCCTGTCTTTTCACTTGCTACGTATGAGAGTTCCGTGTGGGGGTTATCAGTATGCATTTGTGAGTTCCCATGTGAAGGACTGTCTCCAAGTGTCTGTAGGTGCCAGGATGGAGATGGACAGAGAAGATCCTCTCAGGCTGCTTTAGTGGCATCTAGAGACTGTGGGGTTGGACACTTCAGCCCCAGGGGCCTAGGCAGCACTTTCCAGCAACTGTGTGCTCCTGTCTTCTTCATGGGGCCTGACTTCCCTGCCATCTCTCTCCAAATACGGTGGCAAGAGCTATCCCATCCGCCCCCATCTGGAGCTCGGCTGCCCAGCCAGACAAGATGGCAAACAGTGTGCAGATGGCTGCAAAGCTTTCCCCAGCTCCTTCTGCAAGGGTCCTGCAGATGAAATGGAAGCCCTTATCCTCACCACCTCCCCCTTCCAGAAAACCCAGGCAACAGCCACCTCTGTATGCTGCTTTAGAAACTTCTCCCTCCTGGTGATTAAACTACCCCTAAGAAATAAAGCACTGCATTTCCACCATAGGCTTGTTCACATGCACGCAGCCAATTGTCTTGGATCCACCTGTGTGCCTGATTCATCAGGGTGAGGGGTTCTCCTCTGAGGTGCTTGCAAAGAGCTGCTTGCAAAGAGTTGCTTAATTTTCATCTGAAAGACTCTCTGTAGAAACCAGGCCCAGCTTTGGAAGAAAGCCTTTTCTCCCCCTTTAGCAAAGTCTGTGTCATTCTTTTTTTCTTTCTTTCTTTTTTGAGACGGAGTTTCACTTTTGCTGCCCAGGCTGGAGTGCAATGGTGCAATCTCGGTTCACTGCAGTGTCTGCCTCCCAGGTTCAAGCGATTCTCCTGCCTCAGCCTCCTGAGTAGCTGGGACTACAGGCACCCACAACCATACCCGGCTAATTTTTTTCTATTTTTAGTAGAGAGGGAGTTTCACCATGTTGGCCAGGCTGGTCTGGAACTCCTGACCTCAGGTGATCCAACTCGGCCTCCCAAAGTGCTGGGATTACAGGCGTGAGCCACCATGCCTGGCTGGAATTCTGTGTCATTCTGGATACTTATCATGACTTCAAGCATCCAGGACTCTGTCATGGGTATCCTGAGCCTGAGGGTGTATGTGTGTCCAGCTGGCTTGGAGGTTGTCTACAGGCAGGTTGAACTTGGCCTCTGAGTTCATGGCAGCCTCACATGGGAAATACCACCAAGAAGCCTCATCGTGTGCTTTTAGGAGATAGTTTCTATTTAGTCGTTACTGAATCTATTACAGACAGTCTCTCGATTTCTTGCAAGTCCTGTATGAGGTCGGTGCTGTGATTATCCACATGTTCACTTGTTCTCTCTGGCCTCTTTCAGGCTCTTGAACTTCCTTTGCTCTTTTCCTGCCACAGGGCCTTTGCATATCCTGCTCTTTCTTCCTGGAAAGATTTTCCCTCTCCCTGCCTCTTCACCTGGTCACGGTCTCATCTGACAGTGGAGTCACTACATCCTCAGGGACACCTGGCCACACTGACTCAGTCACAGCAACCCCCTGTTATCTGCTTTCATGACACCAGATGCCTCTGTGTGGTAGACACTAGCTCAGCTATGGCTTCCTGTTTCTGTGCTTGTCATCCTTCCCCTTCTAGACTGTGGTCACTGTGAGGGCCAGGGCCATGCCTGTTCCTGATTCTCATTTGTGTCTCTGGTACTTAGTATATGCTTACCTAGAGTTTGATTAATGAATGACGGCATACCCATTTTACAGATGAGAAAGTTGAGGCTCAGAAACATTCTGTAACTTGCTCGGTATTAGATAGTGATGGTTTGAAGCCATCTGGCTGGTCGCTGGGTGCACACTCTTAACCACTTCACTATGGTTCTTCTCTCATGGTAGCTCTCCAACAGCAGGAGTGAGAGACAACTTTAGGACAGGTGTAACCAGAATCCCAGGTGTTATCCTAGAAGGTGGTGTCAGGAACATGCTTGCCTATGGGCCTTCTTACTGTATTGCATAAAATACTCAGTTTTTCTGACTCGCCTTTAGTAAAGACCTTAGCAATATTTGAAGCACAGTTGTCTGTAGGAAAGTGTGGGTGTTTATACTTTTTTAAAAAGGAGTCTATATCATATTTATCTTGTGGTCTGCCATGCCCCCCGCTCTTCTTCACCTTCAGTTATGCAAAATTCACACTTCTTCTCTTGAGTGCCTCTCTCTTACCTGTTCAGTTTCTTTTATGTGTTCGAGATTGCTTAGAATTTTTCCGCATTACTACAGCCTGCTTCCCACCTGTATCCCCCAGCCAGCTTGTTCTGGATTTTGTCAACAACAGTTCCAACGTTTGGTGAGGGCTGGACTGAAGGAAAGCCTTGGAAAAGGCTGTGTGATGAAAGTTGAAGACACCTAATGGGCAGGCAGTCATCAGAGTTAATTCAAAGGCTGGAAGAAGGGCTGACCTGGAGGACTGGAAATGTCTTTGAGCTGAAGGTCATGTGCAGGTGGAACGAAGAGGGTGAGCCTTTTGGGGTGAACTGCAAGTATTTGATAAGATCCCTGTCCCCATGGTTGGGGAAGTCTTGATAAGCATCCTCAATGTGATGGCGGGATCAAGGAACCCGTGGCTCTACCTGTCCAGCATGGCAGCAACATGACACAGCCAAATTATTGATTATTTGTTGCCCAGCTGTCATCACTCAACATCTTCTGTTAGTTTTAGCTGTAATTTGCACTAGTTGTCAATGCCAGTTTTGACTTTCCTAGTCAATAAAGTGTTCCGAGAGTGGCGACTAAGGCTGAGCACTACCCATAATCATAAGTATTACAGAGGCAAGCCCCCTTGCCCATCCACCTGCAGGTGATGACACACCCTAGAAAATCACTCAATTCTTTGGAGGACCCTGAATAAATGCTCAAGTCCATCTGTTAATCTGTCCGTCCATCCATCCACCATTCCTTCCATCCATCCGTCCATCCATCCATCCATCCATCCATCCAGACATGCATACATCCATCCACCCACCTACCCATCTATCCACCCACCCACCCACCCATCTATCCATCCAACCCACTCTCTTATGCACCCAGCTATCATCCACCTACTCACACACCAACCCATCTATCCAACCACTCACCCATGCATCTATCCACCCATTCACTCATCTACCCATCTATCCACCCACCCGTGCATCCATTTATCTATCCCTCCACCCCCTCACCCACTCATCCATTTCTCCACCCACTCGGCCATCTGTTCACCGACTCAACCATCCATTCATTCATCCACCTGCCCACCCACCCATCTTTCCATACACCCATCTATCCACCCACCCACCCATGTATCCATCCACTGCTTGTCCTTCTGTTCATTTATTCCACAAAGACTCATTAACCACCTACTAGATTCTGGGGAGGTATCTGCTCTAGTAATTGAGAACATGGTTTCTGGAAACTGATTCCCTGGGCTCAAATTGAGCTGCCTCCTAGCTAGCTGCTTGGGTAAGTTATAGAAACTGTGCTTTGATTTTCTTATCTGAAAACTGGCTATTAATAGCTTCTACTCTTGCAGATATAGTGAAGATTAAATAAGATGTCACGTTAAAAGTGCATCATCGACACTCAATAGAGATTAGGTTTTACCATTCATTATTATTCTTGGCAGATGCTGCAGATAACATGGAGAGCATACGAAAAGCACATGTTTAACCAAAAGTGACATACAGGTGCTAAGTTCTGCAGTAGGGGAAGGGCAGAAAGCCATGGAGAGGGCCTGGCCCAATCCTGGAGCCTCAGAAAAAAGTTCCCCGTTGAATTGCTGTTTTAGCTGAGACTTCTGGGATGCGTAGTAGTTGGAGATCCCAGACAGGAGGTGACCGAGTTAGCCAGGGAAAAATTGGGTCCTGGCACCCATGGCAGAGTTGAGTGATCCAGTCTTTCTGTCTCCACTGGCTGGAAGTCCACCAGATTTGGGAATGTCCAGTTGGGGGAGGGGGCTGACAATGATCATGACCTTCACCTGTCCTCACATGTCCTCTGTGTATCTGCAAAGCCTCTGCCTCAGTCTCTTCTTCTGGAAAGTGGGATTGGAAACCACTCTGCTTCTCTCTCAGGACTGCTAGGAAGACAAGATTAGATGGCAGGTGAGAGCTCTTTGAAAATGAAAACATTCTGCTATTTGAATGCAAAGTGTTCTTCTTTGCCTGTGATGTTTCCTAATCTGTGAACTCATACTGGACCTCGAAGCTGTCTATTAAAAAAAAATTAGCAAATTGGCTGGTCAGGGTGGCTCATGCCTGTAGTCCTAGCACTTTGAGAGGCTGAGGGGGTTGGATCACTTGAGGCCAGGAGTTCGATACCGGCCTGGCCAATGTGTGAAATTCCATCTCTACTAAAAATACAAAAATTAGCCAGGTGTGGTGGCGTCTGCCTGTAGTCCCAGCTACTCGGGAGGCTGAGGCACAAGAATCATTTAAGCTCAGGAGGCAGAGGTTGCAGTGAGCCCAGATGGCACCACTGCACTCCAGCCTGGGTGATAGAGCGAGGCTCTGTCTGAAAACAGAAAAAAAAAAAAAAAAAGCAAAGTTAACACTTCCTCCACCTCTCCCCTAGGGGAGGCAATTTGTCAAAGATTGTTGTTGGATTTTACACACAGGGAAATCTAAGGAAGGTGTGGAAACCAGACCAGGACTCTCGTCTCCCTGTTTACAGGGTCTTAAATGGGGGAGCCACTTTGGGTTCTTTCCACAAGATTGCTTTGTTAAAAAAACAAGAAGCAAACAAACAAACAAAAAACTCAAAAAAACAGCCCTGACCTAAATATTCACAAGGGACTTTAGGCAATATCTGCAAACAAACGTGAGTGATGAGTGGAATCTGTCATCTTTACAACTAAGACAGCTCCAGAATTGAAGCAAGTGGAAATATCTCTGGAGACAGAGATTTGGGCGGGTTTTGCCAGTTACAAGCTAGAACCTGGGCAGGTTTACCTCTCTGAGCTTGTGTGACCGTGTAAAATAGGCTGCATTGCGCTAAACTTGCAGGAGGAATCCTAGCATCCCCCTGTGCACAAGGCTGGTTTCTTCCCATCCTTTTCCTTGTTCTGCCTCTCTTCTCCTCTCGAAGAGATGAATGAATGCATTTGGACCCAGCAGGGACCTATGTTTGCAAAAGCTCTCAGGTGATTCTCATGCAGCCAGCCTGGCTCTGGCACTGAGTTCTTGGACACTTCTGCAGGCACATTTACTAGTGAGGACGGTCACTGTGTGCTGAAGGCATGACTCATCTTCCATTCCTTTCTTCCGTGAAGCAAGGCTCATGGGTCAACTGAGCTGGGAGAGTCCACAGTGTCAGCCTCCCCCACGCTTCCCTCCCTCCTTATTCCTTGTGTGCTGTACTTTGTCTGGATTTCCTGTACTCTGCACCAAGCCAGGAGATGGTAAGATCTCAAAAAAATCACTTTTTTGGGAAATGGGATCAAGAGGGTTTTTGTTTGCTTGTTTGTTTGTTTGAGACAGGGTCTGTCTCCCAGGCTGGAGTGCAGAGGCGTGACCTTGGCTCACTGCAGCCTTGACCTTCTGGGCTCAGGTGATCCTCCCACCTCAGCCTCCCGAGTAGCTGGGACTGCAGGTGCACACCACCATGCCTGACTAATTTGTCTATTTTTTTGTAGAGATGAGGTTTCACCGTGTTGCCTAGGCTGGTCTCAAACTCCTGGGCTCAAGTAGTCCTCCATCCACCTTGGCCTCTCAAAGTGCTGAGATTACAGGCATGAGCTGCTGTGCCTGGCCAAGGTTTTTTATTATTATTATTATTATTATTATGAAAACTTTTCAATAAACATAAAAGTAGACAGACTAGTTTAATGAGCTATCATATACCCATCATATAGATTTAAAAACTATTAACATTTGCAATATTTACTCCATTTGTTTTTCTGAAGTATTTACAAAATAGTTTACAGTAGTTATGTAATTGCATCCTGATATTCACCCCTACATAATTTACTTTCCCTCTAAAAACATGAGGGCATTTTTTATATGATCATTGTCATACCTAATCAAATTACCAGTAATTCCTTAATATCCTCTAAGATCAAGTTTACATTCAGATGTCTTGTCCTCAAAATGTCAATTGTGATTATTTTTTTCTTTGGGCAAAGATAATAAGATCTCAAGATTTAATGACAGAGATTCCATGTTAGCCCTGATGTCTAAGCTCTGTGGTCCATTGTGGCTTTACTTGAAAGTCTGAGGCTAGGTGTGGTGGCTCACATCTGTAATCCCAGCACTTTGGGAGGCCAAGGTAGGCAGATCATGAGGTCAAGAGATCAAGACCATGCTGACCAACATGGTGAAACCCTGTCTCTATTAAAAATACAAAAATTAGCCAGGTGTGGTGGCGGGTGCCTATAGTCCCAGCTACACGGGACGCTGAGGCAGGAGAATCACTTGAACCCGGGAGGCGGAAGTTGCAGTGAGCTGAGATTGCACCACTGGACGCCAGCCTGGGTGGCAAGAACGAGACTCTGGAAAAAAAAAAAAAGTCTCTCACTGTGGTCTCATAATAAAAGGACACTCCATTTCCCATCTGGCCCCTGATCCTCAATGTTAGCCCCCTCCTGTGGGGAGGAGGGGGTGACCTTCAGCGCAGGTTCAAACATTCCCAGGGCTGGCTCTGTTCCCGATAAAGCCCATCGTCATGAATGAATGCTTCCCTTGCAGGTTATTCTAAGTATTGTAAATAGTGCACGTGGAGTGTCCTCATGATGCCTGGGATGGTAGTGAATATTTATAGGTTTGTTTTAGTGCCTTTTTTTTTTTAGTGTTTTCTATAGTTCCATGTTTCTACAACCCTTAGGAACAGCAGAATCGTGTGTGTGTGTGGGTGCTTATTAAATAAACCAGTTCCTGGAGTTCACTCCCAGTGACTGCCAGTCATGATTAGGGGCTCAGCTAGGACCTAGGTTTGCAAAAACTCCCAGCTGATCTCATGCAGCCAGCCTGGCTCTGGCTCTGGCTCTGGGAGCTGGGTTGGGAACTAGTCTTTGGTGCTATTTTGCTGAAACTTCAAGTTGGGCTATTTGACTCCGTCTTGTATTGTCATCACTTGTATTCAGGTCTGTTCTTCCCCTGGATTGTAAACTCCTTGATGTCTGGGTCATCTCGGCTCATAAGCTGAGCTTTCAGTGGGTGCTCAGTGGAACAGGTGCTGAATGGAGTCAGGCTCTAGGGAGGCCAGCGTGTGTTGGTAAGTGAGAGACTAAAATCCTTTTAAAAAGAATCTTTTTGCCCTTCAGTTGTGTTTGCCATGAGTTAATGTGATTTACTCTAGTGGAAGCCAGTGCAGCTTAAGTGGAGGTCTTGCCCTGAAATGGAGCCAGGTTAAGGATCAGCAGAGCTGCCAAAAGCGTTTTGGGGGAAATGTTTCTGTGTCACTCTCAGTTGATTGAACTCAAGTTTTCACTCCCGTTTAACACCACGTGGGGGTCTTTCTGACTTCTGCAGAGTGGGTATGATCAGATCTTCTGTAAAAGTGTAAGTGAGGGGGATGGGCACGGTGGCTCACACCTGTAATCATAGCACTTGGGAGGCTGAGGTGGGTGGATCACTTGAGGCCGAGAGTTTGAGACAAGCCTGGACGACATGATGAAACCTCATCTCTACCAAAAAATACAGAAATTAGCCAGGCATGATGGTGCATGCCTGTAATGCCAGCTACTCAGGAGGCTGAGGCAGGAGAATCACTTGAACCTGGGAGGTGGAGGTTGCAGTGAGCTGAGGTTGCACCACTGCACAGCATTCCAGCCTGGGTGACAGAGAGAGACTCTGTCTCAAGAAAAAAAAAAAAAAGTGTATGTGAGGAAACTGGAATTGAGCTTGGGGATTTTGGGGGATGGATGTACTTCATTTACTGAACAACAAAAACCATAGGATACCAATGCTGGAGGAAGAAGCATCATCCTCATTTTCTACTAACTCAACCACGCATAAGATGGGGACTTGGTGTCCGAGAGAAAAGCTTCTTTTTAGGTCTTCAACCTTGATCAAACCATTTCTGAATTCCTCATGCACATATAATCAGGTGCTATGAGTGGTACTGATTGGATAATCTTTCTGTCGTTTCCTGTGCTAGGAAGGAAAATACATGTACAGCCAACTTCCTTGAGCGTTCGTTCTTTTGCATCAGGGTGTCTCAAACTGCTGCCCTTAAAACACCTGTAAGAGAATCATCCAGGCAGCTTGCTCACTCTGCATGCAGGCCCTTTAGAATCAGAGTCAGAATCCCTGGGGCTGGAGCCACAAAACTAAATGACATTTCAACGAGTTTGTCATCATGTGAGAGAGAATAGGTGAGTATTTGGATACCTATAATACAAAGTAGATTCCAAAAGAATGACTTGATTATTTTAAATGTTGTGTTTTAAAAAATTTAATACAGAAAAGGCTGGGCGCGGTGACTCATGCCTGTAATCTTAGCACTTTGGGAGGCCAAGGCGGGTGGATCATTTGATGTCAGGAGTTCAAGACCAGCCTGGCCAACAAGGTGAAACCCCATCTCTACTAAAAATATAAAAATTAGCCAGGCAGTAGTGGTGCGTGCCTGTAATCCCAGCTACTGGGGAGTCTGAGGCAGGAGAATTGCTTAAGCCTGGGAGGCAGAGATTTGGGAACCTGAGATCGTACCACTGCACTCCAATGTGAGTGACGATTGTTTAACCACCACCAAAATGGGTTCTGAGTCCAACTATTAATATGAAGATGACATCCATTGTGGTCTTGTACATTTTGTTTCCTTTCCAGGGTGAAGGACATTGGTGACCATTTGTTTCCTCTGGAGCGGTCGATTGGTCATGAACTTCCTGGTCCAGGTAGTTACTGTGTCATTCATGATGGTGGTTGATCCTCAGGTAGTTAGGGAGGAAAATAAACAAGAAGTTATATATTTAAAATCACGTTTCAATTTTAGACCTGATTAATTGACTTAATAAAGGGCATTAGCACTTCTACTTCCTACGGTCCCTCCCTTTACCTCTGGAAACTAGTTATTTCTAGGTTGTTTTATGTTGTTAAGGTTGACACCTTCTCTTTCTGTTCTGCAATCATAGTCCTATCACTAGCCTTTTTTCATGGTCATTCAGTTCACAAGTTGCTTATTTTTTAATTTCTTGGCTGACTAAATTTTATTATGAAGACTTTTCTTTTTAAAGAGCTCAGAAATACTGTGTTCTTTAAGTTCTTCAGCATGTGATAGTGTCTTTTGTCTATTTTGATTGGGCAATAATTTAGCTGGCTATAAAATTATTGGATTATATTCTATTTCCCTTAGAAATGATAGGCACCCATCCACTGACATTTCATTGTGCTTCCTTTTTTTTTTTTTTTTTTTTTTTTTTTGAGATGGAGTCTTGCTCTGTCACCCAGGCTTGAGTGCAGTGGTGCGATCTCGGCTCACTGCAAGCTCTGCCTCCCGGGTTCACACCATTCTCCTTCTCAGCCTCCCGAGTAGCTGGGACTACAGGCGCCCGCCTCCATGCCTGGCTAACTTTTTTGTATTTTTAGTAGAGACGGGGTTTCACCGTGTTAGCCAGGATGGTCTTGATCTCCTGACTTCGTGATCCACAGGCCTTGGGCTCCCAAAGTGCTGGGATTACAGTTGTGAGCCACTGTATGAGCCCAGCCTCATTGTGCTTTTTACTAACCCCCTTTCCCTGGCCTCTTCCAGTTTGTCTTCTCTCCCAGTAGTTTCTTCATGAAGACGCCATGTGCTATATTCCATGAGATATTTCACACTCAAAGAAGACTTCTTTTATACTCTTTTGATAATTTGTCTGGGAATCACTGTCTTGATTTATAAGGGAGTTTGTAATAAATACAGTAAAAGAGAAACACAACATATTTTGAGACATCAGAGAAGGGAGACACCAATTCTATTAATATTTGGGGTTAGCAGGGAAGGCTTAGTTAAGAGGTAACATTTGAACTAAGCCTTGAAATAAGGGAAGAATTTGGCCATGCAGTAATGGGGAGAGAGTAGAAGCAAGACATGATGGTTAGTGTTATGTATCAATTTGACTGGGTTGTTGGGTGCCCAGATATTTGGCTACACATTATTCTGGGTGTGTCTCTGAGGTATTCTGGATAAGGATAACCCTTAATTGGTAGACTGAATAAAGCAGATTGTCCTCCCCAATGTGGGTGAGCCTCATCCAATCCACTGAAGGCCTGAAGAAAACAAAAAGGTAGAGTCACAGAGAATTTGCTCTTTTTACCTGATTATATTTGAGCTGGGACATCAATCTTCTCCTGAATTTAGATGTGGACTCGAGTTGGAACTATATCATTGGCCGTCTTGGGTCTCCAGCTTGCTGACTGCAGACTCCAGGACTCCTTAGCCTCCATAACCATGTGAGCCATCCCTTACAACAAATCAATCTGTCTCTCTCTATGTGTATAGCTCTACCTCTATCTCTCTGCTCTTTCTCTGGAGAACCTAGAATAATACACAAGGTTATATTAGAGAAGAGGATGACCCAAGGAAAAGCATGGAGGCAGAAAAGTGCAGAGGGTTTGGGAAGACTGGGGTCCTGGTGGGGAGTTTGGATTTCACTGTGTGTAGCATGGAGAATCCTTGAAAATATTCAAGAGGTGAAAATTGTATTTGTGGAAGAACACCAGGAGTATGTGAAAAGAAAAACACTCACTCCATTTTAACTCCACTGAAGGGGGCATCAACGGGATGCACTGGGGACATGGGTTGGAGGGTAGTTGAGGCCATATCTGGAGGATCTTTACTTCTTGGCTGAGTCTGAAGTTATCTTTCTGGGGAGTGGCGGATTACAAATCTTTGAGCTCCACTCAAGAGATGGTTGTGCTAACAATGGCAGGGCGACGGTGGTGGTGGTGGTGGTGGTGGTGGTGGTAAACTGGTAGCATGAATTCTAATTGGGCTTCTGTCATTCTAGCCGAGAAAATTGGAGAATGGACTTCCAGTAGAATAATACAGATCTGGGAATCAACTGCATGGAGGAGGTAGTTATAGGTGATGAGATGTCTCAGGGACAAAGTTTGGTAGCCGGAGAAAAGATACTAGGCTGGTACAAAAATAATTGCTGTTTTTGCCGTTACTTTTAATGGCAAAATCCGCAATTACTTTTGCACCAACCTAATAGGATGCAAACTTCGGAGCCATCTGCATCAGAGGGTTTGATGATGATCAACAAAGTTTGGGAACACAGGAAAGGAGCGGGGAGGGTAATGACTTGAGGGCATAGCAGGGATAATCAAGGTTTTTCTTGTTAGCATGTGGAGACTTAAGCATGATTATATGTTAAGCACCTGGCACATACAAGGTACATAATATTTATGAGTGAAATGACAAGTGAAGGTGGTGGGTCATGGGAGTTCCAAGGGAACGGGTGATAAAGGCAGGTCTCAAATGAGGCACAAGTGGAGAAGGTAACTTGGGAATGGAGAAGGATGCTTCTCCTTATAAGTTGGGAAAGGCAGAGGAAGAGGGTCAAGATACAGTGATCTAGGGGTGAGATGGAAGTGAGTTGAGAGAACTCAACTCTGGGCTCTGAAACCCCTAGGGATGGGTTTGGGGGGCTTTGAGATATGGAAGAGGTTTAAAGTCAATTGTTATAGCAAATATGGTTTGGAATTTATTTGTGATGCTTAAACATATTGCTGAACAGAAGTGAAGTCTACCCTAGAGTTGGATGGTGAGATTATTTAGTGGAACTACCAGATCCACGTTGTGATTCTTTCCAGTATCATTCAGCAGCCCTTGGGCAGTTGCGAGGCAAGTCATCAATGGGGTATGGAGATTTTCCAGGTGGGTGTGGTTGAAGGAAGGGAAGAACGAGTTCAGGAGCACATTACAAGAAGAAGGTGACTGTAAGGTCCAGGGTGAGCAGGAAGGTAAAGCAAGAAGGAAACATGAGGTTGTGAAGAGAAGTTTAGAGGGATGAGGAGGCAGGAGAGGTGAAGAGTTGCATGATGTAGCTAGAGTGGCGTTGTTAGATCTTGGGGCCAGAGAGCTTTACAATGATTATGAAGATCAAAGGACATTAGAATCAAGATATAAAGAGCCACTGTTTGATGTTGGGATGTGAGGATGCTGCAGGTGGATGTCTGCACATTGATGGTGAGAACATGGTCACCCTGGCCCTGCCGGGTCTTTGCTAAAGAGACTGTGCTCTGTTCTTGGGGCCGTTTTCATCACCTGATTAGAGCAGTGGTCCCCAAATGGTGTTCTTTGGACCATCTGTATAAAATGTTCATAGGTCAAGGATAAAATGGAAAAACAAAATGTCACAGAAATGTGCCCATTGTTGAAAGACCACCAGCTGTCCTTTTTGGAGGATTATTCTTTATTCTAAAAATGTATATATTCTATTCTATTAAAACATTTTTGTATTTGCATTTTTTTCTCTTTTATGAAATGCCACTGGGTAGAAATTTGTAATGTATCCAATTCTCCTGTCTTCATGCATTGCCCTGTGGTGGGGGAGGGGATGTGGCTAGTACTGGCCAAGAGGCTGGGGGCAGAGGTGCAATGTTAGACTTCTAGCCTAGAGCATTTAATTCTTAGTACAAGACTCTCTAGCATTCTTCTCCCTCTGTTCCCTGCTTGGTGATACTCGAGGTATTGCAACCCCCATTAACCTTAGTCTTAGGGCAAGTTTGATGGAAAACAGAGCACCCCATACCTCCCTGCAGATGTAGCATGAGTGAGAAAAACAACTTCTGATGTTTGAAGTTACCAAGATTTAGGAGTTGTTTGTTATTGCAGCAAAACCTCACCTATTCTGACAAATCATGTTGGAATTTCTATGTATATGTGTGTGTGTGTGTGTGTGTGTGAAACTGGTAGTTTAAAAAAGTTTCTTCTTACCCAAAAGAAAAACAGATAGCAACCTTATGTTGGTTCTCAAATTAAAAAAATATTTTTACTCGTTTATAAAACAGAAAAATCTGAGAATCTGTAGCTTAGAGAACTACAGTGTGGGATGTCTATAAAGACCAGGTTATTTTATCAGCTCCTAACACCCCTTAATAGAAGCTTAGCCAAGACTTGCACTATTTCAGTCTTTCCCATTCCACATTCCATGGACTCTTGAAGAGACATTGATGAAACGGTGCAGCCATGAACCACCGTAACTCATTCCTAGTGGCAGAACCCCCCTTTTGCTGCAGAATGAGCTTCTTGCTACAGTGATACTGCAACCCCTTAGATATATCCTGTACTAATTATATTAAAACACGACCAATGCTTTTGCTTTGTCGTCCCCCAAATTAAACACATTAATCATGAGAACCCAGAGAATTGGATTTAGTGTAACTGATTCCAAACTGTCAGTAAGAACATAATTAAGTTATATTTTTCTCGAATTCAAATAAAAGAAAATTGACAGTAAAATGCTGATCAATATGTGTAGCTCAGGAGGTAGAGCCTGCTTTGAGATGCAGAAGTGTTTGGTTTTTTTAGATCTATATTCTTGAGTAAAGAAAAAATCCATCTCTCTTTCCTAGAGGGGAAGACTTTCAGAGCTGGGCTTGGCAACAGCCTGACTATCAGAGGCTGAATTAAACAAATAGGTGGTACCTCCCTGGAGTGAATGGTGCGTTTCTCCTGTTCGGAGAACCGTGCTTTTATGGTTGAGTTTGCTTTCTGTCTTGGTCTCCGGATGTGTGTATCTGTGGGTGGATGTCTGCATGTAAATGGCAGTGTATACCTGTGTGGGTGTGTACAAAATTCCCATGTGAATCTCAGCTTTGTGGGGATCTCCGGTTCTTGAGCCCAGTAGATGCCATTTGAAGAAAAAATCACTTGAAAATGAGACAGAAAGAATGGAAACTAAATCCTAGCTCTAAAGGCACCATTCTGATTTAAAAAAAAAAAAAAAAACTCTGGATCTTCTTTGTTTTGGACTCTACCTACTTCTAAATGACATTTCTGTTTCCTATGAGATGATTAGAATGAAAAAGATCCTGAGCACGAAAGAGCAGATACTGTGTGATAGTGTGTATGTCAGGGTGTCAGCTGTGACGCTGCTGACATTTCGGCTCAGCAATTTCTCTGTTCTATGTGTGGGGGTTCCCTGTGCATTTTAGGATGTTGAGCGGCATCCCTAGATCCCTGGACTCACTGGATGCAGTAACACAACTCCCCCCAAGTAGACACAACCACCAGTGTCTCCAGATATTGCCTAATGTCCCCTGGGGGTAAAATAGCCCCATCTGAGAACTGCTGCTTTCATAAAGTACAATGTCAGGTGAAATAGGTGGAGGCTGTTTGTAGTCAGGGGTTAGTAGCGATGGAAGAGACCCCAGGAATATCCTGGAAGGGTCTGTAATATTTTGTTTCTTGAATTGGGTGTCAGTAATATGGAGATGTTCAGTTTTTTTGTTGTTGTTGTTTTGAGGCAGGATCTTGCTCTGTCACCCAGGCTGGAGCACAGTGGCACTGTCATGGCTCACTGCAGCCTCTGCCTCCTGGGCTCAAGCAGTCCTCCCACCTCAGCCCTCCCGAGTAGCTGGGACTACAGGCATGTGCCACCACTGTTGCCTAATTTTTTATTTATTTATTTTTTGTAGAGAGGAGTGTCTCACTATGTTGCCCAGGCTAGTCTCAAGCTCCTGGGCTCAAGCAATCTGCTCATCTCGGCCTCCCAAAGTGCTGGGATGACAAGCATGAGCCACTGCGTCTGGCCAGTATGTTCAGTTTGTAAGAAAAGTACTGTGTTGACCTCTTCTATGTGCACATTTCTTTAAGTAATAATTCAATAAAGCATTTAGAAAAATTGGTCATAATAGGAGTGATTTGTAGAGTGATTGGCATGAAAGCTGATCACCCTAATTTGAACTACTCTGAAATGAGCACCAGGGGCCACCAAGAGGACCCTTTCAAAGTGTCATAGCCAAGGAGAGGAGTGTGTTGTGTACATCTCTGCATAAAGGATTTGCTGGTTACATGGAAGGATGAAGCCTCCTTCTGAGGACAGAGGCAGCAAAGCAAGTGGAAGCCCAAAGCATTGAGCTTTCCCAATGGACTTTGCTAAAATCTTGTGGATGACTCATGCTCTTAACATACACCCATGTACATATTGTCCATATACACATTAATTCTGTAACAAGGCCCACACTTATGGGTTTTTTTTTTCTTTTGAGACAGTCTTCCTTTATTGCCTAGGCTAGAGTACAGTGGCATAATGGTGACTCACTGCAACTTCCGCCTCCTGCGTTCAAGCAATGCTTGTGCCTCAGCCACCTGAGTAGCTGGGACTACAGGTGCACACCACCATGCCTGGCTAATTTTTGTATTTTTAGTAGAGACAGGGTTTCACCATGTTGGCCAGGCTGGTCTCAAACTCCTGGCCTCAAGTGATCTGCCCACCTCAGCCTCCTAAAGTTTTGGGATTACAGGTGCGAGCCACTGCGCCTGGGCCCACACATAATGTTTGAGTTGAGATAGAGAAACTCTGGCAGGACTGAGGAATTGGCCCACAGTCTCTGGGAAATATGCACAATTCTGGAATCTTCGCTACTTTCAGAGTTCCCACTTTCTGTCTCCTGTTTATTCAACAAACTTGTATGGAACCACAGTGTGACTAGAACTTGCCAGGTGTGGAGGATAAAAAGATGACTGAGATCGGGCATGGTGGCTCATGCCTGTAATCCCAGCACTTTGGGAGGGCAAGGCAGGCGGATCACTTGAGGTCAGGAGTTTGAGCACAGCCTGGCCAACATGATGAAACGTCTCTACTAAAAATACAAAAATTAGCCAGGCATGGTGGCATGCACATGTAGTCCCATCTACTTGGGAAGATGAGGCAGGAGAATCGCTTGAACCCAGGAGGCAGATGTTGCAGTGAGCTGAGATCACACGGCTGCATTCCAGCCTGGGAGACAGAGCGAGATTCCATGTCAAAAAAAAAAGATGACTGAGATACACAGTCCCTCAGAGTTGACTCTAACACAAATTAGGTAAGAGCCCAAGGTCTGGCTGGGCCGGCACCTTGATCGGCCTCATCCTGCAGCGTCTACTAGAATGAAGAACACTTTTTTCTTTACCCATGAAAATGTTTTGTGCTTCATACCCACAAGTGCAATTTGTGTTAATTCTGCAAAATTTGCCGCATAACTCTGCCTGTATTCTTAGCATTTTTCCTTTGAGAGATTTCTCAGCATATCATCTTTGGACTATGTGGAATTGGAAATTTACTTAGAGTCAACAACAAGTACAGGAAAGTCAGTTCTTAAGAGTTAGGTTTTCAAAGACAGTGGATAAAATAAAAAATCTAGTACAGTCAAGATTATACGTGCAAATCCCCTCATCATTCATAAAGTTTAGCAGTCAGTCTTACCGTGGCTCACCAGGTCCAATCCATACTTCTTCCTCCACGATTGGAGCAGAGGGTGATTTTTTTTCTGAGCAACTGATGAAGTCATTTAGAGACCATTTGCAGTAGGAGCCCTGTGTACTAGAGACCAATCAATGTGCCCTCATGGCAGCATTTCTGCCTCTCTCCCTCTTTGTTCTTGCCAAGTACCCATAGTTCATTTTCCATAGATTAAAAGAGCCCAAGTTGGGCCTATATCTAGGAGTACAATTGCTGGGTCATTTGGTAACTCTATGTAGAATTGTTTGGGAAGTTGTTAAAGTGTTTCTCACAGCGGCTACACCATTTTAATTCCTGCCAGCAGTGTATGAAGGTTCTAGTTTCTCTGCATCCTCACCAACACTTGTTATTTTCTGTTTTTGTTTGTTGTTTGTTTGTTTGTTTTTTTGAGACAAAGTTTTGCTCTGTCGCCCAGGCAGGAGTGCAGTGGCACAATCTCAGCTCACTGCAACCTCTGCCTCCCAGATTCAACTTACTCTTCTGCCTCAGCCTCCCGAGTAGCTGGGATTATAGGCACCTGCCACCATGCCTGGCTGATTTTTGTATTTTTTTAGTAGAGACGGAGTTTCCCCATGTTGGCCAGGCTGGTCTCAAACTCCTGGCCTCAGGTGATCCACCTGCCTCGGTCTCCCAAAGTGCTTGGATTACAGGCATTAGCCACCGCACCAGGCCAATTTTCTCTATCTTCGATTCTAGCCATGCTTATGGGTATGAAGTGGTATCTCATTGTGGTTTTGATTTCTGTTTCCCTGATGATGAATTTCACTGAGCATCTTTTCATGTGCTTATTGGCCACTTGTATGTCTTCCTTGGAGATGTGCAATATTTTCATATTCAAAAATGAAAGCACAGGTCCACACAAAATTTTGTACATTAATAATTACAGTAGCATCACTCCTAATAACCCAAAGAGAGAATTAATCCAAATGCCCATCACCAGATGAAGAGATACACCGATTGTTGTCTACCCACATGGTGGAATATTATTTGATCACAAAAGGGAGGAAAGTACATACGCTACAGCGTGGATGAACCTTCAAAACAGATGAAAGATCACATTCTACATGATTTCATTCTGATGGAAATCTATAGAAATAGGAAGTCGATTAGTGGTTGCTTAGGGCTGGTAGGGGCATGGGAGGATGGGGGTGTTAGCTAAAGGGTATGAGGTTTCTTTTTGAGGTCATGAAATGTTCTAAAATTGACTGGTAATGTTTGTGTATATCTCTGAATATATTAAAAACCATTGAAATGTAAAAAATGCAAAGAAAAAACAGCCCAAGTTGCAATTTTATTCAACACTTGATTGGCTTTAAAAATAGATTCCAGGCTGGGCATGGTGGCTCACACCTGAAATCCCAGTGGTTTGGGAGGCTGTGGTGGGAGGATTGCTTGAGGCCAGGAGTTCCAGGACAGCCTTGGCAACATGGCAAGACCCTGTCTCTACAAAAAAAGAAAAAATAAATAACAGCTGTGTGCAGTGGCTCACTCCTGTAATCCCAGCACTTTGGGAGGCTGAGGTGGGCAGATCACCTGACATCAGGAGTTCAAGAGCAGCTTGGCCAACATCCTGAAATCCCCTCTCTACCAAAAATATGAAATTTAGCCTTTTGGTACTCCGAGAAGCACCATGGCGGTTGTTAAGAACAAGTGCCTTATGAAAGGTGGCAAAAAAGGAGTTAAGAAGAAAGTAGTTGGTCCATTCTCTAAGAAAGATCAGTATGATGTGAAAGCACCTCCTAGGTTCAATATAATAAATATTGGAAAGACTTGGTCGCCAGTACCAAAGGAACCCAAATTGCATCTGATGGTCTCAAGCGTCTTGTGTTTGAAGTGAGTCTTGCTGATTTGCAGAATGATGAAGTTGCATTTAGAAAATTCAAGCTGATTACTGAAGATGTTCAGGACAAAAACTGCCTGACTAACTTCTATGGCATGGGTCTTACCTGTGACAAAATATGTTCCATGGTTGAAAAATGTTCAACAATGATTGAAGCTCATGTTGATGTCAAGACTACCGATGGTTACTTCTTTCATCTGTTTTGTGTTGGTTTTACTAAAAAACACAACAATCAGATACTGAAGACCTCTTATGATCAGCACCAACAGTCCGCCAAATCCAGAAGAAGATGATGGAAATCATGACCTGAGAGGTGCAGACAAATGACTTGAAAGAAGTGGTCAATAAATTGATTCCAGACAACATTGGAAAAGATATAGAAAAGGCTTGCCAATTTATCCTCTCCATGTTGTCTTCATTAGAAAAGTAAAAATGCTGGAGAACTCTGGATTTGAAAGGCATGGAGCTTCGTGGTGAAGGTAGTAGTTCTGGAAAACCCACTAGGGACGAGACACATGCTGAAGTTGAATGAGCTGATGGATGTGAACCACCAGTCCAAGAATCTGTTTAAAGTTCAGACTTAAAACGGTAGCAAATAAGAAGTCCTATTTGTGAAAAACAAACAAGAAACAACAATGAAAGAGCAAAATTAGCCTGGTGTGGTGGTGCATGCCTGTAATCCTAGCTACTCAGGAGGCTGAGGCATGAGAATCACTTGAACCCGGGAGACAGAGGTTGCAGTGAGCCAAGATTGCACCACTGCACTCCAGCCTGGGCAACAGAGTGAGACTCTCTCCAAAAGGAAGAAAAAAAAATCTATCCGGGCTTGGTGGCATGTGCCTGTAGTCTCAGCTACTCTGAAGGCTGAGATGGGAGAATGAATTGAGGCCAGGAGTAATTTGAGGCTGCAGTGAACTATGATTGTGACACTGCACTCCAGCCTGGACTGCAGAGCAAGACCCTGTCTCTTATACATACATACATACACACACACACACACATACATACATACATACATACATACATACATACCCAGGCTCTACCTCCAGTGATTCTGACTCAGTAGGGCTGGGTATCCCCTGGGGATCCTGCGGTTCAGCCTGGTCTGGGATCCACTTCTCACTGGGAACTGAGAAACTGGCTGTGAGCCTTTCTGTCCTGAGATGTAGAGCTCATGGCGATGCAGGTTCAAGCTTAAGGAGACCTGACTGTGCTTTAGGTATTGTGCTGAACCTCATCTTTTACTCTCACAGCAACATCCTTAGAAGGTTAATGATGTGTCCCTGCTCTACAGATAAGGAACTGAGCTTTCAGAGGAGTTTAGCTTGTTCAAAACTTATTCTTCCTACTGGAAACTTTGTACCCTTTGACCAGTGTCTCCTATCCCCTACGTTTCCACCCCAGCCCCTGATATCCACTGTGAGGAGGGTCTTGCTATAGCAGATGGCCCAAAGACCGTTGATGGATCATGAGCAGCTGGAAGAATGGAGAGTTCGGGGGATGTAGTTCCTTCCTGGCTTTCCAACAGTGTGTAAGCCCAGAATTCTTACATAAGCCCATGGAGAAGGGAAAGGAATGCTGGTAACGACAAGATTGAATTCTCCACCTGCCAGGCATCCAGGGACTCACAGCAGATTTAACTGAAGTTACAGAAATAGGAATGTGACATTTCCTACATACGGGTGTGCTGGAGCAAATGTATTCCCTCTCTGGTTTGTGGGGAAGGAGAATGCTAACAGACAAGACTCCAGGTTTTCGCTCTTAAACCTGGTGCCTAGAAATGCATTTTCTACTGGATGCAGACAGAAGCTCCATATAGACATATCCATCGCTGCATCTCTCCTGCCTTGTGTTGTCCCTAATTTTCCCTTTTTAACCCACAGAGGAAGAAAGTTCCAGCATCACTTCTGGCCTCTCAAGAGTGAGTTAGGTGGCCAGGTGGGGTTATTCATGCCTGTAATCTCATACTGAAGGGGTGGCCTGCCCCTCCACACCTGTGGGTATTTCTTGTCAGGTGGGATGAGAGACAGAAAAGAAATCAGACACAGAGACAAAGTATAGAGAAACAGCAGTGGGCCCAGGGTACCGGCGCTTAGCATACCAAGGACCTGCACTGGCACGGGTCTCTGAGTTCCCTCAGTTTTTATTATTATCTTCATTATTTCAGCAAAAAGGAATGTAGTAGGAGGGCAGGGTGATAATAAGGAGAAGGTCAGCAACAAACATGTGAGCAATAGAATCTATGTCATAATGAAGTTCAAGGGAAGGTACTATGACTGGACGTGTACGTAAGCCAGATTTATGTTTCTCTCCACCCAAACATCTCAGTGGAGTAAAGAATAACAAGGCAGCATTGCTGTAAACATGTCTCGCCTCCCACCATAGGGCGGTTTTTCTCCCATCTCAGAATTGAACAAATGTACAATCGTGTTTTATACCGCGACATTCAGTTCCCAGGGGCAGGCAGGAGACAGCGGCCTTCCTCTCTCTCAACTGCAAGAGGCTTTCTTCTTTGGCTAATCCACCTCAGCACAGACCTTTTACAGGTGTCGGGCTTGGGGACCGTCAGGTCTTTCTCATCCCACGAGGCCATATTTCAGACTCTCACATGGGGAGAAACTTTGAACAACACCCAGCTTTCAACGGCAGAGGTCCCTGCGGCTTTCCACAGTGCATTGTGTCCCTGGTTTATTGAGACAAGAGAATGGTGATGACTTTTACCAAGTATACTGCTTGCAAACATTTGGTTAACAAGGCACGTCCTGCACAGCCCTACATGTCTTAAACCTTGATTTCATACAACACATGTTTTAATGAGCTCCAGATTGGGTCAAAGTGGTTGGGGCAAAGTGGCTGGGGCAAAGCTACAGATTAACAACATCTCAGCAAAGCAATGGTTGAAAGTACAGGTCTTTTTCAAAATGGAGTCTCTTATGTCTTCCCTTTCTATGTAGACACAGTAACAGTCTGATCTCTCTTTCTTTTCCCTACATATCCCCCTTTTCGTTTTGACAAAACCACCACCATCATCATGGCCCCTTCTCGCTGGTCGCTGTCTCTCTGGAGCTGCTGGATTCACCTGTAGACTAAAAATAGAAAGGACAGAAATACAAGGATTAATACAAAATTTGCAATAGTGGAATTTGCGGTGGTTTTAACCCAAGTGACGGGGGCAAGAGGACGGTGTGGGTGCTGCGGCACCAAGGCAGTCTCCCACCTCCTTTGTGTCTTAGTTGCTGTTTCTCATAGTTTTCAGTCTTTCTCCTCACCTGCTGACTCGCGCCTTTTATCTCTTTGTCTCCCTTCTCTTACGGTCTCTCTCTCTCTCTCTTTTACACTCTCTCTCTCCCCAGTCTCACTTTCTGTGTCTCTCTCTGATCTCTGTCTCTTTTTCTTTCTCTTCCTCTCCCTGACTCTCCACATGTGCCTTTTCCTTGGTGGATTGTAACTTCATCTGTTCTTCTGATATCACCATTTTGTTCACCCTGCGAGTCGATGATGCTCGATTGCGGGTTTTCTGTCTCTGTAGAGGCACTTTCATTTGCATCTCTGATGGGTTCATTGTAGAACTTCAAATGTTTAGTGGGTATCCAAACAGGAAGCTGATTTTCTCCTCGTGAAACACAAGCAAAACCTCTCCCCCATGTTATCACCTTACCTATTTCCCATGTTTTGTTTCTGTTGTCTTTCCACCAAATCAGTTTTCCCTCATGTGGTCTGTTCTTTTTACCAGTAAAATGTTCTGCAGAAGTAGTGGTCTGATTTCTAAGTATGTCTAGAAAATCTAAAGTATAGAGTGTTAGATTAAGTTGCATCTGGGGAGTGCTATACTCCTTATTGTCTTTTTCCTTTTTTTGTTTAACCAATTGAGCTTTGAGTGTTCTAAACAGGACAGGTAAGATCTGCATCTGGCACAGTCAGCCAGGTCTCCTTACCCTGTGCTTCCCTTTCTGCCTGTGACTGAATGGGCATGTCAAGGTCTAATAGGAGATCCAGGAGGAGGAAGCCTCATTAACTTCTATTCTGCAGCAATTGATGGCCACCCAACTTGAACAGTGGGGGCTTATCACCTCATGTACTAAGACCAGAGATAGCTGATGCCAAGGTTGGCAAAATTAGTAGCTTGAGATGTTAGGTTTTTCATTTGAGGTTTCTACGCTGCTATTGTCTTCTGCTCTTGGTCACAAAGGCTGCCACAATCCGCATGTCAAGTCCTCATGTGACAATATCCAGACAAAGCAAGGAAGAGGTACAGTGTATTCCTGCATGTTTCTTAAAAAAATATTTTTGATAGAGAATAATTGTACACATTTATGGGGTCCATGTGAGATTCTGGTACATGTATGCAATGTGTAATGATCAAATCAGGGTCTTTAGGATATTAATCACTTCAAACATTGATCATTTCTTTGTGTTGGGAATATTTCAAATCTTATTGCTATTTAGAAATACACAATAAATCTATTTATCAGGATACAATATCTATGTACACATATCAGTAGCAGTGCTATACACCAGCATCTACCAGGCTGAGAATCAAATCAAACCCTTTTATAATAGCTGTAAAAATAAAATACTTAGGAATATATCTAACCAAGGAGGTGAAAGACCCCTACAAGGAAAACTACAAAACACTGTTGAAAGAAATCATAGATGACAAAAACAAATGGAAACACATTCCATGCTCATGGATGGGTAGACTCAATATTGTGAAAATGACCATACTGCCAAAAGCAGTCTACAAATTCAATGCAATTCCTATCAATGTACCATCATCATTCTTTATAGAACTAGAAAAAAAAATGCCAAAATTCATTTGGAACTAAAAAAGAGTCTGCAAAGCCAAAGCAAAACTAAGCAAAAAGAACCAATCTAGAGGCATCACATTACCCAACTTCAAACTATATTACAAGGCTATAGTCACCAAAACAGCATGGTTCTCGTATAAAAATAGGCACATGACCAATGGGACAGAGTAGAGAAGCTAGAAATAAAGCCAAATACTTAAAAGCCAACTGATCTTCAACAAAGTAAACAAAAACAAAGTAAGAAAATTACACCCTATACAACAAATAGTGCTGGGATAATTGGCAAGCCACATGTAGAAGAATAAAACTGGATCCTTATCTCTCACCTTATACAAAAATCAACACAAGATGGATCAAATACTTAAATCTAAGGTCTGAAACCATAAACATTCTAGAAGATAACATTGGAAAATGGTTCTACACATTGGCTTAGGCAAAGAGTTTATGACCAAGAACCCAAAAGCAAATGCAACAGAAACAAAGATAAATAGACGGGACTTAATTAAACTAAAGGCCTCCTGCACAGCATAGGGAATAATCAGCAGAGTAAACAGATCACCCACAGAGTGGGAGAAAATTTTCACAAACTGCATCTGACAAAGGACTAATGTCCAGAATCTACAGGGAACTCTGATCAGCAAGAAAAAAATAATCTCATCAAAAAGTGTGCCAAGGACATGAATAGACAATTCTCAAAAGAAGATATACAAATGGCCAACAAACATATGAAAAAATGCTCAACATCACTAATTACCAGGGAAATGCAAATCAAAACCACAATGCAATACCACGTGTAAAATAAACAAAAAGAGGGCCGGGCGCTGTGGCTCACGCCTGTAATCCTAGCACTTTGGGAGGCCAAGTTGGGTGGATCTTGAGGTCAGGAGTTTGAGACCAGCCTGACCAACATAGTGAAACCCAGTCTCTACTGAAAATACAAAACATTAGCCGGGCATGGTGGCAGTTGCCTGTAATCCCAGCTACTCAGGAGGCTGAGGCAGGAGAATTGCTTGAACCCGGGAGGCAGAGGTTGCAGTGAGCTGATATGGCACCACTGTACTCCAGCCTGGGCGACAGAGCGAGACTCCATCTCAAAAAAACAAAAACCAAAACAAAACAAAAAAACAAAAATTGATGTTGGCATGGATGTGGTGAAAGACAACGCTTTCACACTGATGGTGGGAATGTAAGCTAGTACCACCACTATGAAAAGCAGTATGGAGATTCCTTAAAGAATTAGAAGTACATCCACCATTTGATCCAGCCATCCCACTGTTAGGTATCTACCCAGAGGAAAAGAAGTCATTATATGAAAAAGATACTTTTGCACACATGTTTACAGCAGCAGAATTCACAGTTGCAAAACTATAGGATCAGCCCAAATGCCCATCAATCAATTAGTGGATAAAGAAAATGTGTTATATATATGTATACCATAGAATACTACTTAGCCTTAAAAAGGAATAAAATAATGACATTCATAGCAACCTGGGTGGAGTTGGAGACCATTATTCTAAATGAAGTAACTCAGGAATGGAAAACCAAACATTGCGTATTCTCACTCGTAAGTGGGAGCTAAGCTACGATGATGCGAAGGCACAAGAATGAAACAGTGGACTTTGGGGGCTCAGGGGGAAGGTGGGAGGGGGTGAGAGATAAAAGACATTGGGTAAACTGCTTTGCTGATGGGTACGCCAAAATTTCAGAGATCACCACTAAGGGACTTACCCGTGTAGCAAAATACCACCTGTTCCCTAAAAACTATTGAAATTAAAAAAAAGAAATATACAATAAATTGTTGTAGTCACTTTCTGTGATAATAAACACTAGATCTCATTCCTTCTATTATATATTTTTATACCCATTAATCAACCTCTTTTCAAACCCCTCCTATTCCTAGCCTCTGGCAACTATCATTCTACTCTTTATCTCCATGATATCAATTTTATATAGCTCCAGGGCACACAAGTCCATAACTGCGGTCTCTATCCCTGACCCTACTGACCTGAAATATGGCCCCGCTTTGATTTCCAGGAGCATAAACCGCTCATATAAGTGAGAACATGCAAGTTTTCTTTCTGTGCATGGCCTAGTTCACCTGACATTATGACCTTTAGTTCCATCCATTTAGCTGAAAATGACAGGATTTCATTCGTTTTTATGGCTGAATACTATTCTATTGTGAGTATATTCCCATTTTCTTTATCCATTCATCCATTGATTGACACTTAGATTGATTCCATATCTGGGCTATTGTAAAGAGTGCTGCAGTAAATATGGGGGTACAGATATCCCGTTGATACACTGATATCTTTTTTTGGATATATACCCAGGAGTGGGATTGCTGGATCATATGGTAGATCTGTTCTTAGTTTTTTGAGAAATCTCTGTACTTTTTTTCATAATGGCTGTACTAATTTACATTCCCACCAACAATATACGATAATTTTCTTTTCTTCACATGCTTGCCAGCATTTGTTGTGCTTTGTCTTTTTAATACCCATTCTAACAAGTGTGAGATGATATCTCACTGTGGTTTTGATTTGCATTTCCGTGATGATTAGTGATGTTGAATATTTTTTCATAAACTTGGTGATTTGTATATTTTCTTTTGAGAAATGTCTGCTTATTTTTTGATAGTTTCTTTTGCTGTGCAGAAGCTCTTTCATTTAATTAGATCCCATTTGTCAATTTTTGCTTTTGTGGCAATTGCATTTGGCATCTTCACCATGAACTCTTTGCCCATCACTATGTACCGGATGGTATTGCCTAGGTTGTCTTCAGCGTTTTTATAGTTATGGGTTTTACATTTAAGTCTGTAAGCCATCTTGAGTTAATTTTTGTGTATGGCGTAAGGGAGGGGTGTTGTCTTTTCACTCTGTTGATTGTTTTCTTTGATATGCGGAAGGTATTTAGTTTAATATAATCCCATTTGTCTGTTTTTGTTGCTTGTACTTTTTAAGTGTTAGCCATACAATCTTTGTTCTCAAGCGTTTCTCCTGTGTTTACTTCTAGTAGTTTTATAGTTGTGGCTGTTACATTTAAGTCTTTAATTTATTTTGAGTTTATTTTTGTAAGTGATGAGAGATAAGGGTCTAGTTTTATTCTTCTGTGTTTGGATATCTAGTTTTCCTGGCACCATTTAATGAAGAGGGTGTCCTTTATTCAATGTATGTTCTTGACAGCTTTCTTGAAAATCAGTTAGCTGTAAATATGTGGATTCATTTCTGGATTCTTTAGTCTGTTTCCTTTGTTTTTGTGTCTGTTTTAATACCAATACACGCTGTTTTGGTTACTATAGCTTTGCAGTATATATATATATATACTGTATATATATATACACACACATATATACGTATATAATACGTATATATACATATATACGTATATATACGTATATATACATATATACGTATATATACACGTATATATACATATATACGTATATATACACGTATATATACATATATACATATATACGTGTATATACACGTGTATATATACATATATACGTGTATATACACGTGTATATATACATATATACGTGTATATACACGTGTATATATACATATATACGTGTATATATACGTGTATATATACATATATACGTGTATATATACGTGTATATATACATATATACGTGTATATATACGTGTATATATACATATATACGTGTATATATACGTGTATATATACATATATACGTGTATATATACGTGTATATATACATATATACGTGTATATATACGTGTATATATACGTGTATATATACATATATACATATATAGGTGTATATATACATATATACATATATATGTGTATATATACAGATATATACGTATATACATATATACGTATATGTATACATATATACACATATATATACATATTTTTTTTCTTTTTGAGATGAAGTCTTGCTCTGTCGCCGAGGCTGGAGTGCAGTGGCGTGATCTCTGCTCACTGCAAGCTCTTCCTCCCGGGTTCATGCCATTCTCCTGCCTCAGCCTCCCGAGTAGCTGCTGGGACTACAGATGCCCGCCACCATGTCTGGCTAATTTTTTTTTTTTTTTTTTAGTAGAGACGGGGTTTCACCATGTTAGCCAGGATGGTCTCGATCTGCTGACCTTGTGATCCACCCGCCTTGGCCTCCCAAAGTGCTGGGATATAGGCTTGAGCCACCTCACCCGGCCTCTTTGCAGTATATTTTTAAATCAGGTAGTGTGAGGCTTCTAGCTTTGTTCTTTTTGCTCAGTATTGCTTTGGCTATTTGGGGTCTTCTGTGGTTCCATATGAATTTCAGGGTTTTTTTTTCCTGTTTCTGTGAAGAATATAATTGATAGGGATTATACTGAATCTCTAGATTGCTTCGGGTAGTATGGTCATTTTAACAGTATTAGTTATTCCAACCCACGAGCATAAGATGCCTTTCCATTTGTTTGTGTACTTCTCAATTTATTTTATCAGTGTTTTGTGGTTTTCATTGTAGAGGTTTTTTGTTTTTTTTTTCCTCATCCTTGGTTAAGTTTATTCCTAGGTATTTTATTTTTGTAGCTATTGTAAATAGAATTTCTTCCTTGATTTCTATTTTAGCTAGTTTGTTACTGGTATATAGAAACATTACTGATTTTTGTACGTTGATTTTGTGTCCTGAAGCTTTACTGAATTATACATCCGTTTTTAGAAATGTTTTTTATTTTTTATTTTTTATTTTTTGAGAGTCTCTCTTTTCCAGGCTGGAGTGCGGTGGTGCAATCTTGGCTCACTGCAACCTCCACCTCTCGGGTTCAAGCGATTCTCCTGCTTCAGCCTCCCAAGTAGCTGGGATTACAGGCACCTACCACCATGCCTGGCTAATTGTATTTTTGGTAGAGACAGGGTTTCACCATGTTGGCCAGGCTGGTCTCAAACTCCCAACCTCAGGTGATCCGTCCACCTTGGCCTCCCAAAGTGCTGGGATTACAGGCATGAGCTACCATGCCCAGCCTAATTTATTTTAAGAGTTTTTTGGTAGAGTCTTTAGGTTTTTCTGTTTACAGGTATAAGATTATGTCATTTGCAAAGTGAGACAATGTGTCTTCCTTTTGTCCATTTGGGTGCCTTTTATTTCTTTATCTTGTCTGATCACTTTGGCTTGGATGTCCCATACTGTGTTGAATAAGAGTGGTGAAAGTGGGCATCCTTCTCTTGTTCCAGTTCTTAGAGGAAAGGCTTTTCAATTTTTCCCAGTGAGTAGGATGTTAGCCGTAGATTTGTCATATATGCCTTTTCTTAGGTTGAAGTGTTCCTTCTATGCATAATTTGTTGAGAGTTTTCATCATGAAGGAATGGTAAGTTTTACTGAGTGATTTTTCTGTATCTGCTGAGATGATCAGACAGTTTTTGCCTTTCATCTTGTTGATGTGATGTATCACATGTATTGATTTGTGTATGTTGAGCCATCTTTGCATTCCTGGGATAAATCCCACTTGATCATGGTATATTATCTTTTTCATTCATCATTACATTTGACTTGGTAGTATTATGCTGAGAATTTTACCATCTATGTTCATTAGGAATATTGGCCTGTAGTTTTCTCCTTTTGTTGTGTCCTTGTCTTGATTGGATATCAGGGTAATGCTGGCCTTATACAATGAGTTAGGAAGAATTCCTTCCTCTTCAATTTTTGGGAATAGTTTGAGAAGAATTGGTGTTTGTTTTTCTTTATAAATTGGGTAGAAATCAGCATAAAAGCCTAGTCTAGGGCTTTTCTCTTTTGGGAGACTTTTTGTTACTGATTCAAACCTGCTATTCATTTTGGGTCAGTTCAGGTTTTCTGTTTCTTCCTAGTTCAATCTTGGTAGGCTGTGTATGTCTGGGAATTTATCCCTTTCCTCTAGGTTTTCCAATTTGTTAGCATATGGTTGTTCATAATAGCCTCTAATGATCCTTTTTATTTCTTTGGTAACAGTTGTAATGTCTCCTTTTTCATTTCTGATTGTATTTATTTGGGTCTCTTTTTTTGTTGTTGTTAGCCTCACTAGTCGTTTATCAATTTTGTTTAACTTTTCAAAAAACCAACTTTTATCTTGTTGATTGTTTGCATTTCTTTTTTGTCTCTGTTGCATTTGGTTCTGCTATGTTATTTATATTTTTTCTTTCCACTAATTGTGTGTTTGATTTGTTCTTGCTTTTTGAGTTCCTTGAGGTGCATCATTAGGTTGTTTATTTGAAATCTTTCTACTTTTTTGGTGTAGGCATTTATTGCTATAAACTTTCCTCCTAGTACTGCTTTTGCTGTATCCCATAGGTTTTGCATAATGTGTTTCCATTTTCTGTTTAAAAAAAATTTTTGATGTCCATCTTAATTTCTTCATTGACCCAATGATTATTCAATAGCATGTTTAATGTCCATGTATTTGTACAGTTTCCAAATTTCTTCTTCTTATTGATTTCAAGTTTTATTCCATTGTGGTCTGAGAAGATACTTGATATGATTTTAATTTTTAAAATTTTGTGCAGCCTTGTTCTGTGTCCTAACATATGGTCTATCCTGGAGAATGTTCCATGTGTTGATGAGATGACTGTATATTCTGCTGCTGCTGGATGAAATATTCTGAAAATATCTGTTAGGTCCATTTGGTCTAAAGTGCAGCTTAAATCTAATGTTTCTTTGTTGCTTTTATGTCTAGATGAACTGTCCAATGCTGACAGTAGGATATTGAAGTTCTCAACTATCATTGTGTTGGACTCTATCTCTCCATGTAGATTTAATAATATTTGCTATAAGTCTCTGGATGCACTTGTGTTGGTTGCATGCATATTTGGAATTGTTATACTTTGTTGCTGAATTGATCACTTTATTACCATATAATGACCTTCTTTGTCCTTTTTACAGCTTTTGACTTAAAGTCTGTTTTATCTGATGTAAGTTTAGCTACTCCTGATTATTTTTGATTTCTGTTTGTGTGGTATATATTTTTCCATCCCTTCACTTTCAGTCTGTGTGTGTCTTTACAAGTGAAGTGAGTTTCTTGTAGACGTTGTTGGGTCATTTTTTATCCATTAAGCCTGTCTCTATCTTTTAGGTAGGTAATTTAACCCATATTCGAAGTTATTATTGATAGGTGAGGACTTATACCTGTCATTTTGTTCATTGTTTTATGTTTATTTTGTATATCCTTTTGATATGGTTTGGCTGTGTCCCCACTCAGATCTCATCTTGAATTCCCATGTGTTGTGGGAGGGAGGCAGTGGGAAGTAGTTGAATCATGGAGGCAGGTATTTCCCATGCTATTCTTTTAATTGTGAATAAGTCTCATGAGATCTGATGGTTTTAAAAGGAGGAGTTTCCCTGCTCAAGCTCTCTCTTTGCCTGCTGCCATCCCTGTAAGATGTGATTTGCCTCTCCTTGACTTCCACAATGATTTTGAAGCCTCCCCAGCAATGTAGAACTGTAAGTCCATTAAACCTCTTTCTTTTGTAAATTTCCCAGTCTTGAATGTGTCTTTATCAGCTGTGTGAAAATGGACTAATACAGTAAATTAGTACGATAAGTGGGCTGTTGCTAAAAGATACCTGAATATGTGAAAGTGACTTTGGAACTGGGAAACAGGCAGAGGTTGGAACAGTTTGGAGGGCTCAGAAGGAGACAGGAAAATGTGGGAAAATTTGGAAGAGATTTCCTAGAGACTTGCCCAAAATGCTGATGGTTATATGGACAATAAAGTCTAGGATGAGTTTGTCTCAGATGGAAATGAGGAACTTGTTAGCAGCTGGCACAATGGTGACTCCTGTTATGTTTTAGCAAAGAGACTGGTGGCTTTTTGCCCCTGCTGTAGAGATTTGTGGAATTTTGAACTTGAGAGATTTAGGGTATCTGATAGGGTATTTGAACTTGAGATTTAGGGTATCTGATAGAAGAAATTTCTAAGCAGCAAAGCATTCAAGAGATGACTTGGGTGCTGTTAAAGGCCTTCAGTTTTATAAGGGAAGCAGAGCATGAAAGTTTGGAAAATCTGCAGCCTGACAATGCAATAGAAAAGAAAATCCCATTTTCTCAAGAAAAATTCGATCTGGCTGCAGAAGTTTGTTTAAGTAACGAGGAGTCAAATGTGAATCCCCAAGACAATGGGGAAAATGTCTCCAGGGCATGTCACAGGTCTTCATGGCAGCCCCTCCCATCAAAGGTCCAGAGGCCTAGGAAGAAAAGATGGTTTTGTGGGCTGGACCCAGGGACCCCTGTTGTGAGCAGCCTAGGGTGCCTGAGTCCTAGCCACTCCAGCTGCAGCTAAAAGGAGCCAAGGTACAACGTGGGCTGTGGCTTCAGAGGGTGCAAGCCCCAAGCCTTAGCAGCTTCCACATAGGGTTGAGCCTGTGGGTGCACAGAAGTCAAAAATTGAGGTTTGGGAACTGCTGCCTAGATTTCAGAAGGTGTATGGAAATGCCTAGATATCCAGGCAGGAGTTTGCTGCAGGGGCAGGGCACTCATGGAGAACCTCTACTAGGGCACTGCAGAAGGGAAATGTGGGGTCGGAGCCCCCACATAGAGTCCCTACTGCAGCACCACCTAGTGGAGCTGTGAGAAGAGGGCCACCATCCTCCAGACCCCAGAATGGTGGATTCACTGACAGCTTGCACTGTGTGCCTGGAAAAGCTGCAGACACTCAATGCCAACGTGTGAAAGGAGCCAGGAGGGGGTTTAAACCATACAAAGCCACAGGAGTGGAGCTGTGGCCTTTTTTCTCCCAAGGCCATGGGAGCCCACCTCTTACATCAGCATGACCTGCATGTGAGACATGGAGTCAAAGGAGATCATTTTGGAGCTTTGAGATTTCACTGCCCCACTGGATTTTGGGCTTGCATGGGTCCTGTAGCCCCTTTGTTTGGGCAATTTTCTGCCATTTGGAATGACTGTGTTTACCCAGTGCCTATACCCCCATTGTATCTAGGAAGTAACTAACTTGTTTTTGATTTTACATGCTCATAGGCAGAAGGGATTTGCCTTGTCTCACATGAGACTTTGGACTGTGGACTTTTGAGTTAATGCTGAACTTAGTTAAGACTTTGGGGTACTGTTGGGAAGGCATGATTGGTTTTGAAATGTGAGGATATGAGATTTGGGAAGGGCCAGGGGCAGAATGATATGGTTTGGTTGTGTCCCCATCCAAGTGTCATCTTGAATTCCCACATGTTGTGGGAGGGACCTGGTGGGAAATAATTGAGTCATGGGGGCAGGTCTTTCCCATGCTGTTCTCATGATAGTGAATACGTCTCACAAGGTCTGATGGTTTTGAAAAGGGTAGTTTCTCTGCAGAAGCTCTATCTTTGATTGCTGCCATCCATGTGAGACATGACTTGCTTCTTCTTGCTTTCCAACGTGATTCTTAGGCTTCCTCAGCTATGTGGAGGTGTAAGTCCATTAAACCTCTTTCTTTTGTAAATTGCCCAGTCTCAGTCAGGTATGTCTTTATCAGCAGTGTGAAAACAGACTAATACACCTTTGTTCCTTTTTTCTCTCATTATTTATGGTTGCAGTTTGATGGTTTTCTTTAGTGATGATGTTTGAATCCTTTCTTCTTTGTGTGTCTGAACTACCAGTGAGTTTTATACTTTCATGTATTTTCATGATGGTAGATATTGTTCTTTTGCTTCCCAATGTAGGACTCCCTTAAACATTTCTTGTAGGACCACAACAAACAAGACACAAACAAACAGTCTTTTGCTTATCTGGGAAATCCTTTTTTCTCTTTTATTATTACTATTTTTTTTTTAGCAATGGAGTCTCACTCTGTCACCCAGGCTGGAGTACAGTGGCATGATCATAGCTCACTGCAGCCTTGAACTCCTGGGATCAAATGGTCCTCCTGCCTCAGCCTTCTGAGTCTCTGGAATTGCAGATGTGAGCCACTGTGCCAGGCTCCTTCATTTGTGAAGGATAGCTTTGCTGGGTATAGTATTTTTGGCTTACTTTTTTTTTTTTTTTTTTTTTTTACTTGTACTATACATCCCCTTTCTCCTAGTCTAAGGTTTCTGCTGATAAATCCCCTGTTAGCCTGATGGAGATTCTCTTATAAGTGATTTGATGCCTTTCTCTTGCTGTTTTTAGCATTTTCTCTTTGTCTTTTGACAATTTTACCATAATGTGCCTTGGAGAAGACCTTTTTGAGTTGTATTTATTTGGTAATCTTTGAGCTTCCTGCATTTGGAAGCATTCAGGAAGTTTTCAGTTATTATTTCATTAAATAGGTTTTCTATGCCTTTACCCATCTCATCTCCATCCAGAACTCCCAGAATTTCAGTTTTTGGTCACATACGTGTCCCATATGTCATGTAGCCTTGCTTCATTCTTTTTTCTTTCTTTTTGTCTGACTGGATTATTTTAAAAGACTAGTCTTCAGGTTCAGAAATTCTTCGTTTTGCTTGATCTAGTCTATTGTTAAAGCTGTCAATTATCTTTTGTATTTATTTCAATGATTTATTCTCTTCCAGGATTTGTGTTTTGTTCTTTGTTATGCTGTCTATCTCTGTTGAATTTGTCATTCAGATCATGAATTGTTTTCCTGTGTTTTTTTTTTTTAGAATTCATTATCTGTGTTCTCTTGTATCTGCCTGAGTTTCTTTAATAACATTATTCTGAAATTTTTTCAGGCATTTCATAGATTTTATTTTCATTGGATCTGTTGCTGGAGAATTATTGTGCTTCTTTGGAGATGTTATGTTTCCTTTTTCATATTTCTTGCATCCTTATGTGACTGTCTGTGCCTCTGACATAACAGTCATTTCTTCCAATTTTATGGATTGGCTTTTATATGGGAAAGACCTTTTCTTATAGCTGTATCTACAGTGTTCATTGGCTATCACACTTTGGCTTTGATTCTGGGTGGGTACAGTGGTATAGTCTGCATATGATTCCTTCAGCTGTAATTGGCATGAGTGGTGCCTGTGAGTCATTCAGTGGCTTAGACTGCAGTATTTTTTTTTTTTGTCGTTGTTGAGATGGAATCTAGCTCTGTCACCAGGCTGGAGTGCAGTGGTGCAATCTCAGCTCACTACAACCTCTGCCTCCCAGGTTCAAGCAATTCTCCTGCCTCAGCCTCCTGAGTAGCTGGGACTATAGGCATGTGCAACCATGTGCAGCTAATTTTTGTATTTTTAGTAGAGACAGGGTTTCACCACGTTGGCCAGGATGCTCTCGAACTCCTGACCTCGTGATCTACCGGCCTCAGCCTCTCAAAGTGCTGGGATTACAGGCGTGAGCCACCACACTTGGCCAGACTGTAGTTGTTATTGGAGGCTGTGGTGAGACTTTGCTGATGGGGATGCCAGGAAGTCTTGTCCTTCACCATCAGTGGTAGTGGTGGTAGACCTGGTGTGTCAATACAAGGGACCATGGGCAGTGTTTGTGGGCACTGATGATAGCCTGTCTGTGTGGGCCAATCCCTGGGCCTCCAGGTGGCTTCTTTGGTTGCTGGCAGTGGCAGCACTGGGCCAGGTGGGCAGGTGCACCACTGGGCTCCTGGGTAGTGTGTGTGGCAGGCTGATCTCTAGTTTTCCAGGTGACGTATGCAGGTTCTGGTGGTGGGAAGGGAGGCGTTTCCTCAGGCCTCTCAGTAGTAAGTGTGAGCACTAGCTCTGGAGGCAGGTGAGTCAATCTCCAGGCCCCCAGATGGTACATTCAGGCACCAGCATATTCCTATGCATTTCTAGATAAAAGTATTTTTCAGAAAACCTAAGCCTATGTCCTATTAATACAACTTACCCTCATCAGCTCCGCATGAGAAGAAGGGGGAATTCCCTCAGTAGAACAGTCAGAATGGAATCACAGACTTGTTTTGAGCCAGTCACTGGTAAGGGGGGGTAGGCTAAAATGATAAGCTCAGAATCTAAGCCTTAGACTAGGGAATGGCAAACTTTTTCCATAAAGAGGCAAATGGTAATATTTTAGGCTTTTGGCCTAGATAACCTCTGTTGTAGTGACGCAGTGGTGCCATCGTAGCCTAAAAGCATATGTAGACAATGGATAAATCAATGGACCTGGTTTTATTCCAGTAAAACTTAATTTATAGTCAGAGGGCCAGATTTGGCCCTTGGTCTATAGTTGGCCAACCCTGTTTAGAGCAGTCAAAATTTATTCCCTGGGGCTGGGCCAACTTTTTCTTAAAAAAAAAAAAAAAGAAAGCAACCCACTGTCAGAATAAAATAAGGTTTCTATTTAAAAAGAAGAGGAGGCTGGGTGTGGTGGCTCATGCCTATAATCCTAGCACTTTGGAAGGGTGAGGCAGGAGGACTGCTTGAGGCCAGGAGTTTGAAACCAACTTGGGCAATATAGTGAGACCCTCTCTCTGCAAAGAATAAAAAAATTAGCCAGGCATGGTGGCACATGTCTGTAGTCTTAGCTACATAGGAGGCTGAAGGGGAAGATCACTTGAGCCCAGGATTTTGAGGTTACAGTGAGCTCTGACTGTACCATTTGTACTCTAGCCTAGGCAAAGAGGGAGAACCCAAAAACAAACAAACAAAAAAAGGTTGGTTGGGGCGGGTTGGAGAAGAAAGTATTTCTGAATTTCTGGGTAGGTTACTGGTAGTGTCAGGCCAAACTAGCTCTACAGTCATATTCATTATAAATAAAGGCAACTAGAAGATCTCCATCTAGCTATTAAAAATTGGTTAAAATCTACAGAGATAAAGGACAGTGACCCTTGTATCAGTTAGTTGTTGTCACAAAATGCTGTATAACAAGTCACTCCAAATCTCAGTGGCTTAATACAACAATCGTTTATTTTCATGGATCTATGGGTCAACTGAGGATTAGTCAATCTAGCATGAGCATGTCTGGGAAGCTCGACTTTGCTCTTGGTATGTCTTATCTTCTGCTGGAAGCAGCAGTCTGGACTGGGTTTGTTCTCATGGTGATAGCAGGAGTAAGCGAGCACAAATGAATGCACACTTTCCAAGTTTTTGGTCATACAGATTAATATTCCAGTGGCCAGAGCTAGACACAATTCAAAACCCAACATTAGGGACTGGAGAAATATACTCCGATTCTTCAGTGGGAGGAACTGCAGAGACAAATGACAGAGTCTTGGATACAGGGAAGACATTGATCCATTAATGTACCTTAATCAATCGCAACCCTCTAACCACCAATACAATTAAATAAGTATTTGTTGAATGCACTTGTGCCTGAATGCTTCTGGCTGCAGCCCAGGCAATGGGGGCCTGACTGGGGAGGGACCATAGCAGAGACTCGATGTCCTGCAGGTCTGCATGTAATTGTGCACGGCCGACTCCTCATTGGTCATGGCTGACTTGCTTTATCCTGCGTCCCCAAGGGGCAACGATTGGCTGATTATATTTCTGAACAATTTTGACAAAGTTGTTTTCAGGAGCCCAGGAAGCAAATCAGTTGTAGATTTGAATTTTGCAGGGGATCAGAATTGTTGAATATATATATAGTCTTTTACATGCTGATAATTATTTCCACATCACAAAGAAGGCCGGCTATTAGGAGGCTGCTGTTCAATTCCTTTGCCCTGTGAACTCATGAGCTGTGTCTATGTGGGGGGCTCTCAGTTGTTAGAGCTGTTTCCCTTCATAATAACATCAGCCAACATTCTAAATAAATGCAGGAAATTAAATAGTCTTCCCCAGACAGGTACTTTGCCCTTCTAAAGTGAATTACACATTCTAAAATAAAACACAGTCACATTTAAAAACCAAAAGGTCTTTGTGTCAGGTTGGTCTGGCTTCAGCAAAGATAATATTTGCCTCCAGAGTAAAAGATCCGTGGAATCCACGGTATTGCATATGGCAGCCCCACATCTTGTTTCCTTTTCTTTTTTTTGTTTTTAACTAAAGGAGTTGGCAATTTTATTTTCACAATTCCCAATACAAATGAAAACTGCATCTTTTCTAGCCCCACTTCTCCCCTCCAAAACTATTCTCTTTGATAGGGCAAGGGGGCAAGTCTTCCTTATGCTGTTAAGAAAACCCGATATCACAGCAGCATGATCTCCTAGTGAAGGGAGCAGGTAAATATAAAATTCATATAGGCCAGGTGCAGTGGCTCACACCTGTAATCCCAGCACTTTCGGAGGATGAGGCGAGTGGGTCACGAGGTCAGGAGATTGAGACCACCCTGGCCAACATGGTGAAACCCGTTTCTACTAAAATAAAAAAAATTAGCCGGGCATGGTGCACACGCCTGTAGTCCCACACTACTCAGGAGGCTGAGGCAGGGGAATCGCTTGAACCCGGGAGGTGGAGGTTTCAGTGAGCTGAGATCATGCCACTGCCCTCCAGCCTGAGTGACAGAGGAAGACTCTGTCTCAAAAACAAAACAAAACATTACAAACAAAAAAAAACACAACAATAACAAAAACAAAACCACACTGATGCAATGAGGCCTCCCCTCTATCCTTATCTGTCTGGTCGAGTCACTCTGGGCTGACTGGGCACCATCATGAGACGGGCAGGAGGTCTCATCATTGGGCACCCAGGCATCATGGGCCTGTGGCCTCCCATGGGCGGCCTCATTCCAGGAGCAGGTCCCACTGGCATCATCCCAGGAGGAGGAGGGCCCATCATTGGCATCATGGGCGGGCCCCCCATATAGGCTGCTGCCATCATTCTGAAATATGTGAGAAGTGTCAAATACACATTAGATTGTGAAGACTTAATATAAAAAGAAAGGAAAGTATTTTGTTATTGTTAAAATATTTTATACATGTTGACCTGGTATTTTGGATAGATTTGTTCAAATCTGTGATATTATTCCATTTACCTTCACTTCTTTTGTTTTACTTTTTAAAATGTGGTTACTACAAAATGCAAATGTAAATATGTGGCTTGCATCATATTTCATCACATTTAGTGTGGACCCTGAGGATCTAGGGGAGTTATGAGCCTTAAGTTGAGGGTGACCCAGGTCAACGTGAATTGCTCTGAAAGAGAAGCAAAGGGCTTAAAGAGAATGTATAAATGGAGAGAGGGAGCTCAGTCTCACAGGGTGAGGAAAGGCTTTCTTCCTTACACAGTCTGGCACTTCTTCAAAAGCTTAAACACAGAGTTCTATGACTCAGCACTTCCACTCCAGTTTATGAAAGAAATGAAAATATATGTCCGTCCAGAAACTTGTACACAAATGCTCATAACAGCATTATTCATAATAGCGCCAAAGTGAAAACAACACAAATGCTTGTCTACTGATGAGTGGAGAAATAGAACATGGTTTGACTATGCAATGGAATATTATTCAGTCATCAAAAGAAATGAAGTACTAACACGTGCCACAACACGGATGAACTATGAGAATATGAAGCTAAGTGGAAGAAACCGGTCACAAAATGTCACATATTCTAAGATGTCATTTATATGAAATGTCCAGAACACGCAAATCTATGAAGACAGAAACCCTGTCTCTACTAAAAATACAAAATTAGATGGGCGTGGTGGCACATCCCTGTAATCCCAGCTACTCGGGAGGCAGGAGAATTGCTTGAACCCGGGAGGTGGAGGTTGCAGTGAGCCGAGATTGTGCCACTGCACTCCAGCCTGTGACAGACACTCTATCTCAAAAAAAGTAGATTGTCAGGGCTTAGTGGGAGGAGGAAATGGCAGGAACCTGCTCATAGATATAGGGTTTCTTTTTGGGGTGATGAAAATGTTTTAAAATTGATCATGATGGTGGTTGCCGAGCTCTGTGAATGCAATGAAACCATTGATTTGTTCACTTTAAATGGGCAAATCATACGGTACCTGAATTATATTTTAATAGTTATATTAAAAAAGTAAAATCTTCCTTGAAGAGATGACACTTAAGGAGAGGCCTAGGGGGTGGGATGAGTTCACTATGTAGAGAAATGAGGAAGAGCATTTCAGGGTGAGAAACAGCACAGTGAAGGCCCTGAGGTTGACAGGCATAGAGCAGATTTAAGGGACTTGTTTTTTGAGAAGGACTTTCACTCTTCACGCCCAGGCTTGGGTGGAGTGGTGAGATCTTGGCTCACGGTAACCTCTGCCTCCCGAGTTCAAGCGATTTTCCTGCCTCAGTCTCCCGAGTAGCTGGGATTACAGGTGCCATCCACCACACCTGGCTAATTTTGGGATATTTAGTAGAGATGGGGTTCCACCATGTTGACCAGGCTGGTCTGGAACTCCTGATCTCAGGTGATCCAGCCGCCTCAGCTTCCCAAAGTGCTGAGATTACAGGCGTGAGCCACTGCGCTCAGCCAGATTTAAGGGACTTTCAAGAAGTTTGTGTGGCTGAAGCCTAGAGGGCAAGAGAGAGAATCAGGAAATGAGGCTGGAGAAAGAGAGGGGCTGTGTCATGGAGGGTCTCATATTAGTGTGTGGGAACTTCACACGAGTGGTCCCACCTTGGGCATCCCACCTAACTACTCTGTGTCCCTGCTTCCCCACTGGTGAAATAACGGGCTGATGTAGGGATGGAATGAGATAGTGTGTGCTCAGTAAAGGTGACCTTTTATAATTTTTTTTTTTTTTTTTTTTTGAGATGGAGTCTCACTCTGTCGCCCAGGCCAAAGTGATGTGGCGCGATCTTGGCTCACTGCAACCTCTGACTCCCTGGTTCAAGCGATTCTCCTGCCTCAGCCTCCCGAGTAGCTGGGCTTGCAGGCATGTGCCACCATGCCCTGCTAATTTTTTGTATTTTTTTAGTAGACACGGGGTTTCACCATGTTGGCCAGGATGGTCTTGATCTGACCTCATGATCCGTCCGCCTCGGCTTCCCAAAGTGCTAGGATTACAGGCGTGAGCCACTGCGCCTGGCCTGGAGTTGTTTTTAAAAGCACATTTCTCTCAAATTAACTCCGGGTTGCCCCACTGTGACTTGGGAAAAGGTTGGATTTTCTGGAGGGGGAAAGTCAAACTTCAAATAGAATTTGGAGGCTGCCACTGTGGCTCATGCCTGTAATCCCAGTACTTTGGGAGGCTGAGGTGGGTGGATCATTTAAGGCCAGAAGTTCGAGACCAACCTGGGCAACATGACGAGACCTCGTTTCTACTAAAAATACAAAAATTAGCCAGGCGTGGTGGTACATGCCTGTAATCCCAGCTACTTAAGAGGCTGAGGCAGGTGTTATCGCTTGAACCTGGGAGGCAGAGGTGTCCTGTGTCCAAACCCCATGAGGCGTATCAGCTGGCTGAAGATAAAATCGGTCACGCTGTGTTGGGATTGGGGTTGCTGTTATCATCCCTCATCCCCACCCCTGCTTGGCATCCACAAACAGTCATCGTCAATGAGACATTCCTCCTGCCCCTGGCTGCCTTATTTCATCTGCACCCAACCATATCCATTGCTTGTCAGTGGGTCTCAACCTTGGCTGCACCTTGGAATCTCCTGGGGAGATGAGACAATACCAAGGCTCTCTCTCACTTAGCGTGATGTTTCCAATGTCCATCCACATGTAGTAGGCACCAATACTTCCACTGTATGGATACAGCACATTTTGTTTATTCATTCATCAACCAAATGGCCAGCTTGGTTGTTGCTACCTTTTGGTTATTATATATATTACATGATTCCATTTATGTGAAAGGCCCAGAATAGGCAAATCTATAGAGGCAGAAAGCAGGTAAGTGGTTGCCAGGAGCTGGGGGAAAGGGGAGGAGATGGAGAGTGCTTGATGGATACAGGGTTTTTTTTTGGGCGGGGGGTGTTAATGAAAATGTTTTGGAACTAGACAGAGATGATGATTGCTTAACATTGTGAATGTATTTAATGATACTGAAGAGTATGGTTTCATACAGGGACTTGTGTGTTATGTGAATTTTGCCTCATTAAAAAAATACTGCTAGGAGCAATGGCTCATGCCTGTAATCCCAGCACTGTGTGAGGCCAAGGTGGGCAGATCACCTGAGGCTGGGAGTTCGAGACCTGCCTGTGCAGCATGGTGAAACCCTATCTCTATTAAAAATACAAAAATTAGCCAGGCGTGGCTGTGCACACCTGTATTCCCAGCTACTTGGGAGGCTGAGGTAGGAAAATGGGTTGAACCCGGGAGGCAGAGGTAGCAGTGAGCTGAGATCGCACCACTGCACTTCAGCCTGGGTGACCAGAACAAGATTCCATCTCAAAAAAAAAAAAAAACAAAAAAAAAACGCACACACACAAAAACCAAAAATACTGATGCCCATGTTTCATCCCCAAGAGATTCTGTAATAATTGATCTGGGCTGCAGAGCCCGGGCACTGGGGTTTTAAAATCTCCCCAGGTGATTCTGATGTGCAGCTGTGTTTGAGAATCTCCTTCTGGAATGAACTTGTTCATGTTTTACTTGTGTTGTTTTCTAGCCTGCCAATGTCTTTCTGTTTCCCTTCACATCTTTGTGGGGTAATTTTTACAATGCAGTCTTAACAATCAGCTGCCTCAAAATGCACTGGGATCCCTCGTAACCAGGTAGCTCCCCATCTCCAACTCTGACCTGCCAAGTCAGAATCTTGTGCGTGGGGCCCAGGACTGTACATATTGAAACAGGCAGTGACCTGGGAACTATTTCTGAACACCCCTAGGTTTCCCCTGTGTTTGCCCTTTCCTTTCACATTTGGACCCCTTTGTGTGCTGACCACTGGGCTGTTTCACATGGACATAACATAAAAAAGACAGGCCAGGTGCATTGGCTCATGCCTGTAATCCCAGCACTTTGGGAAGCCGAGGTAGGCGAATCACTTGAGGCCAGGAGTTCAAGATCTGCCTGGCCAACATGAGTAAACCCCGTCTCTACCAAAAATATGAAATTAGCCGGGTGTGGTGATACACACCTTTGATCCCAGCTACTCAGGAGGACGAGGCTGGAGAATCCCTTGAGCCCAGGAGGCAGAGACTGCAGTGAGCCGAGATCGCACCACTTCACTCCAGCCTGGGTGAGAGTGAGACTCTTAAAAAAAAAAAAAAAAAAAAAAGAGATGTTCCTTCCTTTATGGAGCTCTCAGTAAAACAAGAAAGCTCACAATGTCCTGGCATTTGTCAGGAATACATTTGGTATATGTAGCTGGGGTCACATGCTTGACTTGCCTATTGAAAGGCTTCTGGGTAGGAAGAGAACAATCATCACAGCATCACAGCCTGGCATAACTGTCTCCCAGGACAGGTCTCCCTGGGGAGACTGAGACCACAACTCTGAAATCAGAGCTTAAATCCAGGTTCTACATTTTGCTCAGTAATGTACATGATGTAGGACAGTTTTTATATTAGTTATCTATTGCTGTGCAACAATATTACTGCAAACTTTGTGGCTTGAGACAGCACACAGTTATCACTATGTGGTTTCTGTGGGTCAGGAATCCAGGCGTGACTCAGCTGGGTTCAGTGCAAGGCTGCAACCATAATGTCAGCCAGGACTCAGTTCTCATCTGGAGGCCTGACTGGTGATTGATCTGCTTCCCGTCTCATCTGGTTGTTGGCAGCATTCAGTTCCTTGCAGGCTGCTGGACTCAGGGCCCCAGGTTCCTGCTGTCCTCAGCTTCTTGCCACATGGGCCTCTCCATCTGGCCACTCATGACATGGCAGCTCACATCTTCAAAGCCAGCAAGATAGCCTCCTAGCAAGACAACTTAACATCCTATCTGACATAATCACTACATCCCATCACCTCTGCCATATTCTCTTGGTTATAAGAAAGTCATAGGTCCCTTTGTCAGACGAGTAGATTGCAAAAATTTTCTCCCATTCTGTAGGTTACCTGTTCACTCTGATGGTAGTTTCTTTTGCTGTGCAGAAGCTCTTGAGTTTAATTAGATCCCATTTGTCAATTTTGGCTTCTGTTGCCATTGCTTTTGGTGTTTTAGCCATGAAGTCCTTGCCCATGCCTATGTCCTGAATCGTATTGCCTAGGTTTTCTTCTAGGATTTTTATGATTTTTAGGTCTAACATTTAAGTCTTTAATCCATCTTGAATTGATTTTTGTATAAGGTGTAAGGAAGGGATCCAGTTTCAGCTTTCTCCATATGGCTAGCCAGTTTTCCCAGCACCATTTATTAAATAGGGAACCCTTTCCCCATTTCTTGTTTTTGTCAGGTTTGTCAAAGATCAGATAGTTGTAGATAATGTGGCATTATTTCTGAGGGCTCTGTTCTGTTCCATTGGTCTATATCTCTGTTTTGGTACCAGTACCATGCTTTTTTGGTTACTGTAGCCTTGTAGTATAGTTTGAAGTCAGGTAGCGTGATGCCTCCAGCTTTGATCTTTTGGCTTAGGATTGACTTGGTAATGCCAGCTCTTTTTTGGTTCCATATGAACTTTAAAGTAGTTTTTTTCCAATTCTGTGAAGAAAGTCATTGGTAGCTTGATGGGGATGGCATTGAATCTATAAATTACCTTGGGCAGTATGGCCATTTTCATGATATTGATTCTTCCTACCCATGAGCATGGAATGTTCTTCCATTTGTTTGTATCCTCTTTTATTTCCTTGAGCAGTGGTTTGTGGTTCTCCTTGAAGAGGTCCTTCACATCCCTTGTAAGTTGGATTCCTAGGTATTTTATTCTCTTTGAAGCAATTGTGAATGGGATTTCACTCATGATTTGGCTCTCTGTTTGTTATTGGTGTTTACGAATGCTTGTGATGTTTGCACATTGATTTTTATCCTGAGGCTTTGCTGAATTTTGCTATTTTTAGTAGAGATGGGGTTTGCTGAATGCAGTCCCCAGTCACATACTCCCTTCTTGGTCAATCGATCACGACTCTCTCACGATCACGACCCTCTCACACGGACCCCCTTAGAGTTGTGAGACCTTAAAAGGGACAGGAATTGCTCACTTGGGGAGCTGGGTTGTTAGAGACGTGTGCCACCACTCCCAGCTATTTTTTTTTTTTTTTTTTTTTTTTTTTTTGAGACGGAGTCTCGCTCTGTCGCCCAGGCCGGACTGCGGACTGCAGTGGCGCAATCTCGGCTCACTGCAAGCTCCGCTTCCCGGGTTCACGCCATTCTCCTGCCTCAGCCTCCCGAGTAGCTGGGACTACAGGCGCCCGCCACCGCGCCTGGCTAATTTTTTGTATTTTTAGTAGAGACTGGGTTTCACCTTGTTAGCCAGGATGGTCTCGATCTCCTGACCTCATGATCCACCCACCTCAGCCTCCCAAAGTGCTGGGATTACAGGTGTGAGCCACTCCACCCAGCCCACAGAAGGCTTTTCATACTTGCTTGGCAGCCTCCTGCATCCTACGCCAGCACCTGGCGCTCACACCCTGTGGGCTGCTCTCATCCGTGATCGTCTCTCCCCAGGCCTGCTGTTCATTGAGAAAGGAAGTTGTAATGGGCAGAATTCTAGGACAGCCCCCAAGAGACCCACTCCCTTATATCTGCTCCCTGTATCATCTCTTCTTGAGTGTGTGCAGAGCTTGTGATTTGGCCAAGGGGAAGGAATTTTGCAAATGTGATTATGGTCACACTTGCTGTGTTAAGCACATTTGCTCAGCTGACTTTGAGTTCATCCAAAGCAGGATGATCTTTGGTGGGCCAGACCTAATCAGGTGAGTCTTTTAAAGGTGAAGTTTCAGAGATTCAACCCTTAGCCTCCAAGGAGACACAAATGGCCATGCTGTGAATTGTCTTTGGAGGTGGCAGCTCTAGGAGCTAAGGGCCTTCGTTCAACAATTGCAAGAAATTGAATTCAGTCCACAAACTGAATAAGCTTGGAAGAGGACACTGAGCATCCGATGAGACCCCAGCTGACACTCTGGTTGCCGTATTGTGACCCTGAATAGAAGACCCAGTTAAACCCTGCCCAGACCCTTGGCTCATGGAAACAGATAATAACTGGATGGTGCTTTAAGCTGCTCAGTATGCACTGGTAAATCCACCAACAGGAAAGTAATATAGAAGTTAAATGGGCCAGGCATGGTGGCTCATGCTTGTAATCCCAACACTTTGGGAGGCTAAGGTGGGTGGATCACAAGGTCAGGAGATCGAGACCATCCTGGCCAACATGGTAAAATCCCGTCTCTACTAAAAATACAAAACTTAGCCAGGAGTGGTGGTGGGTGTCTGTAATCCCAGCATTTTGGGAGGCTGACGCATGAAAATCACTTGAACCCAGGAGGCAGAAGTTGCAGTGATCCACGATCATGCCACTGCACTCCAGCCTGGGCAAGAGAGTGAGACTCTGTCTCAAAAAAAAAAAAAAAAAAAAAAAATTGTGCTTAATAATAGCTTGGAAGTGCACATATCTTCTGTGAAGGTTGATGGACTACAATTAGCTTCAAAACACAAATAAGTAACTGTGTTTAAATGAGGCCTTCTGTGTAATATCTAGGGAAAATCAATGTGGCTATTCATATTTTGTTTCCCCTTCCAGGCACAGAGAAGTTGCCCATGACTCTGTGATCCGTTTTGTCCAATGAACCATGAGCAGCAGCAACTTGAATCGCCTCCAGGTGGAAGTGTTAAGAGGCTCTATGATCCACCACATTCCCTTTCCCCTGAAGTGGTGATCAAGGACACATGCAGAGATGGGGCTTTTGTCAGCCTGGATCCCTGAGTGAACACAATGAACAGACCACCACACAATGCCCTAACACAGCCCAGACATGCAACGTGACCAAGAATAAGCCTCACTGTGGCCAGGCATGGTGGCTCATGCCTGTCGTTACAGAACTTTGGGAGGCCAAGGCAGGTGGATCATTTGAGGTCAGGAGTTCAAGACCAGCGTGGCTAACATGGTGAAATCCTGTCTCTATTAAGTACAAAAATTAGCCAGACAGTGGTGGCAGGGGCCTGTAATCCCAGCTACTCAGGAGGCAGGAGAATCACTTGAGTCTGGGAGGCAGAGGTTGCAGTGAGCTGAGATTGCACCACTGCACTCTAGTCTGGGTGACAGAGTGAGACCCTGTCTCAAAAACAAACAAACAAATACCTCACTGCATGGAGCCACTGAGATTTGGGGATTGTTGTTACTGCACCAGAACCCAAATCATCCTGACCACTAGAGTGTCCTAACTAGGGTTTCTTACCAAAAGCAAAGGCATTTTTAAACTTCGTGACATTTAAACAAAACAGCAAATACTAATATCTACCACTTTGTCAGGCTAACACACCCAAACAAAGCCAACAGCCAGAAGTTAAAATAAACAGATCATTAGGTTGAAAATAGAACTGTCAAAACAGGCACAATTGACTTCATTTAGTGATTGCAAAGAACGTCAGGCAAGACACAGGTGTGGTCATCATAACATTTATCACATGCTTAATTGCACATGTTTGACTAAGAAAAACACAAAGTATTTAAGCTCATCTGTAGTTCAAAGTGCCTATCCGTGTATTTATCTATTCATCCTGATTTATTTATTGAGCAACTCTTTTGTGCCAGGCACTGTGCTGTGTTGCGGGAAGTCAGGGACCCCAAACGGAGGGACCGGCTGAAGCCATGACAGAAGAATGTGGATTATGAAGATTTTATGGACATTTATTAGTTCCCCAAATTAATACTTTTGTAATTTCCTATGCCTTCCTTTACTGCAATCTCTAAACATAAATTGTAAAGATTTCATGGACACTTATCACTTCCCCAATCAATACCCTTGTGATTTCCTATGCCTGTCATTACTTTAATCTCTTAATCCTGTCAGCCCAGAAGGATGTATATCGTCTCAGGACCTGTAATAATTGCGTTAGGTACACAAATTGTACAGCATGTGTGTTTGAGCAATATGAAATGTGGGCACCCTGAAAAAAGAACAGGATCACAGCAATTGTTCAGGGAATAAGAGAGATAACCTTAAACTCTGACCGCCGGTGAGCCGGGCAGAACAGAACCATATTTCTCTTCTTTCAAAAGCAAATGGGAGAAATATCGCTGAATTCCTTTTCTCAGCATGGAACGCCCCTGAGAAAGAGAATGCGCACCTAGGGGTAGGTCTCTGAACTGGCCCCGTGGGGCGTACCTGTCTCTTATGGTCGAGATTGCAGAGATGAAATAAACTCCAGTCTCCCATAGCGCTCCCAGGCTTATTAGGAAAAGAAAATTCCCACCTAATAAACTTTGGTCAGACCGGTTGATCTCAAAACCCTGTCTCCTGATAAGATGTTATCAATGACAATGGTGCCAAAACTTCATTAGCAATTTTAATTTCACTTCGGTCCTGTGGTCTCGCCCTGTCTCCACTTGCCTTGAGATATTCTATTATCCTGTTAAGTACTTGATGTCTGTCACCCACACCTATTTGTATACTCCCTCCCCTTTTGAAACTCCCTAATAAAAACTTGCTGGTTTTTGTGGCTTGTGGGACATCACGGATCCTACCAATGTGTGATGTCTCTCCCGGACGCCCAGCTTTAAAATTTCTCTCTTTTGTACTCTGTCCTTTTATTTCTCAAGCAAGTCGACGCTTAGGAAAATAGAAAAGAACCTACGTGATTATCGGGGCAGGTCTCCCGATATCTGGCGCCCACGTGGTCTTTCTTTTTTCCTAAGTGCATGAGGGAACCGGATTCCCTTTGGTAGGTGCGGTGAAACGTCAATCGGCTTGGTCCACAGATAAGCGTGTTCAACTCCCCGACGAGTGGTGAGTAATCTGTGTAAGGTCTGGGTTAACTATGGGTAATGTGTAATCTAACAAACTCCTGTTAAAACAGGTAACCATGAAAAATATGATCACTCTATTCAGGGCAGTAGAAAAATATTGTTCTTGGTTTCCTGAAAAAGGAACCGTGTATATAAAATTGTGTGATAGTGTTCGTAAAGCATTCCGAAAACTGGTCTCGGCCGGGTATTGTGTTCCCATCACTGTTTGGGGTGCTTGGTGCGTGCCATCTTCGTGGCTTGCCAATCTCGTGACCCCCTGCAGTTGCCACAGTTTTCTGCCTTTTCCTCAGTTTCTCTGCCTTTTTCTCAACCTTCCTCTCGCACATGGCCTTCGTTCAGACTCTCCCTTCAGTTACCCCTCCCCTACCTAACGATTCTGAAAATTCGATTTCTAACTCTGGTAACTTTGGCTTAAAGTTACCCCCTGCTTTTCTTCTTCTCATGAAAAGCCGGTACTTCAAACTCCTGCGGCTGTGAATCACAAAGCCCGGTACCATAAATATGCTAATTCTTCTCTCTTCAAACCTCCAGCATCAACTAATGGCTCTGGGACCAAACTACAATTTACCTGTCATTCTCCGGGCCCTCCCCCATCCACTACAACCCCTCACCCTCCTGTCGTTTCAGTTCCTCAACCAGTCTGCGTCGATATGCGCCGCTCAATCTTACCTTTTTAAAAACAATTTAAGGATGCTTGTACTCAGTATGGTCCTACGTTTCCTCATGTTCAAATGGCATTGCAAACTTTTTATACTGAGGTCGTTTTGCTTCCTTTAGACTGTGATCTTTTGGCAAAAAGCTGTTCTAAGTCCATCTCAGCCTGGTGGTCAGAGGAGGCCTGTTTACAGGCTCAGCTAAATCGGAGTAATGGCATTCTAATTACTCAGGCTCAGCTCACAGGCTCCGATAGTTTCTCTGATGCTTATGCCCAATTAAACTTTGATACTCTTACCACAGAACAAGTAACAAAAGTGTGTATGAGAGCTTGGGAGAAATTACACTCCCCAGCCCAAGCTCCTGTTTCTTTTACTATGTTAAACAAGCTCAATTGCTTTTACTACCTAATATCCTTTTAAACAAAGGAGATAAGACACGTGGCCCTGGGATTCAGCAGTGGCCGCTTTCTAAAGAAAAACTGGAGGCTTTAAATCAATTGGTTTCTGAGCAGTTACAGCTTGGAAATGTGGAACCTTCTCTTTCCCCTTGGAATTCTCCTGTGTTTCTAGTAAAAAAGAAATCAGGCAAATGGCGGATGGTAACCGATTTAAGGGCCATTAATGCTGTAATTAAACCTATGGGGGCCGTCCAACCCGGCATGCCTGCCCCTGCTTTAATACCTAAAGATTGGCCTCTCATAGTTAGTGATCTTGAAGAGTTTTTTTTTTTTCATATCGCTTTACATAAATCGGATTGTGAAAAATTTGCTTTTACTGTACCATCTATCAATAATCAGGAGCCTGTAGCTCGTTATCAATGGAAAGTACTTCCTCAGGGAATGCTAAATAGCCCTACAATCTGCCAGCTTTATGTTGGACAAGAGCTTTCACCAGTTTGAGCCCGATTTCCCGACGCCTATATTCTTCATTATATTGATGATATTTTAATTTCTGCCCCCACTGATAAAAAATTAATTGACTGTTACCAAATTTTGAGCCGCTGTGTTACAGAGGCTGGATTACACATTGCTCAGGATAAAATTCAACAGACCACTCCTGTTCAATATTTAGGAATGGTGGTCGATAAAAAATGTATACAACCTCAAAAAGTTCAAATTAGGAGAGATCCTTTAAAAACTTTAAATGACTTCCAAAAACTTTTGGGTAACATTAATTATTTAAGACCTACTTTAGGCATTCCGACCTATGCCCTGTCTAACTTGTTCTCTATGCTGCGGGGAGATTCTGATCTCTGCAGCCCTAGGACTTTGACCCCTGAGGCTTTACTAGATCTGGAATTTGTAGAGGAAAAAATCCAGACTGCCCAGTTATCTAGAGTACAGCCATTTCAGCCTCTTCAGCTTCTGGTTTTTGCTTCATTACACTCCCCTACTGCACTAATAGTTCAACATAATGATTTAGTGGAGTGGTGTTTTCTTCCTCATTCTGTGTCAAAAACTTTATCTAGACCAAATAGCCATATTAATTGGACAGGTTCGGTGCAGAATACTTCAAATTTCTGGATTTGATCCAAATGTAATTGTAGTTCCTTTAAATCAGCTCGAAGTTCAAGCTGCCTTTCAACATTCTGTACTGTGGCAAATTCACTTGGCTGATTTTATTGGTGTTATTGACAATCATTATCCAAAAAAACAAATTGTTTGATTTTATAAAAATAACGTCTTGGGTGGTTCCTCTATTAACCAAAAATCAACCCATTCCTGAGACCGTTACAGTATTCACTGATGGCTCTAGTAAGGCAGTGCTGGCTATATAGGTCCTGCAGACAAACTTATTTCTACCTCTTATACTTCCGTTCAAAAGGCGGAGTTAATTGCTGTGATTACTGCCTTACAAGATTTCCCCAAACCTTTAAATATTGTCTCTTATTCTACTTAACCTGCGGAAGAGGATATGCTTGTGTTTCACCAGGAGATCATCAATCCCCTGTCTGGGTACCTACCAGAAGACTCAAGCTTCTTGTGAATACTGACAAAACCACAGTGAAGAGACGTCTGTGTCAGAGACTGCCTTCAGATGTGGTGAGATCTGTGCCGACTCCTCAGAAACAGGCACACCAAATCACAATGGGTGTAAATCAGTCCTCCCTGATGGCATTGGAGACCCATCTAACTAATCACACTTCTCCTGATTACCTTTCTTTTTCTCCTTACAAACCTAAATATCTCACCATTTCTATTAGCCTGAAAATAACATCCCTCTGTTCTTCTCTTTCTCCTTCAGCACTCCATCTCGCTTACACTAGGTTTTATTTAATGATTCTCCTCCTTATACTTTCTGTCTCACCAGTTTCCTCTCACACTGATTTACCTGCTACACAGAATTATTCTTATTGGGCTTATGTGCCTTTTCCTCCACTCATTCATCCTCTCACCTGGATAGATGCTCCCGCAGAAATCTACACTAACGATAGTGTGTGGATGCCTGGAGCCATAGACGACCCTTGCCCTGCTCAACCAGGAGAAGAAGGCACTGCATTTAATGTTACCATGGGTTAGAAATACCCACCTCTGTGCCTCCGACATGCACCTGGTTGCATCCATCTAGAAACTCAGTTCTGGGCTGCTTATCTTTTAGAAACATCTGCTACAGATAAAATGGGACATTTGGTCTCTGGCCTCTCCCTTTCTCCTTTAAAACAAATGAAAGGAGGAGTAATGGGAGGTACCGCATACTTTCAATATAAACCTGCAGGAAAACCATGCCCTAAACATTTTGAGGGCCCATCTAAAACTTTAATTTGGGAAGATTGTGTTAACTCACATGCAGTAATATTGAAAAATGACTCATATGGTTTAGTAATAGACTGGGCACCAAAGGGCTATTTCAAAAACAATTGCTCCTCCGTGGAAGGGAATGCCTGGAGGCTACTTATTTTATTTCTTACCAGGAGAAAGAGAATAATCATTCTACTTTGCATACAAGGACCAGCTCATTCTTTCCCTTAAAATGGGAAGATAAAGGCATTACCACCCCCCCAGGCCTCGTATGATACTCCCTATTCTGAGCCCAGAACACCCAGAATTTTGGAAATTGGCTATTGCCATGTCTGAACTGCGAGTATGGGAAGGAAAAACTATTTTGACTGTTGTTCCCACTACCGTCCCACTCTCAGTATCATTGTAGACCCAGACATTCTGCTTTACTTACCTCCAACCTGACTGTTCCCATACAGAGTTGTGTTAAGCCTCCTTACATGCTATTGGTAGGAAATATCAAAATTTGGATGAATAATCAAACTGTCCAATGCGTCAATTGTCATCTATACACTTGTATTAACTCCCATTTTGACTCCAGGAAAAGTGTAATGTTGGTTCGAGCTCAAGAAGGAATCTGGATTCCGATAACTTTACCTAGACCTTGGGAATCCTCCACCTCAATACATTTAATTAATGAAGTGGTACAAAGCATTCTAAAAAGATCTCAGAGATTTGTTTTCACTTTAATCGCTGTTACCATGGGCCTAATTACAGTCACTGCAATGGCCACCACTGCCGGAATGGCATTACACCAGTCTACTCAAACAGCTCATTTTGTTAATGATTGGCAAGCCAATTCCACCCAAATGTGGAATTCTCAACAAGGCATCGATCAAAAATTGGCAAATCAAATTAATGATTTAAGACACTCTGTTATTTGGCTTGGAGATCGGGTAGTGAGTCTAGAACATCGCATGCAAATGCACTGCGATTGGAATACTTTGGATTTCTGCATCACCCCGTATTCCTATATCAAGACTGATCATTCATGGGGAAATGGTCAAAGGACACCTTCTAGGTAGAAAAGATAATTTATCACTGGACACAACTAAATTAAAAAAACAAATTTTTGAATCCTCCCAAGCTCACTTATCCATCATGCCTGGAGCTCAGACGTTAGATCAGGTGGCAGAAAATCTTTATGGATTAAACCCCACAACTTGGATTAAGTCTATTGGGGGCTCCACTATAGTAAATTTTGGAATTATGTTTCTCTGCTTAATCGGCTTGCTTTTAGTGTGCCGTACCAGTCAAATAATACTGTGTCAAAATCGAGAGAATGAACAAGCCTTCATCGCCATGGAACATTTACATAAAAAGAAAGGGAGAGATGTTGCGGGAAGTCAGGGACCCCAAACGGAGGGACCGGCTGAAGCCATGACAGAAGAACGTGGATTATGAAGATTTTATGGACATTTATTAGTTCCCCAAATTAATACTTTTGTAATTTCTTATGCCTGTGTTTACTGCAATCTCTAAACATAAATTTTGAAGATTTTATGGACACTTATCACTTCCCCAATCAATACCCTTGTGATTTCCTATGCCTGTCATTACTTTAATCTCTTAATCCTGTCAGCCGAGAAGGATGTATATCGTCTCAGGACCTGTAATAATTGCGTTAAGTACACAAATTGTACAGCATGTGTGTTTGAGCAATATGAAATGTGGGCACCCTGAAAAAAGAACAGGATCACAGCAATTGTTTAGGGAATAAGAGAGATAACCTTAAACTCTGACCACCGGCGAGCCGGGCAGAACAGAACCATATTTCTCTTTTTTCAAAAGCAAATGGGAGAAATATCATTGAATTCCTTTTCTCAGCATGGAACGCCCCTGAGAAAGAGAATGCGCACCTAGGGGTAGGTCTCTGAACTGGCCCCGTGGGGCGTACCTGTCTCCTATGGTCGAGATTGCAGAGGTGAAATAAACTCCAGTCTCCCATAGCACTCCCAGGCTTATTAGGAAGAGAAAATTCACACCTAATAAACTTTGGTCAGACAGGTTGATCTCAAAACCCTGTCTCCTGATAAGATGTTATCAACGACAATGGTGCCAAAACTTCATTAACAATTTTAATTTCACTTCCGTCCTGTGGTCCTGTGATCTTGCCCTGTCTCCACTTGCCTTGTGATATTCTATTACTCTGTTAAGTACTTGATGTCTGTCACCCACACCTATTTGTATACTCCCTCCCCTTTTGAAACTCCCTATTAAAAACTTGCTGGTTTTTGTGGCTTGTGGGGCATCACAGATCCTACCAATGTGTGATGTCTCCCCCAGACGCCCAGCTTTAAAATTTCTCTCTTTTGTACTCTGTCCTTTTATTTCTCAAGCCAGTCGACGCTTAGGAAAATAGAAAAGAACCTACCTGATTATCAGGGCAGGTCCCCCGATAGTGTTGGGTGGTGGTAATGCATTGATGAAGATGGCAGGCATGCCTCTGCCCTCCAGGAGTTTCTAGGATACAGAGGGGGACAAATAAAAAATAAGTAAATCCATGAAAGAAGTATAGGTGGAACCTGCACCCAATATTTCAATGTAGGTTCTTTCTATTTTCCCTAAGTGTCAGCCAGCTGAGAAATAGAGACACTACAAAGAGAGGAATTTTACAGCTGGGCTGCTGGGGGTGACATTACACATCAGTAGGACCGTGATTCCCCCTGAGTCTCAGATGAGCAAGTTTTTATTAAGGGCTTCAAAAGGGGAGGGTGTGTAAGAACAGGGAGTATGTACAAAGGTCACATGCTTCAAAGGGTAAAAAGCAGAACTACTACTAAGGGTCTAACAAAGATCACATGCTTCTGAGGGAACAGGACAAAGGGCAAAAGCAGAACTACTGATAAGTGTCCAGCAAAGATCACAAAGCAAAGGGCAAAAGCAGAACCACTGATAAGGGTCTATGTTCATTCACGCATGTATTGTCTTGATAAACATCTTAAACAACAGAAAACAGGGTTCAAGAGCAGAGAACCAGTCTGACCACAGGTATATCAGGGCGGAGTTTTTCTCCACCCTAGTAAGCCTTTGGGTACTGCAGGAGACCAGGGCGTATCTCAGTCCTTATCTCAACCGCATAAGACAGATATTCCCAGAGCGGCCATTTATAGACCTTCCCCCAGGAATGCATTCCTTTCCCAGGGTATTACTATTAATATTCCTTGCTAGGAAAAGAATTTAGCGATATCTCTCCTACTTGCACATCCGTTTATAGACTCTGCAAGAAGAAACATATGGCTCTTTTTGCCCAACCCAGCAGGCAGTCAGACCTTATGGTTGTCTTCCTTTGTTCCCTAAAAATTGCTGTTATTCTCTTCTTTTTCAAGGTGCACTGATTTCATATTGTTGAAACACACGTTTTACAATCAATTTGTACAGTTAACACAATTATCACAGTGGTCCTGAGGTGATGTACATCCTTAGCTTATGAATATAACAGAATTAAGAGATTAAAGACAGGCATAACAAATTATAAAAGTATTATTTGGGAACTGATAAATGTCCATGAAATCTTCACCATTTATGTTCCTCTGCCATGGCTCCAGCCAGTCCCTCTCCATTTGGGGTCCCTGACTTCCCACAACAAGAAACAATAAGAGGTTAAGGTGGAGAAGAGCAGGGAAGTCCACTTTATAAAGGGGTCAGGAAAGAGCTGTCTGTGGAAGCACCATTTTAGCTGAGACCTAAAGGATGGTCTAATCTGGGGAGGTGCAGAGGAAAATCATTCCAGGCTGAAGCAGTAAGTGCAAAGGCCCTGTTGTGGAAAAAGGTTTGAAAGTCCAAGAAAACAAAAGGAGGCCATAGTGGCTGAAATAGAGTAGGCCAAGGGCAGGAGATAGGAGAGGGCTGGAGAGGTGGCAGGAACAGGCAGAAGACTCGGGGTCTCGATTTTATTCTATGTACCATGGGCAGGAAAGGCAGGGATGAGACTCAATGGACACCTTAAGATCACTGAAGCTGCCAGGTAGGAAATGGATTGCTGAGCATGGAGAGCAGGTGCAGAGTACCAGTTAAGACCAGTTAGGAGGCTGCTGTAGCCCAGCTGAGATAGTGGTGTCCTAGGCAAAGATAATGACAGTGAAGCTAGAGAGAGTGGACAAGTTGGATAAAGTTTAGAATCACAGGACTTGCTGACTGGAGAAGAGAGCAAAAGCAGAGTTAGCACAACACATGAGTTATGACCACCTTGAGCAGCTCAGCAGGGGGTGGTGCCATTTGCAGAACAGAGATGGCATGAACAGAACCCATGGAGAAGGAGGAGGAAAAAGAGAGTTTGGCTTTGGGTTTTCTTTAAGACATGGTCTCTGGCTGTGTCACCCAGGCTGGAGTGCACTGGTGCAATCATAGCTCTTTGCAGCCTCGAACTCCTGGGCTCAAGTGATCCTCCTGCCTCAGCCTGCCATGTAGCAGGACTACAGATCCTACAGATGCACATCACCATGCCTAGCTTTTTTTTTTTTTTTTTTTTTTTTTTTTTTTTTTTTTTTTTTTTTTTGTAGATAGGGAGTCTCACTGTGTTTTCAAGGCTGGCTTCAAACTCCTGGCCTCAAGTAATCCTCCCACCTCAGCCTCCCATAGCACTGGGATTACAGCCATCACCTACCAATCCAAGCCATGAGTTTGGCTTTGGATGTAACAAGGTTGAGGTGTTCACGAGTTGACAAATGGAAAAAACAAAAAAGAAGTTGAGTGTTGGCCGGGCGCGGTGGCTCACGCCTGTAGTCCCAGCACTTTGGGAGGCCGAGGCGGGTGGATCATGAGGTCAGGAGATCGAGACCATCCTGGCTAACACGGTGAAACCCCGTCTCTACTAAAAATACAAAAAATTAGCCGGGCGCGGTGGCGGGCGCCTGTAGTCCCAGCTACTGGGGAGGCTGAGGCAGGAGAATGGCGTGAACCCGGAAAGCGGAGCTTGCAGTGAGCCGAGATTGCGCCACTGCAGTCCGCAGTCCGGCCTGGGCGACAGAGCAAGACTCCGTCTCAAAAAAAAAAAAAAAAAAAAAAAAAAAAAAAAAAAAAGAAGTTGAGTGTTTAAGACTGCTGTTTGAAGGAGAAGTCTAGCCTCAAGACAAAAGTTCAGGACTCATCAGCTGAGAAATGGCACTGAAAATTACGTAAATGGATGAGCTCAGCTAGCAAACAAGACCAGAGAGAGCAGAAAGTCCAGAGAGAGCAGCACTGGGCTATGCACCTGGCCTAATGCTGCCCCGCTCCTCCCAATCCCTGTGTTATGCTGGAGAGGGTTCAGCCTCTGGTGAGTTTCACCAAACCCCCACATCTCTTTCTTCTGAGACCTTCTCTAAAATCCCGTCTTTTATACTTAGTGAAATGGGATTCTCTTTTTCCCATCCAGCTTAAGCAAAAACTTTTGACTATGAGAAGAATGAGGATGCATTTATTATCTGTTCTGCATGGCTAATTCCATCAAAGATTTCTCATTATTCATGCCTGGCACTCTCATTTTCTTCTTTTGCATCTAAGAGCACAGTCGTAGCCTTAATTACTTACCTTTTCACTCTTCTAATACCAGCGATTTCCCCCATCTCAGTTCTCAGGAAGTTCTGTTTGCAGAATTATCTCCTGAATCCTCACCTGGAGATAGAAATTGTTCTCTGTGGCCATTTCTTCCCCCTCTAATTCTTATCAAAAAACTCAGTGATCTCTGTGCATCAAATATTAAACTCAAGCTCAACAGATCATGATTCTGGCTTGTCTCTCTCTCCGGCCTGTGGGTTAACAGGTTTGCAACCTTTGCAGAGAAGACACCAAATTCTCAGGAGGCCAGAGTTTCCAAAGGTACTAGTCACTCTTGCTCTCTTTCTCCTGCTCAAAATTCAGCACTAGAGAGTGTTACACCATTGCACCTGCAGAGGAGTTCATCTGACTCTAGGGACTACAGAGGAGAGAGATGGACAAACTAACAGGCATTCAGAAAATGACTACCACAATGGGGAAGAAAATGAAAGTCAAAACAAATAAGCAATGGTCAAAAAAAAGAAAAATCTAGAGGGCAGCTGCAGTGGCTCACACGTGTAATCCCAGCACTCTGGGAGGCCGAGGCAGGTGGATCACTTGAGATCAGGAGTTCGAGACCAGCCTGGGCAACATAGGGAAATCACATCTCTACTAAAAATACAAAAATTAGCCAAGTGTGGTGGCGGGCACCTGTAATCCCAGCATTTTGGGAGGCTGAGGTGGGTGGATCACCTGATGTCAGGAGTTTGAGACCAGCCTGGCCAACATGGTGAAACCCTATTTCTATTAAAAAACACAAAAATTAGCCAGGTGTGGTGGCAGGTGCCTGTAATCCCAGCTACTTGGGAGGCTGAGGCAGGAGAATTGCTTGAACCCAGGAGGCAGAGGTTGTGGCGAGCAAAGCTTGCACCACTGCACTCCAGCCTGGGCAAAAGTGAGACTGTCTCAAAAAAAAAAAAAAAAACCAACCTAGGGCTGTCCATCCAGGCTGAAGAGAATATTCCAGAGCAGAGGTTGGGACACTATGGCCCATGGGCCAAATCTGACCTGCTTTGCACATGTGTTTGTCAATAAAGTTTTATTGAAACACAGCCATGCACATTTGCTACATATTGTCTATGGCTGCTGGATTTGGCTGTTCTCTCATGCTATAAAGAAATACCTGAGGCTGGGTAATATATTAAAAAAAGAGGTTTAATTGGCTCACAGTTTTGTAGGCTATACAGGGAGCATGACACTGACAGCCGCTGAGCTTCTGTGGAGGCCTCAGGAAACTTACAATGATGGCAGAAGGTGAAGCGGGAGCAAGAGAGTAAGGTGGGAGGTGCTACACACTCGTAAACAACCCGATCTTGCAAGAACTCACTCACTATTGCAAGGACAGGACCAAAAGGATGACGCTAAATCATTCATGAGAAATCCACCCCCATGATCCAATCTCTTCCCACCAGGCCCCACCTCTAACACTGGGGACAGCTTTTATCTTGGCTTTTTCACTGGCAGCCCCTTCCTCAAGGACTTAACTTGTGCAAGCTGACTCTTAGCACATCCAAGAATGCAATTAACTGATAAGATACTGTGGGGCGAGCAATATCCGCAGTTCCCAGGAATTTGTCCGATTGATAATGCCTAAAGCCCCACGTCTATCATTTTGTAATAGTCTTAAAGCCCTTAGACCTAGAACTGTTTACTTTCCTGTAACAATTTATCCTTTTAACTTTTTTGCCTACTTTACTTCTGTAAAATTCTTTTAACTAGACCCGTTTCCCCTTTCTAAACTGAAGTATAAAAGAAAATCTAGCCCCTTCTTCGGGGCCAAGAGAACTTTAAGAGTTAGCCATTTCTTGACCGCCAGCTAAATAAGCAGACTCTTAATTCATGTGAAAGTGTGGCATTTTCTCTAACTCTTTCAAGTACAACATTTGGAGGCCCCAGCGAGAAACGCCATGAGGCGAGAGCCGGGCTCGCTCCGGGCTCCCCCAGAAGGACGGCCGGCTTGTTGGGGGGTGCCACCTAAAAAAAATTTTCAGGTCCTCGAAAGGTGACCGTCTTCCAGAGGAGAGCGGATCGACTACCGTGTGGGTGACCATAAAAATTCCACCTCTGAGTCCTCGACTTCTGACCCCAAGGTCAGGTAGGTCAGATTTGACTTCAGTTCTAGTAAGAGGGAAGCGGCCCTGACGAGGGTGTCCCTCTTTTGACTCTGCCTGTTTATCTAGGACGCTAGAAGGTAGAGCGCTGGCTTTCTGTTAGGCACCTCTGTGTCTCTTTCTAGGAGGGAAGAGGCCCTGACAGGGACCCTCCCTTGACTCAGTCCACATCCCAGGATGCTGGAGGACTGAGTCCTGGTTTCTGGCAGACCGGTCACTCTCTCTCTCTCTTTTTATATCTCTCATCTTTCTCTTGTTCAAGTTTCTTGAAGAATCTCCAAGAAAGAAAGAAAAAAAAACTGTTATATACTCTGTGTGAATAATGAATGAATGAGGGAGGACAAGGGCTTGCGCTTGTCCTCCAGTTTGTAGCTCCACGGCGAAAGCTACGGAGTTCAAGTAGACCCTCACCTGCGGTTCCTTGGCGACCTCATAAGGCTTAAGGCAGCATCAGGCATAGCTTGATCTGAGCCGCAAGTTTATACCGGCCTGCCAATGGTAAGAGGAGCCCAGGTCCCCTCAGGGGGAGTGGCCAGGCAGGCATCTGACTGATCCCATCACAGGAAACCCTCTCCTTGTCTGTCTAAGAAAAAAAAAAAAGGAAGAAACTGTCATAACTGTTTACATGCCCTAAAGTCAACTGTTTGTTTTATATTGATTGTTCTGTTCAGTGTCTATTGTCTTGTTAGTAGTTGTCAAAGTTTTGCATGTCAAGACGTTGATATTGCCCAAGACGTCTAAGTAAAAACTTCTTCAAAGTCCTTAGTGCTGATTTTTTGTCACAGGAGGTTAAATTTCTCATCAATCATTTAGGCTGACCACCACAGTCCTGTCTTTTCTGCCAGAAGCAAGTCAAGTGTTGTTACAAGAACAAGTGTGAAAAACATTTGCCTGATTAAGATTTCTAGCACCATGAAAGTTGTAAGTATTTAGATCGCCATACTCCTCGTCCAAGTGATTAGACCTCCTCTAAATAAACCAGTAGTGAGTTCAAAACAGCCACCCTGCAGATTTCCTTGCTCACCTCTCTTGTCATTCTGTAACTTTTCCTGTGCCCTTAAGTAAAACACTGTGTAAAGAAACGTACGCCCGTACTGCTTTACTTCGTTAAGATTCTTACTCTGTTCCTCTGTGGCTACTCTCCCATCTTCAAAATGATCAGAGTAGTCCTTTTCCACCTTGTCCCTGCCCCCTATCCCGCACATCTCGTTTTACGGTGCGACAGCAAGTTTACCGTCTCCAGGACTTGGCTCTGCTCTCACTCTTTAAACCCTTAAAAGAAAAAGCTAAGTTTAGGCTATTTGCGTTTAAGTCATAAAGACACCAAAAGTATTTAAAGTGCAGATCTAGAAGAAGAAGAAGAACGCCTAGATCAAACTGACCCAGAAGATCTCAGGCTGGCTCTAGTCCTCCTCCCTCAATCTTAAAGCTACAGCAATGTAGCAAGTAGTATTAGCTGTTGTAAGTTTTTCTGCTCTTTCTAGTCATATTTATACTGTTCTTTCACTACTCCAGTCCCCCAAGAAATAAGTTTCTCTGTCCATGCTAAGTTTAATATCTATGCTCCAATCTTATTAAATTGCCTTCAAAAAAAAAAAAGAAAGAAACACTTCCTCCCAGCCTTGTAAAGTTAAAGCCCTCTCCAATGTATGCTGCAGAATTTTCCTCTCAGTTCCTCAGAGGATTATAAAGTCCGCCTTAAAAAAGGCAAGCTCCAGACACTGTGCAAAATAAAATGGCCAAAGTTTAGAGTCGAGTGGCCCCCTGAAGGGCCATTGAACCTCACAATTGTTCAAGCTGTGTGGCAGGTTGTTACTGAAACTCCTAGCCACCCTGATCAGTTTCCCTACATTGATCAATAGCTAAGTTTAGTCAGGAGCCCCCTCCATGGCTCCGTTCATGCGCCATTCATAATTCTACCTCCAAGGTCCTCCTAAGCCAGACCGCATTTTCGCCTCAACCCTCAGCCGGTTCAGCTCCCCCTGTACTGCCTCCCTCTGAAGAAGAGGAGAGTCTCCCTCACCCAGTCCCACCGCCTTACAACCAGCCTTCTCCCTTAAAGTTATCCCATGTCTGCTCGACGACGTCCCCTGTAGGCTCGCCACCCATTGCCTCTCAATCATGACCGTGGCAGGAAGAAGTAGCCCCTCTACTACCACTGAGAGAGGCACAAGTCCCTCCAGGTGACGAGCGCTCAGCACCCTTCTTAGTTTGTGTTCTTTTTCTACTTCTGACTTATATAATTCGAAAACCCATAATCCTCCCTTCTCTGAAAAGCCCCAGGCTTTGACCTCTCTGACAGTCTGTACTCCGGACTCAACCCGCCCACCTAAGATGATTGCCAACAGCTCCTTTTAACCCTTTTCACCTCTGAAAAGAAGGAACGTATCCAAAAAGAAGCCAAAAAGTACTTCCTCACATCAGCCAACGGACCGGAAGAAGAAGTTAGAGACCTCCTTGAGGAGGTCTTTCCCTCTACCCGGCCTAACCAGAACCCAAATTCCTCAAGTAGAAAGGGAGCTTTAGACGATTTTCACCGGTATCTCCTCGCAAGTATTAAAAGAGCCGCTCAGAAACCCATAAACTTGTCTAAGACGACCGAAGTTGTCCAAAGGCCCGATAAGTCACCAAGAACGTTTTTAGAGCGCCTCCAGGAGGCTTATCGGATTTACACCCCTTTGGACCCGGCAGCTCCCGAAAATAGCCGTGCTCTTCATTTAGCATTTGTGGCTCAGGCAGCCCCGGATATTAAAAAGAAACTCCAAAAACTAAAAAGATTTGCTAGAATAAATATCAGTCAGCTTTTAGAAATAGCCCAAAAAGTTTTTGACAATCAAAAGTTTAAAAAACAAAAACAAGCAACACAGGCAGCTGAAAAGGCCGCTGATAAAGCATTCAAAAGACAAACAAAAATCTTAGTGGCAGCTATCCAAGAAGTACAGAATGAAATAGCCTGTTAATTTAGCATTAACTGAAGCCCCTGCTTTAGCCCTCCCTAATATCTCCATAAAAGCCAAGGAGTTGCTAAAGACGTGCTTACTCAGACTCTAAGACCCTAAAGACGCCCAGTGGCCTATTTATCTAAGAGGCTAGATCCTGTGGCCTCTAGATGGCCAAGTTGTCTGCGAGCCATAGCGGCTACAGCAAGCCTGGCCCAAGAAGATGATAAGTTAACTCTAAGCCAAAATTTAACACTTACAGCTCCTCACGCCTTAAAGACCTTACTACAAAATGCTTCTGGCAAATAGATGTCAAATGCTCGCATCTTGCAGTATCGAAGTTTACTGTTAGATCAGCCTCGTTTGACTTTCTCTCCCACAAAGTGTTTCAATCCAGCTACACTACTTTCTGACTCAGACTGCACTATTCCTGCTCATGACTGTCAAGAACTGTTAGAAACTATCGAAACTGGCCGATCTGATCTTCAAGCTGTGCCCCTAGAAAAGGCAGATGCCGCCTTGTTCACAGACAGTAGCAGCTTCCTCAAGCAGGAAGTATGAAAAGTCAGTGCAGCTGTTACCACGGAGACAGATGTGTTGTAAGCTCAAGCTTTACCAGCGAACACCTCAGCACAAAAGGCTCAATTCATCGCCCTCACTCAGGCTCTCTGATAAAGTAAGAATAAACGTATTAACATTTACACTGACAGCAAGTACGCCTTTGCTACTGTGCATGTACATAAAGCCATCTACCAGGAAAGCAGGCTACTCACCTCAGCAGGTAGCTGTGATCCACTGCAAAGGACATCAAAAAGAAAACACGGCCGTTGCCCATAGTAACCAGAAACCTGATTCAGCAGCTCAGGTCGCAGCGAGACTTTCAGTCACGCCTCTAAACTTGCTGCCCACAGTCTCCTTTCCACAGCCAGATCTGCCTGACAATCCCGTACACTCAACAACAACAACAAAAAACTGGCTTCAGATCTCAGAGTCAATAAAAATCAGGAAAGTTAGTAGATTCTTCCTGACTCTAGACGCTTCATATCCTGAACCCTTAAAGAAAATTTAGTCCGTCACCTACAGTCTACCACCCACTTAAAAAGAGCAAAGCTACCTCAGCTCCTGCGGAGCCATTTTAAGATCCCCCGTCTTCAAAGCCTAACAGATTAAGCAGCTCTCCAGTTCACAACCTGCGCCCAAGTAAATGCCAAACAAAGTCCTAAACCCAGCCCAGGCCACTGTCTCTGAAAAACCTCGCCAAGAAAAAAGTAAGAAATTGACTTTACAGAAGTCAAACCACACCAGGCTAAGTACAAATGCCTTCTAGTACTAGTAGACACCTTCTCCAGATAGACTAAGGCATTTGCTACCGAAAACGAAACCACCAACACAGTAGTTAAGTTTTTACACAATGAAATCATCGTTCAGTATAGGCTGCCTGCTGCCATAAAGTCTGATAATAGAACAGCCTTCACGTCGCCTATAGCTCAGTCAGTCAGTAAGGCCTTAAACATTCAATAGAAGCTCCATCGTGCCTATCAACCTCAGAGCTCCAGGCAAGTACAACGCATGAACCACACCCTAAAAAACACTCTTACAAAATCTTAAAAACCAGTGTAAATTAAGTAAGTCTCCTTCCTTTAGCTCTACTTAAAGTAAGGTGCACCCCTTACCACGCTAAGTTCTCACCCTTTGAAATCATGTATAAGAAGGCGCTGCCTCTCTTGCCTAAGTGAAGAGATGTGAAATTAGCAGAAATATCACAAACTAATTTATTACAGTACCTATATTCTCTCCAACAGGTACAAGATATTATCCTGCCACTTGTTTGAGGAGCCCTTCCCAATCCAATTCCTGACCAGAAAAAGTCCTGCCATTCATTCCAGCCAGGAGACCTAGCATTTGTTAAAAAGTTCCAAAAAGAAAGACTCACTCCTGCTTAGAAAAGACCTCACACCGTCATCCTCACGACTCCAACTGCTCTGAAAGTAGGCGGCATTCCTGCTAGATTCATCACTCCCGCATCAAAAAGTCCAACAGAGCCCAGCTCAAAACATAAGTCCCCAGGCCTAAGTCAGGCCCCTTAAAACTGCACCTAAGTCAGGTGAAGCCATTAGATTCATTCTTTTTGTCTACCTCACTTATTTGTTTTTGCCAGTTACATCCTCTGTGCCTTCCTACTCCTTTCTCCTCACCTCTTTCACAACAGGACGTGTATTTGCAAACACCACTTAGAAGGTCCGTACCTCCAAGGAAGTCTCCTTTGCAGTTGATTTATTTGTACTATTCCCAAAGCCAGCCCACACCCACAAAAACAACACCATCTGCCAGTCCCAGGAGCAGGAAGTGTCGACCTTGCAGCAAGATTCAGACACTCCAAGAGCCAAACTAATTGCAGAAGCTCCAAAAGTGCAGAAAAAAAGACTCCAAAATGTTGACTTTTACCTCTGTCCTAGAAATCACCCTGACGCTAGCTGTCAAGATGCTTATCAGTTTTTCTGCCCTGATTAGACATGTGTAACTTTAGCCACCTACTCTAAAAGATCAACCAGATCTTCAACTCTTTCCATAACTCGTGCTTCTCATCCTAAATTATGTACTAGAAAAAACTGTAATCCTCTAACTGTCCATGACCTTAATTCAACTCAATAGTATCATGGCATGTCATGAACATTAAGATTTTATATCCCAGGATTTAATGTTAAGTATATGTTCACCATCCAAAAAAACCCTAGTCTCATAAAGCCCACCCAAGTCAATCAGGCCTTTAACTGATCTAAGTAACCCTATGTTCCAGGAACACCCTGACAAAGTTGATTTAACTGTTCCTCCACCTTTCTTAGTCATAAAAGATACACTCCAAAAAGTGCAAGAAAATCTAGAAAAGCGCCAACAAGAACAAGAAAGTAACATCCCCTAGTATCAACGCATGTTCAACTAGAACCCATAGCTAACCACTCTAATTACTAAGTTAGCTGGACCCCCTCCCCATCCTACTAATAAGTCTAATTTTGGGGCATTGTATATTAAGTTAGTTTCTTAATTTTGTAAAACAACGAATAGCTTCTGTCAAACTTATGTATCTGAAGACTCAAAATAACCCCCTTTTTATAACTGAAGAATCAACGATTTGATTCCCCAAAAACACAAGTGAGGAATGTAATGCCCAACCATGTTTTTACTCACCCTGTTTTTAGACTCTCCCTTTCTTTTAATGACCTAGCCTTGTTTCCACCTGAATTGACTCTCCCTTAGCTAAGAGAGCCAGACAGATTCCATCTTGGCTCTTTCACTGGCAGCCCCTTCCTCAGGGACTTAACTTGTGCAAGCTGACTCCCAGCACATCGAAGAATGCAATTAACTGATAAGATACTGTGGCGAGCAATATCCGCAGTTCCCAGGAATTCATCCGATTGATAACGCCCAAAGCCCCGCGTCTATCACCTTATAATAGTGTTAAAGGCCCTAGACCTAAAACTGTTTACTTTCCTGTAACAATTTATCCTTTTAACTTTTTTGTCTACTTTACTTATGTAAAATTGTTTTAACTAGAACCCCCTCCCCTTTCTAAACCAAAGTATAAAAGAAAATCTTAGCCCCTTCTTCGAAGCCGAGAGAACTTTAAACGTTAGCCGTTTCTTTGCCGCCGGCTAAGTAAACAGACTCTTAATTCATCTCAAAGTGTAGCGTTTTCTCAAACTCGCTCAAGAACAACACATCCAGCAGGCAAGTCATCCACTCTAAAATGCCATCCTGGGGTAGTGAAGATGATGTTGCTGGAAATATCCTTAAATGGCATGTGGATGAGTTCCCCCAGAGGCATACATGTTGAGCTAAGAACTTTGCTGATGAAGGGTACAAGTTGAAGGGGTTTTGACCGGCAGAGTGAGGTTCCTCAGAAGGCTGTTGCTACAGAAAGCCAGGTGGAGAAATTACATGGCCAGATAGAGTGGCATGACCATTGGATAAGGGTTTTGTGTTTGTTTTTGAGATGGAGTTTTGCTCTTGTTGCCCAGGCTGGAGTGCAATGGCACGATCTCAGCTCACCGCAACTTACACCTCCCAGGTTCAAACGATTCTCCTGCCTCAGCCTCCCTAGTAGCTGGGATTACAGGCATGTGCCACCACACCTGGCTAATTTTGTATTTTTAATAGAGATGGGGTTTCTCCATGTTGATCAGGCTGGTCTTGAACTCCCGACCTCAGGTGATCCGTCCGCCTTGGTCTCCCAAAGTGCTGGGATTACAGACATGAGCCACCGCACCCAGCCTGGATGAGGGTCTTTAGCAAAGATGGAAGTTTTGGTACCTTTCAGTTTAATCTCTTCATTTATGTCCTCCTGAAATCTTTAGTAATAGCACACTTTGTCAATGCTTCTGGGGTCGTACTTAGGGGGACTTAAAGGAGATGTGATATAGCAGCCTTTGACTCGAGGGAGTATCATACTAGTTCAAAGAGATCTGGGTACATGCCAGTTGAACCAACTCTTCTGAGGATGTGATAGATCCTGGGAGGCCACTCTGATCCTGCCAACCTTGAGGCCAGATGAGTCTTTGAAAAACATGGTTTGGCTTAACACCAGCACTAAGTCTAACACCCACCATGAATCTTGCTGAAGTGAAGCTATACAAATACCTTTTCAAAAGATGTTTTTCATTTCAGATCCTTCTTAGAAATTCCTAAGGCTCAATGCTGTGTGGAAGATTCTAAGAAAGAAAATAGTTTCCGATCTTTGGGATTCCCCTGAGATGGTCCAATCTGCAAAAAGTTCATTGCCATTTCCATCAAGGACACTGAGAAAAAGAGTCTTATCCGGATTGGATCCTGGAAATTGAGAAGCTTCAACAAGTGGGAAATGCACCCTCCACAGGCTCACACCCTTGTGGGCTATTTCAGTTACCTATTGCACCTAAAATTAGAAACTTTAAACCACCACAAGTCATTATTGCTCATGACCATGTGAGTTGCATGGGGACTTCCTGTCTGGTTTAACTTGGGCTCATTTGTGTGGCTACCTGCAGCTGGAGGGCCAGCTGGGTGGAACATCCAGGACAGCCTCACACATGTGCCTGGCAGTTGGTGCTGGCTGTCAGCCGGGGAAACTTGTTTTCCTCCATCTGGCCCCTCGCCCTCCAGAGCCCCTCCCCAAATGGCCCTTTAAGCAGGATAGCCAAGGCTTGCTTGGTGCCAGCATCCAAGAGGGCAAAAATATGGAAACTACAAGAGGACTCTCAAGGCCTAAGACTACAGGCACCCCAAAAATCTGAGGTCTCAGTTAATTGAGAAAGTTTATTTTGCCAAGGTTGAGGATGCACGCCTGTGATACAGCCTCAGGAGGTCCTGACAACATGTGCCTAAGGTGGTAGGGACACAGCTTGCCTTCATACATTTTAGAGAGACATGAGACATCAATCAATATGTGCAAAATGTACATTGGTCCAGTCTGGAAAGGCGGGTCAACTCCAGGTGAAGGTGAGACAACTCGAAGTGGGGAGGGGGCTTCCAGTTCATAGGTAGTTAAGAGACAAATGGTTGCATTCTTTTGAGTTCCTGATTAGCCTCTCCAAATGAGGCAATCAGATATACATTTATCTCAGTGAGCAAAGGGGTGACTTTGAATAGAATGGAAGGCAGGTTTGCCCTAAGCAGTTCCCAGCTTGACTTTTCTCTTTAGCTTAATAACTTTTTTTGTTGTTGTTGTTGGGACAGAGTCTCACTCTGTTGCCCAGGCTGGAGTGCAGTGGTGCGATCTCGGTTCACTGCAACCTCCAACTCCAGGGTTCAAGCAATTTTCCCTGCCTCAGCCTCCCGAGTAGCTGGGATTACAGGCGCCTGCCACCATACCTGGCTAATTTTCATATTTTTTAATAGAGACGGGGTTTCATCGTGTTGGCCAGGCTGGTCTTGAACTCCTGACCTCAGGTGATCTGCCCGCCTCAGCTTCCCAAAGTGCTGGGAACTCCTGACCTCAGGTGATCCGCCTGCCTCAGCTTCCCAAAGTGCTGGGATTACAGGCGTGAGCCACCGAGCCCGGCCTAGCTTAGTGATCTTGGGGCCCCAAGGTTTATTTTCCTTTCACGGCTAGAAGTTGGTCACCATCACTTTGGCTGCATTCCACTGGCCAAAGCAAGTCATAGGCAGCCCAGATTCATGTAGAGGAATATAAACTCTACCTCTTAAAGGAAAGATTGGTTCAATTACACTGCACGAGCGTTTGCAGAAAGTTGTACCCATCTTTGGAAACTACCACACACACACACACACACACACACACACACACACACCTTTACATGTAACCCTCCCTTGAGGTGCATCTACTTCCAGGCAGAAAGTAAACTTGACAGTACTTGACAGAAGAAAAGTAGTGTCCTAAATGCCAGTTCTCTTCTTACTCAACTTCAGCCTCATTATAAGCAGATTCTAACACAGATTATGTGTCTTGAGAAACATAATCTTTGGAATTTAAGAATTTGAATTCACAGCAGTAGCCTGTGCATAGGAAATATACATATGGTAAGTTTTTCCTTTCTGATAAATCATGCTGAAGGAACCACAATTTTTTTTTTTTTTTTTTTTTTTGAGAGGGAGTCTCACTCTGTTGCCCAGGCTGGAATGCTGTAGCGTGATCTCAGCTCACTGCAACCTCCACCTCCCTGGTTCAAGCGATTCTCCTGCCTCAGCCTCCTGAGTAGCTGGGATTATAGGTGCGCAAGACGGGGTTTCACCATGTTGGTCAGGTTGGTCTCGAATTCCTGACCTCTGATCTGCCCACCTCAGCCTCCCAAAGTGCTGGGATTATAGGCGTGAGCCACTGGCTCATGTATACTCTAACTGTATATTGAAAGTTTCTTTTTTTAATAATTAACAGGTTTAACAGAATATATCTCCTAATCTATTCCTTTCACTGCAGACATCTATTGCCTTGTCAGCCTAGCAGCCCTCCCCTCTATGGAGACTCACACTTCCTACTCCAGTCACGTGGCTCTCATGGGGGCTGCCATGTTCTCACGTGACTCCACCCCTCTGGCCTCAGTTGATTGGTCCAGGGATGAACATCTGGCCTAAATTGGCCAATCAGAATTCCTCCCTTGAATATTTTTCCAAACTGGAACCAGACCAAGTTAATCATTCTCTGTGATGACAGGAACTGTGTGTAGTGAGAAATAGAGGAGTTTTTGTGGCCACGTATCTCGCCTTATGGAGAAAAGGCTTGAGCAAGAAGAAATTAAGCCAGTATGCAGACAAAGCTAGAGACAGAGATGGAGAGAGATCTGATGGTGTCTCCATCCAGAGATGGAGAGATCTTGTGGTAAGCCCCTTGGTATTTATCAATCTAGTCCATACTTGCTACTGCATACAACCAAGACTTTCACCTGAGAGTTTTTTCAAAGTCAGGCATGCAATATGTCAGAAAAGCCAAAGAAGCCGGGTGCAGTGACTCACGCCCGTAATCCCAACACTGGGAGGCCAAGGCAGGTGGATCACGAGGTCAGGAGTTCAAGACCAGCCTGACCAACATGGCAAAACGCCGTCTCTACAAAAAATAACAAAATTAGCGGGACATGGTGGCAGGAGCCTGTAATCCCAGCTACTCAGGAAGCTGAGGCAAGAGAATCGTTTGAACCTGGAGGCAGATGTTGCAGTGAGCCGAGATCACACCATTGCAGTCCAGCCTGAGTGACAGAGCAAGACTATGTCTCAAAAAAAAAAAAAGAAAAAAGAGAAGCCAGAGTTGATGCCCTGGGACCAGTCCTCAGCCAGTGACAGATGGGAGCCAGGCTATAAATACTTCAATATCTTCGCCCCCTGGATGGAACAACTTTGAAATGTATTCCACATCACCTCCCAGAGGTCCCCAGTAGGGTCAAATTCTAGTTGCCTGGAGTGGTAAGCTGCTTACTGAAGCCCACAGTGTGGCCTCCTGCCTTTTCATGAATCAGTTCCTCACTCCCCTATTGGTGTTCCCTGGAATCATCTCCTAAATAATCCACTTGCAATCCTGTCCCTCTTTCAGGATCTGCTTGCGGTTGGGGTTGGGGAGTGCAGACCAAAACATGATCCCTTTTCCACTCCACACTAGTAACATGAGTTTCTGTCACTGGCAACCACAAGTCTGACTATTACCTCCTTCTGACATAATTTTCTAAAATGTATTTGGGAATTTCCCCACCTCCACCCCACTGCATATGTCATCAATATGTAGATTTCTTAACAAAGTTTAATGGTATTCTTTGATCAACCTCAAGTTTCACAAAGCACACTGCACTTTAATAAGGGTTCCCCATGACTGACAGATCAGCCATTCAAAAGAAGGGAAGTGTCAGAGATGGCTCTGCTAGACTCATGTATTTTTCAGTAGAACCTGGGTCAGGATGGTGTGGTTGGGAGATGCTTCTGGAGCTCTGGGACCCACAAGCCTGAGTGTCCCACGGTGGAGTATTAGCACAACTTGAAAACATAGTGGCAGGAGGAGGCTTCCTCTCTCCCCCGCAGTTCATCCTCCACCGTACCCAACGTGCTCAATAGATACTGGTTAAATGAATAATGGGGCCGGGAGTGGTGGCTCACACCTGTACTCCCAGCAATTTGGGAGGCTGAGGCAGGTGGATCACCTGAGGTCAGGAGTTCAAGACCAGCATGGCCAACATGGCGAAACCCCGTCTCTACTAAAAATATAAAAATTAGCCAGGTGTGGTGGTCGGCGCCTGTAATCCCAGCTACTTGGGATGCTGAGGCAGGAGAAGCACTTCAACCTGGGAGGCAGAGTTTACAGTACGCTGACATGTTACCACTGCACTCCAGCCTGGGCGACAGAGCAAGACTCAAAAAAAAAAAAAAAAAGAAAGAAAGAAAAAAGAATAATGGATTTATTCCTTCCAAACTGCAACTCACCAGAAGAAGACGAAGACGCATCAAAATGTTGTGGTCATAATCACCACAGTGACGATAACGAATATAATCAACTCTCGAGCCAGCCACCTCCACTAAACCTAGCAGATCACATCTGGTGTTTCACTTTGGGGATGTTTTAGTGGTCATGGTAGATGGTTGCCTGACTGCTGGCTGTTTCTACTGTGTTTCAGGAATATAGAGATGTGTACGGATGACCCCTAAAATTAATTAGTATGCAATTCTCAAAGAGCCAAACTCTACCCCAAAAGCTACTGGAATAAAAAAAAAAAAAGAGTTTTAATTCTCAAAGAGACAAGCTAGATAGTAAAAGCATTTATGTTCCCTTGGAGAATCTTCCCAACCAAGGACTCAAAGTGGTCTCCAGACCAGGGAATGCCTGGGTCCTTGGACATTCCCAATTCTGGTATCACCTCCCATTCTCCTTTAGGTCCAGTTTTCTCAGAGGAGCATACATTGTTCATTGCCACCAAGGGTATCCAAGGACACAAACTGAAGATAATAGCGCTTTCTTGTCTCTCAGTCATCTGTCTCTCCCACATGCTGGACGGAGAGCCAAGTCCAATTTATCCAAATACCAAAAATAGCAACATTGGCATCATGAGATCAGCTAACAAAACTTTCAGAGGCAATCTATCTTCCTACCAAAAGTAACCAACATCTGTGGGGCACTTACCATGGCTAAGGGTCAACGTAAGTGGTTTGCATGCTGCATGTATCAGGATGGACTAGGTTATGCTGCAGTAACAAATTAACCCCAGAGTCTCAGCAGCTTAGCAACCAAGGTTGATTTCTTACATTCCATGTCCACAATGGGTTGGCTGGTTATGGTGTGCTCCATATGGCCACTCAAAGACCTAGGATAATGGAAATTCTACCATCTTAATGCAGGGATTCTCCCATAGTTACTGCACCAGGAGATGAGAGGATGAGATAGTTATTCCCAAGCCCTCAAAAGCTGTAGACTAGAGGTGATGTCAGTGACTTCCACTTATAGAGCAGTGGACCCTGGCATGGATCCATCTAACTACTGGGGGTCTGGGGAATACGGGGAGCACATGGAAATCCCATGAGCAGTAACCATTCCTGCCAGCATGCATTATTTCATCTGAACCTCACAACCCCATGGAGTATATAACAGAGGCTTGGAGAGTTATGGGACCTGCCCCAAGGCGTCACGGATAATGAGTTGCAGAGCTGAGATATGACCCCCGGCCTGGCAGGATTCAAACCACTACGCTGCATACTCATCACAAAATTCTATGAAATTCCTCATACAGCAAAACACCACACCAAGTGAAAAGAAAGCCAAGTTGTGCAAATACACAGTAGAACTCCCCTGACACTTCACCTCCTCACCCAGCCCACCCCCACCGAAAGAATCAACCTACGCAAATAACTGGAACGAAATTCTCAGGCAATTTCAGCAGGGGAAATAGGGTTATCTCATCTGGGTGTCACATCCGACCTCGTCAAGACAAGACCTTCCCTAAACTTCACCTGAACACCGGGACACACCGTCATGTCTTGCCGCTTCTTGTTACTGGAAATCCAATGATGACGTCTTTATACAACTTCCAGGTCTTTCTATAAGTGCCAAGATAAATGTCATCCCTGTACCTGCATATCATTCAGAGGTAGGCAAGCTTCTATGTAAAGTGCTAGATAGTAAATACTATCAGCTTTGCAGGACTCATCTGATCTCCATCGTATATATTTTTTTGTTTTTGTTTTACAATGTTTTTTTCTGTTTAGATAGGGTCTAAAAAGAAAATAAAACTTATCCATGCTGTGATATGGATGAACGTTAAAAACATGCTGAGTGAAAGAAGCAGACATGAAAGGTCATATATTGTACAATTCCATTTATATGCAATGTTCAGACTAAGCCAATCAACAGAGATAGAAAGTAGATGAGAGGTTTCCAGGGGCTGCAGGAGGGGGTATGCAGAGTGACGGCTGAATGGATATGAGGCTTCCAATTGAAGTGTTGAAAAAGCTCTGAAGCTAGGTAGTGGTGATAATTGCACAACATGATAAATGTACAATATGTCACTGAATTGTACACTTTCAGATGCACAAAATGGTAAATGTTGCATATATTATACCACAATTTTATTCTTTTATTTTATAGATAGAGTCTCACTCCATCACCCAGGCTGCAGTACAATGGCACAATCATAGCTCACTGCTGCCTTTACGTCCTGGGCTCAAGCAATCCTCCCACCTAGTCTTCCAAGTAGCTGGGACTACAGGTGAACGCTACCACACCCAGGGTTTTTAATTTTTTTATAGAGTCACATTCTCACTATATTGCCCAGACTGGCCCAAACTCCTGTCTTGAAGCGATTCTCTCATCTCAGCCTCCCAAAGTGCTGGTATAACAGGTGTAAGCCATCACGCCAGGCAATTTTTAATTCTTATGTGAAATTTTCAACTAATAAATTCCTAGGATGAAGAAAATGTTGATTCACATGGGGATTAGAGGGAAAAATAATTTTAAACAAGAGAAAAAATGAGATGATGTATATGTGTACAGTGCCTGGCCTCATGATCACTGAGCCCACTACAGCATTTTTTTTTTTTTTTTGAGACAGGGTCTCACTCTGTCACCCAGGCTGAGTACAGTGGCATAATCACAGCTTACTGCAGCCTCAACCTCCTGGGCACAAGTGATCCTCCCACCTCAGCCTCTCAAGTAGCTGGGACTACAGGTGCACACAACCACACCCAGCTATTTTTGTTGTTGTTGTTGTATTTTTGGTAATGGCAGGGTCTCACCATGTTGCCCAGGCTGGCATCTTGAACTCCTGGGCTCAAGCGATCCTCTCACCCCAGCTTCCCAAAGTGCTGGGATTACAGGTGTGAGCCCCTATGCCCATCCTGTTGTAGCTATTTTAATAGTGCTGGTGAACAATAATTTGCTCTCCCTATAAAAACAGGACATACTAAGCCAAGGAAAGCACCAATCTAGTTTGTTCTCCCCAGATCTTCAAAATGTTGGAATTAGTATAAGAGTCGAAAATATTTCACATGGTTTGATTTATTTATTTATTTATTTATTTATTTATTTATTTATATTATTATTTTTTTTTTTGGAGACAGAGTCTCATTCCATCGTCCAGGTTGGAGTGCAGTGGCACAATCTCAGATCACCACAACCTCCGCCTCCCGGGTTCAAGCAATTCTCCTGCCTCAGCCTCCCAAGTAGCTGGGATTACAGACATATACCACCACGCCCTGCTAATTTTTGCATTTTTAGTAGACATGGGGTTTCTCCATGTTGGCCAGGCTGGTCTCGAACTCCTGACCTCAAATGATCTACCCGCCTCGGCCTCCCAAAGTGCTGGGATTACAGGTGTAAGCCACCATGTCCGGCCAGTTTGATTTTTTATTGTGGTAAAATACATACAAAATCTATTATTTTAGCCATTTTCAAAGGAAAAATTCAGTGGCGTTAAGTGCATCCACCACATTGTACAGCCATGTCCCCCATCCATCTCCAGAACGCTTTCATCCTGTCCTGCAAATATGCGGCACCTTGCTACACTCCGGGTTGTTTGTCCCACAACAGAGTTGGGCCGAATTATTAACGTGGACTTTGTTCAACAACGGACTAAAGACGGAGAAGCCCATGAACTCTGTGAGGAGTGCATAACAGGTGCTCGTGGGATGACAGGGCTCGGGGCCCTCCAGCTGCTGCTGCTGCTGCTGCCGCCTGTCCTACTGGGCGGCCACCCCGTCCCAGGGAGGAAGAGCACACACAGCTGCTGCTGATCTCCTTCCAGGGCTTCCGCTGGGACTAGGATCAGGAATATGCACACCCCCAACCTGGACCGTCTGGCCAGGGAGGGTGTCAAGGCCCAGTACCTCATGCCGCCCCTTGTCACGATGACCTCCCCGTCCCACTTCACCGCCATCCCGGGTAAGCGCCACTCTGCCCATTTCACCCAATGCCCATCAAAGCCCCAGTGCCCGTCATTCCCGGAATAAGAAGCAGAGCTCGGTCAGCTCTAGGGAGGCTGAGGCGGCTCCGGGGTCTCACTCTGTTGCCCAGGCTGTAGCTCAATGGCATAGTCACAGCTCAGTGGAGCCTCAAACACCTGGTCTCAAGCAGTCCTGCCTACCTCAGGCTCCCCAGTAGCTGGGGATACAGACCAACCACCGTGCCTAATTTTCTCACTTTTTTAGAGATTGGGGCAGGGGTGTCTCACTATGTTGCCTAGGCTGATTGTGAACTCCTGGCCTCAAGCGATCATCCCGCCTCAGCCTCCCAAATTGCTGAGATTAGAGAAGTGAGCTACCGTGCCTGGCCTGATCTTTTTTAAAAAAGTAAATAAGGTCAGGCATGGTGGCTCACCCCTGTAATGCCAGCATTTTGGAAGGCTGAGGTGGGTGGATCACCTGAGGTCAGGAGTTCAAGACCAGCCTGGCCGACATGGTGAAACGTCATATCTCCTAAAAATACAAAAATAAGCTGGGCGTGGTGGCAGACGCCTATAACTCCAGCTACTCGGGAGTCTGATACGGGAGAATCACTTGAACCCAGGAGGTGGAAGTTGAAGTGAGCTGAGATCATGTCATTGCACTCCAGTTTGGGCAGCAGCACAAGATTTTGTCTCAGAAAAACTAATAAAAGTAATAAAAATAAAAAGGTAAATAATTAAAATCACTTTTAAAGAACTGTATAAAAATAATAAAACATTGACATTTACAGAGCTCAGTTAGATGAGGTGACTCATACACTCCAATGGTGTCCTGGTTCTCTTACATGAGAATTCAAATGTCTTTCTGTGGCCCAAAAGATCCCACACAGCCTGGCCTCTAGCCCATCTTCTGCCAGCCTCTCTCATCTCTCTCCCTCTCCTTCACTTCCCCCCAGATCACAAAGGCCTTTTGCCTGTGCCTTCTGCCCTGCTCCCTCCAGCCCCAGGGACTTGGCCTGTGCTAGTCCAGTCCCTCCAGCTCACCAGGAGCATGCAGTCCAGTCGGGGAGACAGACACCAGACACCCTAACAGGCACATACATCCTATGACAGCTCGGGAGGTACCAAGGAGGAAAATGAGTTTTCCAGGCACAGACTACAGGGGTAAACTGGCTTCAACCTAGAGAGGGAGAAAGGGGCTCTCACAGCATGAGGCAGTTGAGCTGAAAGAGATCTCAGGGGACCAGAGCAAGGAAAAGTGTTCCAGGCAGAGGGAACAGCATGTGTGAGGTCTCTGAGACAAAGACCTGGTCATTTCAGAATCCCAGTGGCCACTAAAATAGAGGGATTCCGACCTAAAAAGGAGGGAGAGGAGGCTGCTGGAAAGCAAAGGACTCTGTGTAGGAATCATAATAGTGGGGGTGGAGCCAAGATGGCCAAATAGGAAGAGCTCCAGTCTACAGCTCCCAGCATGAGTGACGCAGAAGACAGGTGATTTCTGCATTTCCAAATGAGGTACTGGGTTCATCTCAGTGGGGAGTGTCAGAAAGTGGGTGCAGGACAGTGGGTGCAGCACACTGAGTGTGAGCCCAAGCAGGGTGAGGCATTGCCTCACCCAGGAAGCACAAGGCATCAGAGAATTCCCTTTCCTAGTCAAAGAAAAGGGTGACAGATGGCACCTGGAAAATCGGGTCACTCCCACCCTAATACTGTGCTTTTCCAACAGTCTTAGCAAATGGCACACCAGATTATATCCCGCACCTGGCTCGGAGGGTCCTACGTCCATGGAGCCTCGCTCATTGCTAGCACAGCAGTCTGAGATCAAACAGCAAGGTGGCAGCAATGCTGGGGGAGGGGTGCCCGCCATTGCCTAGGCTTCAGTTGGTAAACAAAGTGGCTGGGAAGCTCGAACTGGGTGGAGCCCACTGCAGCTTAAGGAGGCCTGCCTGCCTCTGTAGACTCCATCTCTGGGGGCAGGGCATTGCCAAACAAAAGGCATCAGAATCCTCTGCAGACTTAAATGTCCCTGTCTGACAGCTTTGAAGAGAGGAGTGGTTCTCCCAGCACGCAGCTGGAGATCTGAGAATGGACAGACTGCCTCCTCAAGTGGGTCCCTGACCCCCGAGTAGCCTAACTGGGAGGCACCCCCAAGTAGGGGCAGACTGACACCTCACATGGCTGGGTACTCCTCTGAGACAAAACTTCCAGAGGAACAATCAGGCAGCAACATTTGCTGCTCACCAATATCCACTGTTCTGCAGCCTCTGCTGCTGATACCCAGGCAAACAGGGTCTGGAGTGGACCTCCAGCAAACTCCAACAGACCTGCAGCTGAGGGTCCTGACTGTTAGAAGGAAAACTAACAAACGGAAAGGACATCCACACCAAAACCCCATCTGTACATCACCATCATCAAAGACCAAAGGTAGATAAAACCACAAAGATGGGGAAAAAACAGAGCAGAAAAACTGGAAACTCTAAAAATCAGAGTGCCTCTCCTCCTCCAAAGGAACGCAGCTCCTCACCAGCAATGGAACAAAGCTGGACGGAGAATGACTTTGACAAGTTGAGAGAAGAAGACTTCAGACGATCAAACTAGTCCGAGCTAAAGGAGGAAGTTCAAACCCATGGCAAAGAAGTTAAAAACCTTGAAAAAAGATTAGATGAATGGCTAACTAGAGTGGATGAATGGCTAACTAGAATAAACAATGTAGAGAAGTCCTTAAAGGACCTGATGGAGCTGAAAACCAAGGCACAAGAACTACGTGATGGATGCACAAGCCTCAGTAGCTGATTTGATCAACTGGAAGGAAGGGTATCAGTGATGGAAGATGAAATGAATGAAATGAAGTGAGAAGAGAAATTTAGAGAAAAAAGAATAAAAAGAAATGAACAAAGCCTCCAAGAAATATGGGACTATGTGAAAAGACCAAATCTACATCTGATTGGTGTACCTGAAAGTGACGGGGAGAATGGAACCAAGTTGGAAAACACTCTGCAGGATATTATGCAGGAGAACTTCCCCAATCTAGCAAGGCAGGACAACATTCAAATTCAGGAAATACAGAGAATGCCACAAAGATACTCCTCGAGAAGAGCAACTCCAAGACACATAATTGTCAGATTCACCAAAGTTAAAATGAAGGAAAAAATGTTAAGGGCAGCCAGAGAGAAAGGTCGGGTTACCCACAAAGGGAAGACCATCAGACTAACAACAGATCTCTCAGGAGAAATTCTACAAACAAGCCAGAAGAGAGTGGGGGCCAATATTCAACATTCTTAAAGAGAAGAATTTTCAACCCAGAATCTCATATCCAGCCAAAATAAGTTTCATAAGTGGAGAAATAAAATCCGTGCAGACAAGCAAATGGTGAGAGATTTTGTCACCACCAGGCCTGCCCTACAAGAGCTCCTGAAGGAAGCACTAAGAATGGAAAGGAAAAACTGGTACCAGCCACTGCAAAAACATGCCAAATTGTAAAGACCCTTGAGGCTAGGAAGAAACTGCATCAACTAACGAGCGAAATAACCAGCTAACATCATAATGACAGGATCAAATTCACACATAACAATATTAACCTTAAATGTCAATGGGCTAAATTATCTGATTAAAAGACACAGACTGGCAAATTGGATAAAGAGTCAAGACCCATCATCGTGCTGTATTCAGGAAACCCATCTCATGTGCAGAGACACACATAGGCTCAAAATAAAGGGACGGAGGAAGATCTACCAAGCAATGGAAAACAAAAAAAAAGGCAAGTGTTGCAATCCTAGTCTCTGATAAAACAGAATTTAAACCAACAAAGATCAAAAGAGACAAAAAAGGCCATTACATAATGATAAAGGGATCAATTCAACTGTCCTAGAAGATATAACTATCCTATCCTAAGAAGAGCTAACTATCCTAAATATATATGCATCCAATACAGGAGCACCCAGATTCATAAAGCAAGTCCTTAGAGACCTACAAAGAGACTTAGACTCCCACACGATAATAATGGGAGATCTTAACACCCCACTGTCGACATTAGACAGACAAAAAAGACAGAAAGTTAACAAGGATATCCAGGAATTGAACTCAGCTCTTCACCAAGCGGACCTAATAGACATCTACAGAACTCTCCACCCCAAATCAACAGAATATACATTCTTTTCAGCACCACAACACACTTATTCCAAAATTGACCACATATTTGGAAGTGAAGCACTCCTCAGCAAATGTAAAAGGACAGAAATTATAACAAACCGTCTCTGTGCAATTATAACAAATTGCACTCTATGTCAGACCACAGTGCAATCAAACTAGAACTCAGGATTAAGAAACTCACTCAAAACCACTCAACTACATGGAAACTGAACAACCTGCTCCTGAATGACTACTGGGTACATAACAAAATGAAGGCAGAAATAAAGATGTTCTTTGAAACCAACGAGAACAAAGACACAACATACCAGAATCTCTGGGACACATTCAAAGCAGTGTGTAGAGGGAAATTTATAGCACTAAATGCCCACAAGAGAAAGCAGGAAAGATCTAAAATTGACACCCTAATATCACAATTAAAAGAACTACAGATGCAAGAGCAAACACATTCAAAAGCTAGCAGAAGGTAAGAAATAACTAAGATCAGAGCAGAACTGAAGGAAATAGAGACACAAAAAACCCTTCAAAAAATCAATGAATCCAGGAGGTGTTTTTTTGAAAGATCAACAAAATTGATAGACCACTAGCAAGACTATAAAGAAGAAAAGAGAGAAGAATCATATAGACGCAATAAAAAATGATATAGGGGATATCACCACCAATCCCACAGAAATACAAACTACCATCAGAGAATACTATAAACACCCCTATGCAAATAAACTAGAAAATCTAGAAGAAATGGATAAATTCCTTGACACATACACCCTCTCAAGACTAAACCAGGAAGAAGTTAAATCTCTGAATAGACCAATAACAGGCTCTGAAATTGAGGCAATAATTACTAGCTTACCAACCAAAAAAAGTCCAGGACCAGATGGATTCACAGCCGAATTCTACCAGAGGTACAAGGAGGAGCTAGTACCATTCCTTCTGAAACTATTCCAAACAATAGAAAAAGAGGGAATCCTCCCTAACTCATTTTATGAGGCCGGCATCATCCTGATACCAAAGCCTGGCAGAGACAAAATAAAAAGAGAATTTTAGACCAATATCCCGGATGAATATCGATGCAAAAATCCTCAATAAAATACTGGCAAACCGAATCCAGCACCACATCAATAAGCTTATCGACCATAATCAAGTGGGCTTCATCCCTAGGATGCAAGGCTGGTTCAACATACACAAATCAATAAACAAAATCCAGCATATAAACAGAACCAATGACAAAAACCATATGATGATCTCATTAGATGCAGAAAAGGCCTACGACAAAATTCAACAACCTTCATGCTAAAAACTCTCAATAAATTAGGTATTGATGGGACGCATCTCAAAATAATAAGAGCTATCTATGACAATCCACAGCCAATATCATACTGAATGGGCAAAAACTGGAAAGCATTCCCTTTGAAAACTGGCACAAGACAGGGATGCCCTCTCTCACCACTCCTATTCAACATAATGTTGGAAGTTCTGGCCAGGGCAATCAGGCAGGAGAAGGAAATAAAGGGTATTCAATTAGGAAAAGAGGAAGTCAAATTGTCCCTGTTTGCAGATGACATGATGTATATCTAGAAAACCCCATTGTCTCAGCCCAAAATCTCCTTAAGCTGGTAGGCAACATGAGCAAAGTCTCAGGATACAAAGTCAATGTGCAAAAATCAGAAGCATTCTTATACACCAACAACAGACAAACAGAGATCCAAATCATGAGTGAACTCCCTTTCACAATTTCTTCAAAGAGAATAAAATACCTAGGAATCCAACTTACAAGGGATGTGAAGGACCTCTTCAAGAAGAACTACAAACCACTGCTCAACAAAATAAAAGAGGATACAAACAAATGGAAGAACGTTCCATGCTCATGGGTAGGAAGAATCAATATCGTGAAAATGGCCATACTGTCCAAGGTAATTTATAGATTCAATGCCATCCCCATCAAGCTACCAATGACTTTCTTCACAGAATTGGAAGAAACTACTTTAAAGTTCATATGGAACCAAAAAAGAGCCCACATTGCCAAGTCAATACTAAGCCAAAAGAACAAAGCTGGACGGATCACGCTACCTGACTTCAAACTATACTACAAGGCTACAGTAACCAAAACAGCATGGTACTGGTACAAAAACAGAGATATAGACCAATGGAACAGAACAGAGCCCTCAGAAATAATGCCACACATCTATAACTATCTGATCTTTGACAAACCTGACAAAAACAAGAAATGGGGAAAGGATTCCCTATTTAATAAATGGTGCTGGGAAAACTGGCTAGCCATATGGAGAAAGCTGAAACTGGATCCCTTCCTTACACTTTATACTAAAATTAATTCAAGATGGATTAAAGACTTAAATGTTAGACCTAAAACCATAAAAACCCTAGAAAAAAACCTAGGCAATACCATTCAGGACATAGGCATGGGCAAGGACTTCATGTCTAAAACACCAAAAGCAATGGCAACAAAAGCCAAAATCGACAAATGGGATCTAATTAAACTAAAGAGCTTCTGCACAGCAAAAGAAACTACCATCAGAGTGAACAGGCAACCTACAGAATGGGAGAAAATTTTTGCAATCTACTCATCTGACAAAGGGCTAATATCCAGAATCTACAATGAACTCTGACACATTTACAAGAAAAAAACAACCCCATCAACAAGTGGGCAAAAGATATGAACAGACACTTCTCAAAAGAAGACATTTATGCAGCCAAAAGACATATGAAAAAATACTCATCATCACTGGCCATCAGAGAAATGCAAATCAAAACCACAATGAGATACCATCTCACACCAGTTAGAATGGCGATCATTAAAAAGTCAGGAAACAACAGGTGCTGGAGAGGATGTGGAGAAATAGGAACACTTTTACACTGTTGGTGGGACTGTAAACTAGTTCAACCATTGTGGAAGTCAGTGTGGCGATTCCTCAGGGATCTAGAACTGGAAATACCATTTGACCTAGCCATCCCATTACTGGGTATATACCCAAAGATTACAAATCATGCTGCTATAAAGACACATGCACACGTATGTTTATTGTGGCACTATTCACAGTAGCAAAGACTTGGAACCAACCCAAATGTCCATCAATGATAGACTGGATCAACAAAATTTGGCACATACACACCATGGAATACTATGCAGCCATAAGAGATGATGAGTTCATGTCCTTTGTAAGGACATGGATGAAGCTGGAAACCATCATTCTCAGCAAACTATCGCAAAAACCAAACACCACATGTTCTCACTCATAGCTAGGAATTAAACAATGAGAACCCATGGACACAGGAAGGGGAACATCACACACAGGGGCCTTTTATGGGGTGGGGGTGGGATAGCATTAGGAGATATACCTAATGTTAAATGATGAGTTAATGGGTGCAGCACACCAACATGGCACACGTATACATATGTAACAAACCTGCACGTTGTGCACATGTACCCTAACACTTAAAGTGTAGTAAAAAATAAAAAATGAAATAAAAACATTGGCTTTTGACTCCAAATATCCTGCTTCATCATCTCTCCACTCCAGAAACTTTTCACATGCTTACAAAGGAAGTTCGTTTCTCCTCTAAGTATGTGCCCACCAGCCCCACCTGCAAGAAGGTGGAAGTAGGGCCTCTGCCTGGGATGGCAACTCTCAAATACAAGGCAAGACCTGTCTCTCCTCTAGTATCCCCAGGACTGAAGGACTGTGCAAGTCTGCATATTAATCAAGCTTCTCCCTCCCTTATCTGAAGGGACTTACTTCCTTCAAGACACTTTTCCTCTTCCCACCTAGCTCCATGCCCCCATCCAGTCATCTTCCAACCCATCTCTCCCCACCTCCATGCCACACAAGAAGGGCTTGACCACAGCACCTGGAAGTTTCTTAAAATTGAATGATGTGTCGGGCCGGGTGCGGTGGCTCATGCCGCGAACCCCAGCACTTTGGGAGGCTGAGGCAGGCAGGTCACTTGAGGTCAGGAGATCAAGACCAGCCTGGCCAACATGGTGAAACTCCATCTCTACTAAAAATACAAAAATTAGCTGGGTGTGGTGGTGCATGCCTGTAGTCCCAGCTACTTGGGGGACTGAGGCAAGGGAATCACTTGAACGCCGAAGGCAGAAGTTGCAGTGAGCCGAGATTGCATCATTGCACTCCAGCCTGGGCGATAGAGTGAGACTCTGTCTCAAAAAAAAAAAAAAAAAAAAATTCGAATGGTGTAATTAGCTTATGATTTTTTAAACATGGAATGATGTATTTATTTTCTAAGCTGTATAACAAATCAACACAAATTTAGCAGCTTAAAACACCCATCTATTACCTCTCCTTTCCTGTGGGTCAGGAGTCTGGGGGTGCAGCTTTAGCTGGGTGCTCTGCTCAGGTCCTTACAAGGTTGTGATCAAGTTGTCGGCTGGAATTAGTGTCTCATATGAGGCTTGCGGTCTTCTCCCAACCTCACATGGTTGTTGGCAGAATTTATTTCCATGCAACTGTGGATCTCATGTGGCTGGCTTCTTCAAAACCAGCCGGGCATGGTGGCTCACGACTGTAGTCCCAGCACTTTCGGAGGCCGAGGCAGGTGGATCACCTGAGGTCAGGAGTTCGAGACGAGCCTGGCAATATGGTGAAACCCCGTCTCTACTAAAAATACAATACTTAGCCGGGCATGATGGCGCACGCCTGTAATCCCAGCTACTTGGGAGGCTGAGGCAGGAGAATCACTTGAACCCAGGAGGCAGACGTTGCAGTAAGCCGAGAACATGCCACTGCACTCCAGCCTGGGCAACAGAGTGAGACTCCATCTCAAAAACAAACAAACAAACAAACAAAAACCAAAAACCAGGAGGAAAGAGTCTCTCTCCTCCAGAACCTCATTGAAGATCTCACCTGAAGATATCAGGCCCACCCTGAATAAACTCCCTTCTGATTAACTCAAAGCGAACGGAGTAGGGGCTTAGTTACATCTGAAAATCCCTTCAACTTTTCCATAGGTATAGATTAGAAGCAAGCCAGGGGTCCTGCCTTCACTCCAGGGGAGAGGAGATTACACCTGGCATTTATCCAGGGCAGGAATCTAAGGGGTCATCTCAGAATTCTGCCTTCCAAATAGATCCTCGGTGGAGCTCACTTGCCTGGGAGAGCACCAGCCTTTGTTTAAAGGCAACAGAGAATGCTGCCCTGTCTCAGATCTCCAGCAAGCCTCCAGAATGATGGTCCAGTCTCTGAGCCCAGGGCCAAGGCAGCAGGAGCTTCAGGTGCACATGGGGGCTTCCTCCACTTTGAAGTGAGTCGTCACATCCATATTAGACCCTAGCTGTTGCTTAGGCAAAAATGGTGATTTAGAAGAAGATGCAGAGAAAAGGAGGGTTAATTTAACAGTACTTATATTTGGCCAGGCGCAGCGGTTCACGCCTGTAATCCCAGCACTTTGGGAGGCTGAGGCAGGCGGATCACGAGGTCAGGAAATGGAGACCATCCTGGCTAACACGGTGAAACCCCGTCTCTATTAAAAATACAAAAAATTAGCTGGGTTGGGGGCAGGTGCCTGTAGTCCCAGCTACTCATGAGGCTGAAGCAGGAGAATGGCATGAACCCAGGAGGCGGAGCTTGCAGTGAGCTGAGATCGTGCCACTGCACTCCAGCCTGGGCGACAGAGTGAGACTCCGTCTCAAAAAAAGGAAAAAAAAAGAAACTACTTATATTCATTCCCTAGGGCTGCCACAACCAAGTATCACAAGCTGGGTGACTTGAAACCAGAGAAATTGTCTTGTGGTTCTGGTGGCCAGCAGTCTGAAATGGAGGTCCAGCAGGGCCACACTCCCTCCTGCACTTGTCGGGGAGTCCTGCCTTGCCTCGTCCTAGCTTCCTGTGGTTTCCTGGCAGTCTTCAGTGTTCCTTGGTTTGCATACGCATCAGTCCAATCTTCCGTCGGATCCATGGCCTTCTTCCCTGTGTCTCTGTGACTCAGCGTGTCCTCTCCTCTTTTATAAGGACACCAGTCATTGACTTAGGGCCCTCCCTACTCCAGGATGTCTTCATTCTAATCAATAGCATCTGCAATAACCCTATTTGGTTTTTTTTTTTTTTTTTTTTTTTTTTTGAGACGGAGTTTCACTATTGTTGCCCAGGCTGGAGTGCAATGGTGTGATCTCAGCTCAATGCCACCTCCGCCTCCTGGGTTCAAGCTATTCTTCTGCCTTAGCCTCCCGAGTAGCTGGGATTACAGGTATGCGCCACCACACCCAGCTAATTTTGTATTTTTAGTAGAGACAGGGTTTCTCCATGTTGGTCAGGCTGGTCTCAAACTCCTGACCTCAGGTGATCCACCTGCCTCGGTCTCCCAAAGTGCTGGGATTACAGGCTTGAGCCACCACGCCCGACCCGCAATAACTCTATTTCTAAATAAGGTCACATTCTGAGCTGCTAGAATTTAGGATTTCAACATCTTTTGAGGAGGACTCAATTTAACCCATAAGAATACTATGTGGGCCACACATGCTGCTTCACATCTGTTATCCCAGCACTTTGGGAGGTTGAAGCAGGAGGATCATTGCTCAGGGCCTAGGGGGACACCAGGTCATAAGACCACAGTGTTGACTGGTGTTGGGGGCTCACACCTGTAAGTTTGGCAAGCTAAGGCAGGACGATCACTTGAGCCCAGGAGTTTGAGGCCAGCCTGGGTCACATAGGGAGATCTCATTTAAAAAAAAAAAAAATTAATTAGCTGGGCATGGTGCTACTCGCCTACAGTCCCAGCTACTCAGGAGGTTGAAGCAGGAGGGTCGCTTGAGTCCAGAAGATCAAGGCTGTGGCGAGCTGTGATTGCACCCCTGCACTCCAGCCTGGGCAATAGAGCAAGCCCTGTCTCAAAAAAAAAAAAAAAAATCTCCCTTGTCTTCTGATTCCCTGAGCTGTCATAGAAAGGAAGTGAAGCAGTGAAAGCATCCCCCCGAAAGGGACTTTTCAAAACCAGCCTAAGCAACATAGGAAGACCTTGCCTCTAGAAAGTATTTAAATTTGAAGGAAAAAAAAAAAAGCAGTACTGTGGCACAGAGTTGACAGCTACAGGTGTGGCTACATCCAGGTCCTCAAACTATATCATCAGAATGACCCCTCACCCTCCCCCCGCTTTCCATTTTACTTTCTTAAGCATGAACATGAAATTTCCAAGATTGTCTCTCCTTTGGCTAATCTGCTTCTCAGACCCAATCACTGTGGCCAGGGTGGTGGAAGGATATTGACATCCAGGCTGGGACCACATGCCCCAGCCCCAGATCAGGGTGGGGAGTGGCCAGTCACACACATGCCGTGGGGTACTAGTGACTCCTCGGTGGAAAATCGAGAACTGTCATTGGAGAGGAGCGATGGAAGAAAGGCTGACACACTGCAATGCATCTCCTGCACCAGCCTGGGCCTCGATGTCTTGAGAATGGCGATTTGCAGTCTGATGACCCAGTACTCAGTCCAGGGCAATCCCAACTCCATCTGTGGGGCTACCCACAGTACATGGACCCCCTCACTGGATTTGCTGACCACACGTGCAAACAACCATCTCCCAGCCCCACTTCCCGCAGTCCCACTGAACCCTGTCGAAATTCCCCTCAGTTCTCACCAAGATTAAAAGCAATTCTGAGGGTGAGCAGCTCATTCTGCTAGTTTAAATCTCTCGATTCCTTCCCTCTGCAGAACTCTGTACTTACTGCTCCATCACTGGTAATGAAAATGAACATTTTCACAATCTCAGGTTTTATAGCAAAGTGATTGAGGACCAGTTAGAATAAGTTATGCTACCGAAACTAAAGAAATCCCGTCAAGCAAATGGTGTGTCATAGAAAGTCTTAGGGCAGCCTTGTATATTTTCTCCCCCAATGAATCAATTGAAAATGAGAGGCTCTTACCGCCATGTTCCGGGCAGAAGCTATCAAAAGTGTAAGCCATGATATTATAATTTGATCATTTTACATCCGGCGAGTGGATATGGCCCACGGGTGAAAAGTGGATGCTCCGTAACTAGATGATGGTCAAGAGTTATAAAAATGAGGTCCTCTCTGTTCAACATTTCTCCTTTCTTGAAAGGATACTCAATGTCATGCTCAGGGCCTCTAATGGCCAGAGATAAAATTCCTCCAAGTTTCAGAGCAGCCCAGGGCAACCCCAAAACCAGAGCAACTGCTTATTGCCACGTAGACTATGTACTGTGCAATTCCTGGGGTGGCATTTTCATAAATATGTGGGTGTTGCCCCCTGGAGGTATGTAATGCACAACTTGCACAAATGGTAAGTCATCGTATCCCAAAGTCCACCAAGAAGAGGTAAACAAAATTCCCATCGATGTTGCCATCAGTCATGAGTCTGCCTTTTCTTCATGGGACAGTAGCAAAAACAATTTGGCCAAGTGTGCTTGGATGATCTCTAAGATGGAATCAGGGTCTCTCAGTTTCAGCACTATTGACATTTGGGGCTGGATCATTATTCTGTCTTAGTGGGAGTTGTCGGGGCATTGTAGGATGTTTAGTAGCATCCCTGGCCTCTACCCACTAGATGCCAAGAGCACCACCTCCTCCAGCCGCAACAACCAAAACTGTCTCCAGACATGGCCACATGTTCTCTGGGGGGCAAAATCACCCCCTGGCTGAGAAGCCCTGAAGTAAAGACATAATACACAGATCACATGTATGTAAGAGAGCCTAAGGGCCACACAGGTGATGCTGTACCCCTGACAAAGACAGAGTCTTCAAGAGGTTAGAGAGGTGGAGAAAGAGAAAGGAAATGAAGTCCCAGCTGCTGAGAGCAACAGATGCTGACTAGATGTTGTTGATAGTCATCTTTAAACTGAGTTAAAAGATGCTGAGAAGCCATCAGCTCCCATCCTGCTCTCCAGGGACAACGCTGCTGAAAAAGGCCTGGAGATCAACAAAGCCCCAAACACAGCTGCACTGAGCAAAGAAACCAGAGATTGAGACAAAATGACATTCCCTCAAAGACTACTCATTTCCAAGAGGGGAGAAAAAGTGGAGTCATGAAAAACAGTTGAGGCTGCATAGAGTGACTCACACCTGTAATCCCAGCACTTTGGGATTACTCCCAGGCTTAGTCAGGAAGATTGCTTGTGCTCAGGAGTTCAAAACCAGCCTGGGCAACACAGCAAGACCTTGCCTCTAGAAAAAGGGAAAAAATTAACCAGGTGTGGTGATACATGCCTGTGGTCTCAGCTACTCGGGAGGCTGAGGTGGGAGGATCGCTTGAACCCAGGAGGTAGAGGCTGCAGTGAGCCAGGATCACACCACTGCACTCCAGCCTGGGCTACAGAGTGAGATCCCGTCTCAACAAAGAAAAAAATTAAACAACATTAAGGCCGGGCACGATGGCTCATGCCTGTAATCCCAGCACTTTGGGAGGCCAAGGTGGGCAGATCACGAGGTCAGGAGATCGAGACCATCCTGACAGAGTGAAGCCCCATCTGTACTAAAAATACAAACAATTAGCCGGACATGGTGGTGGGTGCCTATAGTCCCAGCTACTCTGGAGGCTGAGGCAGAAGAATGGAGTGAACTCGGGAGGTGGAGCTTGCAGTGAGCCAAGATCATGCCACTGCACTCCAGTCTGGGCAAAAGAGCAAGACTCCATTTCAAAAAAAAGAAAATTAAAAAATTTTTTGAGACCTAGTCTCACTCTGTCGTCCAGGCTGGAGTGTAATGGTGCGATCTCGGCTCACTGCAACCTCCGCCTCCTGGGTTCAAGTGACTCTCATGCCTCAACCTCGTGCCTCAACATGACTACAGGCATGTTGTCACCATGCCTGGCTAATTTTTGCATTTTTAGTAGAGATGGGGTTTCACCATGTTGTCCAGGATGGTCTTGAACTCCTAGGTTCAAGCAATCTACCCACCTCAGCCTCCCAAAATGCTGAGATTACAGGCATGAGCCACCGTGCCCGACCTCTAACTTTTCATTATGGAAATTTCCCATACGCACAAAAAGCAGGGAGAGAATTGCACCATGAACCCCCATGCACCCATCATCCCACTGTGAGTACTTGTCAACATTTCGCCAATCTCATTCCAGTTCCCGCTTTTCTTTTCCTTCTTGCTATTTTAGGATATTTTAAAGCAAATTCCAGACATTTCATTTCACCCACATCCATAACACACCAGGGTGCATTCTTGATGTAAGGATTTTGTTTTGTTTTATAACACCCATGACATTGGCACAGTTAATTGATTTAACATGAAGAAACTAAGATTCTTGCAGGTGGAGAAAAGATCTAATTACCACCTTAAAGCCTCTCCTACCAGCGCTTCTCAGATCTGAACGTGTACGCAAATCACCTGGGCATCTTGTTAAAATGCAGATTCTGGCCCAGCACGTCCTCCCGGGTGAGCCCTGAGAGTCTTCAATTCCAAAAGCTCACAGGTGACGCAATGCTGCGGGTCCATGAATCACACAAGAGGAAGGGTCGGCCAAACACCCAAAACAACTGGGTACAAAGTCCTGACTGTTCCCGACTGCAGGGCCTTCAGTGAACGGGGAAGCTGGGGACCATTTGGGAAAGAAGGGAGGTTTTTCGTATCAGCTCCAGGCCCTGTAGAACTGCCAGGGAATAACAGACACAAGGTCAGCAAAGTTCAACCAACAGCATGAGTGCATTCATATTCCACAAACACTGCAGCAAAGAACCATGAAATGGGTGGCTTCAAACAAAGTCTGGGCCTGGTGCTGTGGCTCACACCTAAATAATCTCAGCACTTTGGGAGGCTGAGGTGGGTGGATCACTTGAGGCCAGGAATTCAAGACCAGCCTGGCCAATATGGCAAAACCTCATCTCTACTAAAAATACAAAAAGTAGCCATGCATGGTGGCACACACCTGTAGCCCAGCTACTTGGGAGGCAGAGGCTAGAGAATGGCTTGAGCCCGGGAGGTGGAGGTTGCAGTGAACCGAGATCGTGCAACTGCACTACAGACTGGGCAACAGAGCAAGGCTCTGTCTAAAAAAAAAAAAGAAAAAAAATGTCTGGAGGCCAGAAGTCCAAAATCAATCAAATGTCAGCAGGACCATGCTCCTTCAGAGGTTCTAGGGGAGAATCCATTCCTTGCCTCTTCCAGCTTGTAGAGGCTATCAGAATTCCTCAACTTGTGGCCGCATGATCCAATCTCTGCCTCTGTGATCACCTTGCCTCCTCCTCTTCTCTTCTGTCTCGGTCTCCTCCTCTGGAGAAGAGTGCCAGGCCTCTGAGCCCAAACTAAGCCATCATATCCCCTGTGACCTGCATGTACACATCCAGATGGCCAGTTCCTGCCTTAACTGATGACATTGTCTTGTGAAATTCCTTCTCCTTGCTCATCCTGGCTCAAAAGCTCCCCTTCTGAGCACCTTGCGACCCCCCACTCCTGCCTGCCAGAGAACAACCCCCCTTTTTCCTTTACCTTCCCAAATCATATAAAATGGCCCCACCCCATCTCCCTTCACTCACTCTTTTCGGACTCAGCCCACATGCACCCAGGTGAAATAAACAGCTTTATTGCTCAAACAAACCCTGTTTGGTGGTCTCTTCACACACACCCATGTGAAATTTGGTGCTGTGACTCGGATGTGGGGGGGACCTCCCTTGGGAGATCAATCCCCTGTCCTCCTGCTCTTTGCTCTGTGAGAAAGATCCACCTACGACCTCAGGTCCTCAGACTGACCAGCCCAAGAAACATCTCACCAATTTCAAATCCAGTAAGCGGCTTCTTTTTACTCTCTTCTCCAACCTCCCTCACTATCCCTCAACCTCTTTCTCCTTTCAATCTTGGCGCCACACTTCAATCTCTCCCTTCTCTTAATTTCAATTCCTTTCATTTTCTGGTAGAGACAAAGGAGACACGTTTTATCCGTGGAGCCAAAATTCCGGCCTGGTGTCAGACCACGCAGGGACGCCTGCCTTGGTCCTTCACCCTTAGTGGCAAGTCCCGCTTTTCTGGGGGAGGGACAGGAGACCCTCTTATCTCTGTGCCCTGATCCCTTATTTCCGTGCCCCAAACTCTTATCTCTGTGCCCCGATCCTTTATTTCCATGCCCCGAACTCTTATCTCTGTGACCCTATCCCTTATTTCCGTGACCGGACCTCTTATCTCTGCACCCCAACCCCTTATTTCTGTGCTCTGACCTCTTAGCTCTGCACTACAACCCTTTATTTCTGCACCCCAACCCCTTTCTCGCTTTTCTGGAAGGCAAGAACCCCCCCACCCCTTATCTCTGTGTCTCTACTCTCTCTTTTCCCTAGGCTTGCCTCCTTCACTATGGGCAAGTTTCTGCCCTCCATTCCCCCTTCTTCTCCCTTAGCCTGTGTTCTTAAAAACCTAAAACCTCTTCAACTCACACCTGACCTAAAACCTAAATGCCTTATTTTCTTCCACAATGCCTCTTGACCCCAATACAAACTCGACAGTAGTTCCAAATAGCCAGAAAATGAGACTTTCAATTTTTCCATCCTACAAGATCTAGATATTTCTTGTAGTAAAATGGGCAAACGGTCTGAGGGGACTGACGTCCAGGCATTCTTTTACACGTCGGTCCCTCCCTAGTCTGTTCCTAGTGCAACTCATCCCAAATCTTCCTTCTTTCCATCCCACCTGTCCCCTCAGTCCCAACCTCAAGCGTCACTGAGTCTTTCTAATCTTCCTTTTCTGAAGACTAATCTGACCTCTCCCCTCCTCGCCAGGCTGAGCTAGGCCCCAATGCTTCCTCAGCCTCCACTCCTCCACCCTATAATCCTTTTATCACCTCCCCTCCTCACACCAGCTCCAGCTTACAGTTTAGTTCCATGACTAGCCCTCCTCGACCTGCCCAGCCATTTCCTCTTAATAAGGTGGCTGGAGCTAAAGGCACAGTCAAGGTTAATGCTCCTTTTTCTTTATCCCAAATCAGATAGCATTTAGGCTCTTTTTCATCAAATATAAAAATCCACCCCAGTTCATGGCTCGTTTGGCAGCAACCCTGAGATGCTTTACAGCCCTAGACCCTGAAAGGTCAACAGGCCGTCTTATTCTCATCTACATTGTATTACCCAATCTGCTCCCGACATTAAATAAAGCTCTGAAAATTAGATACTGGCCCTCAAACCCCACAACGGGACTTAATTAACCTCGCCTTCAAGGTGTACAATAATAGAGTAGAGGCAGCCAAGAAGCAACATATTTCTGAGTTGTAATTCTTTGCCTCCACTGTGAGACAAACCCCAGCCACATCTCCAGCACACAAGAACTTCCAAACGCTGAAAGCGCAGTGGCCAGGCGTTCCTCCAGAACCGCCTCCCCCAGGAGCTTGCTACAAGTGCCAGAAAGCTGGCCACCAGGCCAAGGAATGCCCACAGCCTGGGATTCCTCCTAAGCCATGTCCCATCTGTGCAGGACCCCACTAGAAATTGGACTGTTCAACTCACCTGGCAGCCACTCCCAGAGCCCCTGGAACTCCGGCCCAAGGCTCTCTGACTGACTCCTTCCCAGATCTTCTTGGCTTAGCAGCTGAAGACTGACACTGCCTGATCGATCACTTCGGAAGCCTACAGGACCATCACAGACGCTCTACCTAACTCTCACAGTGGAGGGTAAGTCCATCCCCTTCTTAGTCAATACGGAGGCTCCCCACTCCACATTACCTTCTTTTCAAGGGCCTGTTTCCCTTGCCTCCATAACTGTTGTGGGTATTGACGGCCAGGCTTCTAAACCTCTTAAAACTCCCCAACTCTGGTGCCAACTTAGACAATACTCTTTTAAGCACTCCTTTTAGTTATCTCCACCTGCCCAGTTCCCTTATTAGGCCGAGACACTTTAACTAAATTATCTGCTTCCCTGACTATTCCTGGACTATAGCTACATCTCATTGCCACCCACCTTAACCCACAAGTAGAAGATACCTCTACTCCCTCCTTGGCGACCGACCATGCACCCCTTACCATCTCATTAAAACCTAATCACCCTTAACCCGCTCAATGCCAATATCACATCCCACAGCATGCTTTGAAAGGACTAAAGCCTGTTATCACTCGCCTGCTACAGCATGGCTTTTTAAAGCCTATAAACTCTCCTTACAATTCCCCCATTTTACCTGTCCTAAAACCAGACAAGCCTTACAAGTTAGTTCAGGATCTATGCCTTATCAACCAAATTGTTTTGCCTATCCACCCCAAGGTGCCAAACGCATATACTCTCCTATCCTCAATTCCTCCCTCCACAACCCATTATTCTGTTCTGGATCTCAAACCTGCTTTCTTTACTATTCCTTTGCACCCTTCATCCCAGCCTCTCTTCACTTTCACTTGGACTGACCCTGACACCCATCAGGCTCAGCAAATTACCTGGGCTGTACTGACGCCAAGCTTCACAGACAGCCCCCATTACTTCACTCAAGCCCAAATTTCTCCCTTATCTGTTACCTATCTCAGCATAATTCTCATAAGAACACACGTGCTCTCCCTGACGATCGTGTCCGACTAATCTCTCAAACCCCAACCCCAGCTACAGAACAACAACTCCTTTCCTTCCTGGGCATGGTTGGATACTTTTACCTTTAGATACCTGGTTTTGCCATCCTAACAAAACCATTATATAAACTCAAAAAAGTAAACCTAGCTGACCCCATAGATCTTAAATCCTTTCCCCACCCCTCTTTCTGTTCCTTGAAGACAGCTTTAAAGACTGCCCCCACCCTAGCTCTCCCTGACTCATCCCCACCCTTTTCATTACACACAACCGAAGTGCAGCGCTGTGCAGTCGAAATTCTTACACAAGGACCAGGATTGCCTCCTGTAGCCTTTTTGTCCAAACAACTTGACCTTACTGTTTTAGGCTGGCCATTATGTCTCCATGCAGTGGCTGCTGCTGCCCTAATACTTTTAGAGGTCCTTAAAATCACAAACCATGCTCAACTCACTCTCTACAGTTCTCATAATTTCCAAAATCTATTTTCTTCCTCACACCTGATGCATATACTTTCTGCTCCCCGGCTCCTTCAGCTGTACTCACTCTTTGTTAAGTCTCCCATAAGTACCATTGTTCCTGGCCCGGACTTCAATCCGGCCTCCCACATTATTCCTGATACCACGCCTGACCCTCATGACTGTATCTCTCTGATCCACCTGATGTTCTCGCCATTTCCCCACATTTCCTTCTTCCCTGTTTCTCATCCTGATCACACTTAGTTTATTGATGTCAGTTCCACCAGGCCTAATCGCCACACACCAGCAAAGGCAGGCTATGCTATAGTACAAGCCACTAGCCCGCCTCTTAGAAACTCTTATTTCCTTTCCATTGTGGAAATCTATCCTCAAAGAAATAACTTCTCAGTGTTCCATCTGCTATTCTACTACTCCTCAGGGATTATTCAGGCCCCCTCCCTTCTCTACACATTAAGCTCAGGGATTTGCCCCCACCCAGGACTGACATATTAGCTTTACTCAACGTGCCCCGAGTCAGGAAACTAAAATACCTCTTGGTCTAGGTAGACACTTTCACTGGATAGGTAGAGTCCTTTCCCACAGGGTCTAAGAAGGCCACCACGGTCATTTCTTCCCTTCTATCAGACATAATTCCTCAGTTTGGCCTTCCCACCTCTATACAGTCCAATGGTAGACCGGCCTTTATTAGTCAAATCAGCCAAGCATTGTTTCAGGCTCTTAGTATTCAGTGAAATCTTTATATCCCTTACAGTTCTCAGTCTTCAGGAAAGTAGAACAGACTAATGGTCTTTTAAAAACACACCTCACCAAGCTCAGCCACCAACTAAAAAAGGACTGAACAATACTTTTAGCACTTTCCCTTCTCAGAAGTCAGGCCTGTCCTTGGAATGCTACAAGGTACAGCCCATTTGAGCTCCTATATAGACGCTCCTTTTTATTAGGCCCCAGTCTCATTCCAGACACCAGACCAACTTGGACTGTGCCCCAAAAAACTTGTCATCCCTACTATCTTCTGTCTAGTCATACTCCTATTCATCGTTCTCAACAACTCATACATGTCCTGCTCTTGTTACACTGCTGGTTTACACTGTTTCTCCAAGCCATCACAGCTGATATCTACTGTTACTATCCCCAAACCGCCACTCTTAACTCTTAAATACATAATCTTTGCTGGCAAGGCTATGCTGAACTTCCTTAGGCACTCTCTAATTAGATGTCCTAGGTCCTCCCAATTCTTAGTCCTTTAATACCTGTTTTTCTCCTTCTCTTATTCTGTTTAGTTTTTCAATTCATACAAAACTGTATCCAGGCCATCACCAATAATTCTAAATGACAAATGTTTCTTCTAACAACCCAACAATATCACCCCTTACCACAAAATCTTCCTTCAGCTTAATCTCTCCCACTCTAGGTTCCCATGCTGCCCCTAATCCCGCTCAAAGCAGCCCTGAGAAACATCGCCCATTATCTCTCCATACCACCCCCAAAAATTTTCGCCGTCCCAACACTTTACCACTATTTCGTTTTATTTTTCTTATTAATATAAGAAGACAGGAACGTCAAGCCTCTGAGACCAAGCTAAGCCATCATATCCCTTGTGACCTGCACGTACACATCCAGATGACAGGTTCCTGCCTTAACTGATGACATTCCACCACAAAATAGATGAAAATGGCCTGTTCCTGCCTTAACTGATGACATTATCTTGTGAAATTCCTTATCCTGGCTCATCCTGGCTCAAAAGCTCCCCTACTGAGTATCTTGTGACCCCCACTCCTGCCTGCCACAGAACAACCCCTTTTTCCTTTGCCTACCCAAATCTTATAAAACAGCCCCACCCCATCTCCCTTCGCTGACTCTCTTTTTTGGGCTCAGCCTGCCTGCACCCAGGTGAAATACACAGCTTTATTGCTCACACAAATCCTGTTTGGTGGTCTCTTCACACGGATGCACATGAAAAAGAGTGTTCTTCTTTTTTTTTTTTTTTGAGATGGATTTTCACTCTTGTTGCCCAGGCTGGAGTGCAATGGCATGATCTCAGCTCACTGCCTCCTCCTCCTCCTGGGTTCAAGCAACTCTCCTCCCTCAGCCTCCCCAGTAGCTGGGATGGCAGGCACGCGCCACCATGCCCGGCTAATTTTGTATTTTTAGTAGAGATGGGGTTTCTCCATGTTGGTCAGGCTGGTCTCAAAGTCCTGACCTCAGATGATCCACCCGCCTCGGCCTACCAAAGTGCTGGGATTACAGGCATGAGCCACTGTGCCCCGACAAAAGTGTCCTCTTATAAGGACACTTGTCATTAGATGTACAGCCTACCTAAAATACTCCAGGTTAATCTCATCTCAAGATCCTTAACTTAATTACATCTGCAAAGACCCTTTTTCCAAATAATGCCACCTCCACGGATTCTAGGCACAAGGATCTGGATATATCTCGTGCAAAGCCACCATTCAGCTCACTACACTAGAAAGAGGAAAAACAACGAAGTAACAAAAGGTGCAGAAGAAAGAACAGATGCAGCTTGTGTGGCAGTGGCCATCAAGGCAGGCTGGGGTAAAACTGTGTCAACAGAACCCCCTGATGGAACTCAAGTGCGGCCGTCTGCTCCCAGCTACTCACAGAGAACCTTTCTGTTTCTGACAGCAGAGTAAGAGAAGAGGTGGGAAGAGAGATAGCCCATTCTCTGTTGGCCTAATTCCTAAGGAATCATGCCTCTGCCTTCGGGTCACTCTCTAGTCTTGTTCAAGGATAAAATGATTTATTGATGGCCGTAATTATAAAGCAATGCCAACAGAAGCAGCGTCAGCATTTTTCATTTGTACTTACACATGAGCGAGAGCAGTTTAGGGAAACGGGTGCCTTCAGGTTCTGTTTTCTCCATCTAGAAAAGGGCTGCCTTCGTGGAATGCTGGTCCTGGGGAGAAGCCTCATTTCTATAGCAGGAATTGACATAGTTTTAAATTCCGATTGGTACACGGAGCTACCCGTCCTCATTTCAAGCACTTCTGGTTTGTTCTGGGTTCAGTGGGTGAGCAATGAGGAGAACTCTGGGGAGGAGGATTTGGAGTGAGCGTGGTTTTGATACCCAGAGAGAGCTGTTTTTCCATCAGTGTCTTGAATGTGATTCAGAATGGGCTTCTCCGCTCAAGATGGGAGTACTGGGCTGATTTAAGGCGGATGATTGACTTGTTTTGGTGGCTCTTTTTATACTAGCTGGTTAACGAGCTAGTTTCTTCATTAGTTTCAGGCATGTGAGCTTAATGAAGCATTGGACCTCCCAAATTACAAGGAAAATACACATATAGCTTATATGGTAGGTTCGAAGGAGTTAGTGAACAAACACAGTAGGGCCACAAATTATTGTTAAAGACATGAATGCATGAAAGTGTATCTATGTCCAAATGGACTCTCTGCAACCATACTGTTCCACCTGAAAACTAGTAGATAGAAATTCAGCAAATGCTTGGACAGGGGATACTCTCAGAAGTATTCTGACTAAATAGCATGGTTTCTTTTCATATCACTAAAGTAATTTCTTCCCAAATTGACTCTGGACTAAATCTTATGATACCTACTTGTTCTGATTATACTTAGTCACCTGCAAATAAGGTGGGGGCAGTGGTAAGAGGAGCTGTTGAATGAAATTAAACATTTGTTGAATGCCTACTGAGGATAAAGCCCTGTGCTTTGTGCCAGGAAGATTCCAGAATAAATGAGGCACAGACCTACTCTCAGGAAGCTTTTGCAAACTAATGGAGAAAACACATCTGCAGGCAATGACTTATGGTATAAGAGGAAATGGGGCCAGGTACGGTGACTCACACCTGTAATCCCAGCACTTTGGGAGGCCAAGGTAGGTGGATCACTTGAGGTCAGCAGTTCAAGACCAACCTGGCCAACATGGCGAAACCCTGTTTCTACTAAAAATACAAAAAAAAAAAAAAATGAGCCAGGCTTGATGGTGTGCACCTGCAATCCCAGCTACTTCGGAGGCTGAGGCAAAAGAATCACTTAAACCTGGGAGGTGGAGACTATAGTGAGCCGAGATCCCACCACTGCACTTCAGCCTAGGAGAGAGAGTGAGACTCTGTCAAAAAAAAAAAAAAAAAAAGGAAATAAGATTGATGTTGAATGGGAAATCTAAGCAGGATGGAATGACAGGAGAGCGCCCACTTGCCCAGCTCCAATAACACTTTTGACAGCCATGACGATATTGCAGGGACGCCCATTCCTCATGGTGTCTGAAGCCCCATGAAGGCTTGTGTCTGGAGGCTGCTTCAGTCTTGACTTTAAGATCAGGGGATACAAGGAATGATTTTCATCTATCCCAAGCCAATAGTCCAGCCAAAAATCTAGCTCTGAGATGATGAGAAAAAGCAAGTCATGAACCATGTCAGCCATTTCATCATCATCATCATCATCATCATCATCATCATCAAAAATAAAAAGCAGACCTGTAACCGTCTTGTGTGCCTGGCTCTTGTCTTAATTCAAAATATAGAAGTAAATTCTATGGCCAGTGAACAATGACCAAAATAGGTCTCATCACTCTTGTCTGCCACCATGTAAGATGTGCCTTTTGCCTTCCACCATGATTTTGAGGCTTCTTCAGCCACATGGAACTGTGAGCCCATTAAACCTCTTTTTCTTTAAAAATTACCGTCTTGAGTAATAAAAGAGTGGTTTGTCCACAACATTAATGAACGATGCTGTCACCTGTTCCAAACGCCTATCGTTTAAGAGGTTTGGAAAAACAACAACCTAAAATAAATAAGCACTAACCAAACTCATGGCTACATAATCCCTGTGGTGAGGTAACTGACAATGGATACAACTGGGACAGTTTACTGTTAAATCACCTCTATCTACATGTGCCCAAGCAGTGAGATACTTGGTTTTAATCCTAAAAAATCACAGTGCACATTTACTCCTGCCTTCCAACTGGGCTCTAACGTCACCTCCTCAGAGAAGCCCGCTTTTCTGTGCTTCCACTCTGCTTTTTTTCAGCATTTAGTAGAGCATCAGTCACCATCCATATCAGGGAACAATGATTGTAAGTAACAGAAACCCATTTGCATGAGCTGGAGGGAAAGGAGCACACCTTATCTCTAATAGGCAAACTCATGGGCACAAGAAACAAATGAGAGGCCATGAGAGAATGGAAACTGCAGTTACAGAAACCAAAATGCCTCTTTCTGGCTCTCAGAAGCCCACGGTCTCTTTTTTTTTTTTTTTTTTTTTGAGACGCAATCTTGCTCTGTCGCCCAGGCTGGAGTGCAGTCGTGCTATCTCAGCTCACTGCAAGCTCTACCTCCCAGGGTTCACGCTGTTCTCCCACCTCAGCCTCCCAATTAGCTGGGACTACAGGCACCCGCCACCACACCTGGCTAATTTTTTGTATTTTTAGTAGAGATGGGGTTTCACCGTGTGAGCCAGGATGGTCTCGATCTCCTGACCTCGTGATCCACCCGTCTTGGCCTCCCAAAGTGCTGCGATTACAGGCATGAGCCACCACTCCCGGCAGCCCTTGGTCTTTCTTATCAGCCCTGTGGACTTTCTTATCTCTGTTTCTCTCACTCACTACCAATTTTCCCTTTTTGCTGGCGGCCCATCATGGCAGCCAGCAGAACCCACCACCAGCTGATCAGTCTGTTACTGGATATCTTGGAGAGGGAGGGAGGGAGGGAGGGAGAGAGGGAGAGGGAGAGAGAGAGAGAGACAGAGAGAGAGTGATAATTGGGCTTCTGGACAACCAATTGAGTATAGGGAGGGGAAGTACCATGGTACAAATATGGCACCAAGACCTGCTTTCTAGCATGGCCAATGAGTAGGGAAATTGAGGGAAGGTAACTGCAAAGACAGCAGACATCTCAGAACATGCTCTCTGTTCTTAGTTCTCTCTCCTGCCTTCTCCTAGATTTTAAATATCACAAGACAATCTAGAATAGTACCTGGCTCAAAATATTTGAGAAAGAGAAAAAGGAAGGGATTGGATCAAACTCTGGACTTCATGGTTTCCTGAATTCACTCTGCAAGTTTTTGGGTTGTTTTTTGAGACGGAATCTCACTCTGCTGCCCAGACTGGAGTGCATTGGCATAATCTTGGCTCACTGCAACCTCCACCTCCCAGGTTCAAGCAAATCCCCTGCCTCAGCCTCCTGAGTAGCTGGGATTACAGGCACGCGCTGCTACACCAGTTAATTTTTGTATTTTTAGTAGAGATGGGGTTTCACCATGTTGGCCAGGCTGGTCTCGAACTCTTGACCTCGGTTCCACCCACCTTGGCCTCCCAAAGTGCTGGGATTACAGGTGTGAGCCACCACACCTGGCTGACTCTGCAAGTATTTAAGTGAATGAATGTAAGTCCCTGAGAATCAGAAGAAAGGCATTAAATCTCCGTTAGGTTTAATCCTGGTCAGCAGCTGTGGGGTGTCCTGGGTTTGGGATCAGTGGGATGAGGAACAAGCAGGTTCTCCAAATCACCACTCAGGGAGGGGAGGTGTTAACTAGGCCAAAGATGACAGGTGGGTATGTGCCTGGATTTCAAACAGCTTATGCCAGTCCTAAAAACTGACGCTGAGGCAGAAACTGTATTAAGCAAATTGATGACACAATGGAGGGGGTCAAAAAGTTTAATATTGCTAAGAAGAATACAAATACTGATCATGCAATATGTTATGGCTATCACGCCATCTCCTGCTACACGCCAGGTTTCCTTTACCATGAGATAGAAGAGATTTGTGGATCTGACCTAACCCTCCAAATTGTAAGGTCCCTGAGAGTGGTCTCATGACATTCATGTTTTATAAATGTGGCATAAAGGCTCACGCTGGCTGCCATGTGGCCCAATGCCAGTTTGATGCTGCATTCAAAGAACCATCATTCCAGCATCCAAGCATACTGAAAGGCAATTGAAATGTTTACCGACGTCCCTCAAGACAAACACCAAAGAAAAATTATTTTCATAATGCATAGCAACACTTCTTAAAATCTTATTTTCCCATTTCTTTCCCTCTCTCTACCACATTCCCAAGAGTTTCCCAGGAATAAAACTATCATAAAGACCCAGGAGCAAAATGATTAATGACTTCACTATATCTGATTCTAATTTAGTTGGTTTAGAGTGGTGTCCGGGCATACGTATTTTTTAATATCTTGCTAGGCACAGTGGCACACACCTGTAGCCTCAGCTCTCAGGAGGCTGAGGCAGAAGAATCACTTGAGCCCGGGAGTTTGAGTCCAGCCTGGGCAACATAGCAAGACCCTGTCTCTGAAAAAAAAAAAAAAAAAAAGCGGAAACAAATCTCTCTCAGCTGCAGTCAGGGTTGATAACTAGTTGATCAAATAATTGTGGTAGCCATCCTTCACAATAGACCTTAATATTCCCACCTCCTGGTGTTATTCATTGTGGAATCTGTCTTAGCTAGTCCTCAATTGGGTCTGGTATCCTGGCCCCACCTTGAGAGGCTAGTCCCACCTCCTACCCCACACAAGGTTTTACACTTACTTTCAAGACTGGCCTAAAAATGTAAAATGTACTTGTTTTGACCTTGTTTCCAATAAAACAACTATTCTAAACATTCATTTAGGATGGTTAGGGAAATTTGAACGCCGGCTAAATATTAGAAGATGTTTGCTTCAAAATAACCCAGCTTGGTAATGAGATGATGGCGGCTGAGGCTGGTGATAGGCACAGAGGGCTTCATTATCAAATAGAAACAAGTGGAAAAAACAGAATTTGTCCATAATACAAATGTAAGGTAAACACAAAAATGTATTGAGTGCATAAAAAGAATCTATGGTCTCACAGGCATTAGCTTATAATTTGAACATCAAAAATAAAAGTGACGGCCAGGTGCAGTGGCTGATGCCTGTAATCCCAGCACTTTGGGAGACCGATGTGGGTGGATCACTTGAGCCCAGGAATTTGAGACCAGCCTGAGCAACATAGGGAGACCCCCATCTCTAAAATAAATAAATATAAATAAAAGTGACTAGAATTGATTATAGAACATCAACTCGATTTGAGTCTATAAAGATTCCTGGTGAAGGGGGGCAATGGGGAGAAGGAGAAAGAGAATATATTTGTGACCTAGATTATTTTCCTTAGTTTTGAGAGAATGTTCGGGTCTCCTGGGTCTTCTAGCCCAGTATTTATTTTTATTTTTTATTTATTTATTTATTATTTTTTTTAGATGGAGTCTCACTCTGCCACCAGACTGGAGTGCAGTGGTGCGATCTCGGGCCACTGCAACTTCCGTCTCCCAGGATCAATCTATTCTCCTGTCTCAGCCCCCCAAGTGGCTAGGACTACAGGTACCTGCCACTTCACCCAGATAATTTTTTTTTTTTTTTTTGAGACCGAGTCTGGCTCTGTTGCCCAGGCTGCGGTGCAGTGGTGCAATCTCGGCTCACTGCAAGCTCCACCTCCCAGGTTCATGCCATTCTCCTCCCTCAGCCTCCCGAGTAGTTGGGACTAAAGGCACCTGCCACCACGCCCGGCTAATTTTTTTGTATTTTTAGTAGAGGCAGGGTTTCACCGTGTTAGCCAGGATGGTCTCGATCTCCTGACCTCATGATCTGCCCGCCTCAGCCTACCAAAGTAGGCATTACTGTAATCAAGGATTACAGGCATGAGCCACTGTGCCCAGCCGCACCCAGCTAATTTTTGTATTTTTTGTAGAGATGGTGTTTCACCATGTTGATCAAGGCTGGTCTCGAACTCCTGATCTCAGGTGATCCGCCCGCCTTGGCATCCCAAAATACAAGGATTACAGGCATGAGCCACCACACCCTGCCTATTTTCCTTAGTTTTCAGAGAACCTTTGTGTCCCCTGGGTGTTCTAGCCCAGTATATCTCAAACTTTGCTGCACCGAGGACCTTGTTGAAATGCAGGTTCTCATCTGGGAGGCTCAGTGGGCCAGCAAATCTGCATTGGTTTAGGAAGCTCACCCTGAGTATCAAGCTTCAGTGAGGACCAGGCAGTCCCCTGCCTGCCAACCCCCTCTCAGCTGGGCTTAACTCTCGCTCTCTCCTGCCAGGGTTCCTCCCCTCAAAATAGGAGCTATTTTCAAAAAGTCTCTTGGAAAAAAAGCCCTGTTTTAAAATTGGGGTGTTCAGGATTGGCCATCTGCTCACCATGGGGTTTTAAGACCTTTGCCCAGACCCCTGCAACCAACTTAGAACTGACCTCTTTACTCTTGAAGGCCCGACTCCACACCATATTAAATTCATTAAAATCCACCCCCATTACAGGCATATCTCAGGCATCACGCCCTCAGAACGGAGTTGCAGCTGATCCCTTGACAGTGTTGTAAAGCATTAAACATGCGTTCATTTCAGCCTTGCAGTTTGCACATTTAGCAGCCAATTGTCTTGGGTCTAAAGCATTCATGTCCAAGCATTGTTATGGGCCCCAGACACTATGCTTCCCAGCCTCAATGGCCTCTGCAATGCTGGTTCCTACTGCCCCACCCCTGGGTTCTGGCCGGCTAGCCCGCGCCACCTCACTGCTCCCCCATTCAAGTGTGCCTTAAATGTGTGGTTTCCAAACTCATCTACACTTTAGGGTCACCTGGGATTTTTTTTTAAGTCTTCCAAAACCCAGGCCACACCGAAGAACAATTGAACCCTAACCTCCGGAATGGGACATAGCATCCGTTTTTTGTTTTGTTTTGTTTTTGAGACAGGGCCTCGCTCTGTTACCCAGGCTGGAGTGCAGTGGCACAATCATAGCTCACTACAGCCTCCAACTCCTGGGCTCAAGCAACACTACCACTTCAACCTCCACGGTAGCTGGGATCACAGGCGGGCACCACCACGCCTGGCTAATTTTTAAATTTTTTATAGAGACAGTATCTCCCTATGTTCTCCAGGCTCGTCTCAAACTCCTGAGCTCAAGCGATACTCCCGCCTCAGCCTCCCAAACTGCTGGGATTATAGGCATGAGCCACCATGCCTGGACATCAGCATCTGTATTTTTTGAAGCACAGATGAGTTTGGGAACTACCGCCCTAGACTGAGCTCGGTTTCCTAGCCCTGTCTGACCGTAGGATTCGGCTGGGCTGCTTCTGAAAACAGAGCTCCCCAGGCTTCTTCCCAGGTAATTCTGATTCATTAGGTCTGGGTTGGGCCCCGGAATGTGCGTTTTTTATGAGATCCCTCTGGATGAATCAGGCTAAAGCCAGTTTGGGATCTGAGACCTTGGAGATCATTCCCCAGCCTCCCTCCTAACCCAGTTCCCAGCTTGGCCCACCTCACCCAGGCTGTGTCACCTCTGACTTCGTAGATTACACCTGAGAGGGAAGCCCCAGCCATCACAATGTGAGAATATTTTACAATGACCAGGATATGCCAAATACATTTTAAAACTCATTCAGGATTAGCGTTCACCTTAAACTTGACAGACTCTGAGAACGGGCTGGCCACGTGCTGTGCACAACCCTTAGTGCTCTTCTGTGACTAATATTTGGATAATTGATAGTTGGAAGCTCAGGAAGCCTCTCTCTCTCTCCGAGGGGTCGAAGTTAACTTCCTTATTTCTGAGGTAGGGAAGAAAATGAGGATGTTCTGCCTTTTGCCAGACTGAATACTGTCCTCCAAAAATTCACATTCACCAGGAATCCCAGAATGTGGCCTTATTAGAAAATAGGGGCAAGACATGGTGGCTCATGCTTGTAGTCTTAACACTTTGGGAGGCTGAGGCAGGAGGATCACTTGAGGTCAGGAGTTCAAGACCAGCCTGGCTAGCATGGCAAAACCCTGTCTCTACTAAAAACACAAACATTAGCTAGGCATGGTGGCATGCACCTGTAATCCCAGCTACTTTGGAGGCTGAGGCTGAAGAATCACTTGAACCCAGGAGGCAGAGTTGCAGCGAGCTGAGATTGTGTCACTGAACTCCAGCCTGGGCAACAGAGCAAGGCTCCATCTCAAAAAAAAAGAAAAGAAAATAGGGTCACTGCAGATCTAATTACAAAGAGGTCATATTGGAATAGCGTGGACCTTAAATCCAGTAATAATGGCATCCTCATGGAAAGATAAGAAGAGACAGAGACACACAGGGGAGAAGGCCACGTGAGAATGAAGGAAGAGAATGGAATGATGTGGCCACAAGCCAAGGATTGCCAGCAACCACCAGAAGCCAGAAGAGGCAAGGAAGGATTCATCCCTAGAGCCTTCAGAGGGAGCACGGCCCTGCCCGTTTCAGACACCAAGCTTCTGGAACTGGAGAGAATGACTTTCTGTTGTCCTGAGCCACCCATTTGGGGAACTTTGTTAGAACAGTCACAGCCAGCTCATGTGCTCCTGAATGCATCTCAGGCATTAATAAGCACTGTCTTGGCCAGTCAGGGTGGCTCACCCCTGTAATCCCAGCACTTTGGGAGGCAGAGGTGGGTAGATCACCTGAGGTCAGGAGTTCGAGACCAACCTGACCAACATGGAGAAACCCCATCTCTACTAAAAATACAAAAATTAGATGGGCGTGGTGTTGTGCACCTGTAATCCCAGCTACTTGGGAGGCTGAGGCAAGAGAATCACTTGAACCCTGGAGGCAGAAGTTGCAGTGAGCCGAGATTGCGCCATTGCACTCCAGCCTGGGCAACAAGAGCGAAACTCTGTCTCAAAAAAAAATAATAAGTACTGTCTTGACTGTGGTCATCAAAAATATTTGATGAAGGGTTAGCTAGAAAGCCTGACCCTTTCACAGATGGACGGAAGGGCCAAAAGAAAATAGATTGTTTGCAGTGGGGCAAGAAGGATAAGAATCCTATGGAAAGAAAAACAGAGGGATTTGTTTAGTGAGCGCTGGGGAGAGACATTTGTTTTCTTGCTTAAAAAAGAAACACAGGTGGGGTGCGGTGGCTCAAGCCTTAATCCCAGCACTCTCGGAGGCCAAGGTGGGTGGATCACCTAAGGTCAGGGGTTTGAGACCAGCCTGGCCAACAACATGAAACCCCATCTCTACTAAAAAGACAAAAACAAAAGAAAGAAAGAAATTAGCCAGACATGGTGGTGAGCGCCTGTAATCCCAGCTACTCGTGTGGCTGAGGCAGAGAACCACTTGAACCTGGGAGGCAGAGGTTGCAGTAAGCCAAGATGGCATCGTTGCACTCCAGCCTAGGAAACAAGAGTGAAACTCTGTCTCAAACAAAAAAAAGAAAGAAAGAAAGAAAAAAAAAACATAGTTTTAAGTCCACTCAGTGGAGTTTAAAAATACATTCTCGTTGCACAGTGCTTTTGGAATCTTTTCTAAACTTCTGTTGCACATGATCTAATTTGATCTTCATAGCAACTCCCTGAGGTGGATAGGGCAGGCCTTTCTGAACACCAATTTTCTACTTTGCATTAAAAGAACGGAATTGGCTGGGACCAGTGGCTCATGCCTATAATCCCAGCACTTTGTGATACAGAAGGGAAGTGCTCGGAAGGGAAGAATGTGGTCCCTTTAAATGATATGGAAGTGAGGAAGGGAAGTACTGGGTAGAGGAGGGTGTGGTCCCTGGCTAGGGCTTCACCACAGGGCCTGTGCCCATGGACCTAGGTGAGGACAGGGATTTTTGTTTTCCCGCCCAAATGTTGCATTTCCCAAGACCACCCTGGCTGCCACACCCCCATTCTGTGCCTATAAAAACCCTGAGACCCTAGCAGGCAGACACACAGGCAGCTGGACTTCGAGAGGAGCACATCAGCGGAGGAACACAAGGGCGCTGGACATCAAGAGGAACGCACCAATGGGCACCGGCACACCGCAGGCCACTGACTGCAGAACAACGCAGTTTGGCTGGGACAGTCAGAGAAGAGTCAGGCCACTCGCCCGAATCCAGGGGTAAACCACCTCCCTTCTGGCTCCCCCATCTGCTGAGAGATACTTCCACTCAATAAAACCTTGCGCTCTCACGCCTGTAATTCCAGCACTTTGGGAGGCCGAGGCGGGCAGATCACGAGGTCAGGAGATCCAGACCATCCTGGCTAACACAGTGAAACCCCATCTCTACTAAAAATACAAAAAAATTAGCCGGGCGTGGTGGTGGGTGCCTGGAGTCCCAGCTACTCGGGAGGCTGAGGCAGGAGAATGGCATGAACCCGGAAGGCGGAGCTTGCAGTGAGCTGAGATTGCACCACTTTCGGTACACCAAGGCAAGAACCCCAGGACAAAGAGAGCCCTCTGTCCTTGCAATAAGGCGGAGGTCTAATTGAGCCGACTAACACAAGCTACCTACAGATGGCTAAACTAAAAGAACACCCTGTAACACACGCCCACTGGTGCTTCAACTATAAACATTCACCCCTGGACACTGCCATGGGGCTCGCTGCCTGTCTGCATGCTCCCCTAGAGGTTTGAGCAATGGGGCACTGAAGACCCCATCTCTACAAAAAAAAAATAAGTAAACAAAAAAAAACCATTAAAAATTAGCCAGCTGTGGTGGCACACACCTGTAGTCTCAGCTACTCAGGAGGCTGATGCGGAAGGATTGCTTGAGCCCAGGAGGTTGAGGCTGCAGTGAGCCAAGATTGAACCACTGCACTCCAGCCTGGGCGACAGAATGACACCCTGTTTCGACAACAACAAAAAGAATGGAACAAAATCACTTCTCAAATAGCTAGCAGAGGCAGATCTGGTTCTCAAATGCAGGTTTTCCAGGTTTCAATTCTTGTTTCTAGCAGTATTACGGAGAAACATGATCACTAATACATAAAGGAGAGGAGGATTCAAGTTCTGATGAAAAGATGGTAAAGAGAGGAGTTAGTTGACTAGGAGTGACTAGGAATGGGAAGAAAACGCATGACACTACTTACAGGAAAGAAAAGTAAGCATAGAGGTGACTGAGCGGACAGAAAGGACTTGGGAGAAGCGTGTTTGTCCCCGTCTCTGCATTTTTTACCTTGCTTTAGTAACTTCCCTGATGACTTGGATGAATCTTCTCTTCCAGGGCACCTAGTGTTCCCTTTCTGTCCACTTCTCCTTTCCCAGGGCCCATACAGTCTGGGAAAGCATGCTCTGCAGGCTTCTCATATCTTTCCTTCCTTAATCAGCCCCTAGCGTCTCTACATAACCCATATACACCTGGAGTTCCACATGTCCCAGTCTTTGCACTGCAATGAATTCAAAGAAAGGTAGGCTCTAGCTGGGTGCAGGGGCTCACACCTGTAATCCCAGCACTTTGGGAGGCTGAGGCAGGCGGATCACTTGAGCCCAGGAGTTCAAGACCAGGCCTGGCCAACATGGTGAAACCCCATCTCAACTAAAAATACAAAAATTAGCTGGGCTTGGTGGTACATGCCCAGTAGTCCCAGCTTCTGGGGAGGCTGAGGCAGAAGAATTGCTTGAACCCAGGAGTCAGAGGTTGCAGTGAGCTGAGATCGTGCCACCGCACTCCAGCAGCCTGGGCAACAGAGCAAGGCCCAGTCTCAAAAAAACACAAAGACAAAACTAAACCAAAAAAAAAAAAAAAGGGCACACACAAACACACACACAAAAACAAAGGTAGACTCCAATAGGAAAAATTCACTCAAAAGCAATTCAAATAATTATTCAGTCAACCCAGTTCTATCTCAGTTCTTTATTATATATATAAACTTATTCTGTCCAGATTCCCTAGTTTTCTTTTTCTTATCTTTTTTGTTTTCTTTTGAGACAGGGCGTCACTCTGTCACCCAGGCTGGAGAATAGAGGCACGATCATGGCTCACTGCAGCCTCAACCTCCTGGGCTGAAGTAGTTCTCCCACCTCAGCCTCCCAAGTAACTGGGACTACAGGTGCATGCCACCATGCTCAGCAACTTTTTGTATTTTTTGTAGAAACGGGGTCTCACTATGTGGGCCAGGCTGGTCTTGAACTCCTGGACTCAAGAAGTCCACCTGCCTCAGCCTCCCAAAGTGCCAAGATTACAAGCATGAGCCACTGCATCTGGCTGATTCCTTGGTTTTCTTTTTCTCTTTGCCCATTGCCTGGATTCCATAAGCAGAAGGAAAACCCAGGGGCTGACTTTGTAGGCAAGACTCTTTCCTCTTCAAAACATAAATTGGTTCAAGTGGTAACAAAACTGAAACATGTTTATAACTTAACATCTTTTCTTCCTAGCCCTTCAATCTCCTGAGCAATGAGAAAAGTTACTGGGTTCTTTATTTGTGTAGGGAAAAGAGAGATCAGACTGTCACAGTGTCTATGTAGAAAGGGAAGACATAAGAGACTCCATTTTGAAAAGGACCTGTACTTTAAACAATTGCTTTGCTTAGATGTTGTTAATTTGTTGCTTTGCCCCAGCCACTTTGACCCAACCTGGAGCTCACAAAAACATGTGTTGTATGAAATCAAGGTTTAAGGGATCTAGGGCTGTGCAGGACATGCCTTGTTAACAAAATGTTTACAAGCAGTATACTTGGTAAAAGTCATCGCCATTCTCTAGTCTCAACAAACCAGGGGCACAATACACTGTGGAAAGCCGCAGCGACCTCTGCCCTTGAGAGCAAGGTATTGTCCAAGGTTTCTCCCCATGTGATAGTCTGAAATATGGCCTCATGGGATGAGAAAGACCTGACTGTCCCCCAGCCCGATACCCGTAAAGGGTCTGTGCTGAGGTGGATTAGTAAAAGAGGAAAGCCTCTTGCAGTTGAGATGGAGGAAGGCCACTGTCTCCTGCTTGCCCCTGGGAACTGAATGTCTCAGTGTAAAACCCGATTGTACATTTGTTCAACTCTGAGATAGGAGAAAAGCTGCCCTGTGGCAGGAGGTGAGACATGTTTGCAGCAATGCTGCCTTGTTATTCTTTACACCACTGAGATGTTTGAGTGGAGAGACACATAAATCTGGCCTACGTGCACGTTCAGGCATAGTACCTTCCCTTGAACTTATTTATGATATAGATTCTTTTGCTCACATGTTTTTTGTTGACCTCCTTATTATCACCCTGCTCTCCTACTACATTTATTTTTGCTGAAATAATGAAAATCATAATCAATAAAAACTGAGGGAACTCAGAGGCCGGTGCCTGTGCAGGTCCTTGGTGTGCTGAGTGCCGGTCCCCTGGGCCCACTGTTGTTTCTCTATACTTCGTGTCTTATTTATTTTCTCCGTCTCTCATCCCACCCGACTAGAAATACCCACAGGTGTGGAGGGGCAGGCCATCCCTTCATCTGGTGCCCAATGTGGGGCCCTTCTCTAGGGTGAAGGTACCTTAAGAACGTGAGCATTGAGGACAGCCAACGAGAGATTCCCGAGTACATCCACAGTCAGCCTTGAGGTTAGCTTGTGCGCTCGGAGGAATCCAGGGTAACAATGGGGCAAACTGAAAGTAAATATGCTTCTTATCTCAGCTTCATTAAAATTCTCTTAAGAAGAGGGGGAGTTAAAGTTTCTACAGAAAATCTAGTTACGCTATTTCAAGCAATAGAACAATTCTGCCCATGGTTTCCAGAACAGGGAATTTTAGATTTAAAAGATTGGGAAAAATTGGCAAAGAACTAAAACAAGCAACTAGGGAAGGTAAGATCATCCCACTTACAGCATGGAATGATTGGGCCATTATTAAAGCAACTTTAGAACCATTTCAAATAGAAGAAGACAGCGTTTCAGTCTTTGATGCCCCTGAAAGCTGTGTAATAGATTGTGAAGAAGAGGCAGGAACAGACTTTAAGAAAGGAATGGAAAGTTCACATTGTAAAACTGCAGTAGAGCCTGTAATGGTTCGGTCAATGCAAAATGTTGACTATAATCAATTACAGGAGGTAATATATCCTGAATCATCAAAATTGGGGGAAGGAGGTCCAGAATTATTTGGGCCATCAGAGTTTAGACCACGATGGCCACCAACCCCTTCTCCCGCGGTTCAGATGCCTGTGATGTCACAATCTCAAATGCCAATCCAGGCACAGTATCCGCAATACCAGCCAGTAGAAAATAAACCCAACCATCGGTAGTTTATCAACACCAGCCGCCAGCCGTATTTCAGTATCCGCCGTCTCCAGAGGTTCAGTATGGATCTCAGGCAGTGCGTCCTGTGCCAAATAGCAAGGCACTATATCAACAACCCACGGCGATGGCGTTTGATCTTACAGTACCACCTAGTGGACAAGATAGTGCACTGCATGAGACCATTGCTACAGCCAGAAAACAGGGAGATCTTGAGGCATGGCAATATCCGGGAATGTTACAAACAATGCCGGCCGGGAAAGGGAGTCAAGCAGGAGCGTCTGTCTGAACTGAGACCAGATATGAATCTTTCACCACAAAAATGTTAAAAGATATGAAGGAAGGAGTTAAACAATATGGACCTAACTCTCCTTATATGAGAACATTATTAGATTCCATTGCTCATGGAAATAGACTTATTCCTTATAATTGGGAAATTTTGGCTAAATCTTCCCTTTCACCCTCTCAGTATCTACAGTTTAAAACCTGGTGGATTGATGGGGTACAACAACAGGTATGAAAAAATCAGGCTACTAATCCTGTTGCTTATATAGATGCAGACCAATTACTAGGAACAGGTCCAAATTGGGGCACTACTAACCAACAATCAGTAATGCAAAATGAGGCTACTGAACAACTAAGGGCTATTTGCCTCAGGGCCTGGGAAAAGATTCAGGACCCAGGAACCTCCTGCTCTGCTTTTAGTTCAATCAGACAAGGCTCTAAAGATCCATATCCAGACTTTGTGGCAAGGTTGCAAGATGCAGCTCAAAAATCCATTGCAGATAATAACGCCCGAAAAGTTACTGTGGAAATAATAGCTTATCAAAATGCAAATCCAGAGTGTCAATCAGCCATAAAGCCATTAAGAGGAAAGGTTTCAGCAGGAGTTGATGTAATTACAGAATATGTGAAGGCTTGTGATGGGATTGGAGGAGCTATGCGTAAGGCAATGTTATTGGCTCAAGCAATTACAGGGGTTGCTTTAGGAGGACAAGTTAAAACATTTGGGGAAAAATGTTATAATTGTGGTCAAATCGGACATCTAAAAAAGAATTGCCCAGGCTTAAATACACAGAGCAAAAAAAAAAAAAGAGCCACCTGGCCTGTGTCCAAGATGTGGAAAAGGAAAATATTGGGCTAAGGAATGTCGTTCTAAATTTGATAAAAATGGACAGCCATTGTTGGGAAATGGGAAGAGGGGCCAGCCCCAGGCCCCGCAACAAAGTGGGGCATTCCCGATTCAGTCATTTGTTCCTCAGGGTTTTCAGGGACAACAACCCCCACAGTAATACCACCATTTCAGGAAATCAGCCAATTACAACAATACAACAATTATCCCCTGCCACAGCAGGCAGCACTGCAGTAGATTTATGTTCTACTCAAATGATTTCTTTACTCCCTGGAGAGCCCCCGCAAAAGACTCCTACAGGGGTATATGGCCCGCTGCCAGAAGGGATGTTAGGCCTTATTTTAGGAAGATCTAGTCTAAATTTGAAAGGAGTTCAAATTCATACTGGGGTAATTGACTCAGATTATAAAGGGGAAATTCAGTTAGTGATCAGCTCTACTGTTCCCTGGAGTGCCAATCCAGGTGATAGAATTGCTCAATTACTGCTCTTGCCTTATATTAAAATTGGGGATAGCAAAACAGAAAGAACAGGAGGGTTTGGAAGTACCAACCCTGCTGGAAAAGCTGTTTATTGGGCTAGTCAGCTCTCAGAGAATAGACCTGTGTGTACAGTTACTATTCAGGGAAAACAGTTTGAAGGATTAGTGGATACTGGGGCTGATGTTTCTCTCATTGCCTTAAATCAATGGCCAAAAAATCGGCCTAAACAAAAGCCTGTTACAGGAATTGTTGTTGTGGGCACTGCCTCAGAAGTGTATCAAAGTGCCAGGATTTCACATCGTCTAGGACCTGATAATCAAGAGAGTACAGTTCAGCCTATGATTACTTCTATTCCAATTAATTTACGGGGCCAAGACTTATTAGAACAGTGGCATGCAGAGATTACTATTCCAGTCTCTCTATACAGCTCCACGAGTCAAAAAATCACGACTAAAATGGGATATCTCCCTGGCAATGGACTAGGGAAAAATGGAGAAGGCATTAAAGTTCCAATTGAGGCTAAGGGAAATCCAGAAAGAAAAGGACTAGGGTATCCTTTTTAAGGGTGGCCACTGTAGAGCCTCCAAAACCCATTCCATCAACTTGGAAAAGAGAAAAGCCTATATGGGTAAATCAGTGGCCACTACCAAAACAAAAGCTGGAGGCCTTACACTTATTGGCAAAAGAACAATTAGAAAAGGGACATATTGGGCCTTCATTTTCGCCTTGGAATTCTCCTGTGTTTGTAATTCAGAAAAAATCAGGCAGATGACGCATGCTAACTGATTTGAGAGCTGCTAATGCAGTAATTCAACCCATGGGGCCTCTCCAACTTGGGCTGACCTCTCCAGCCATGATCCCCAAATATTGGCCTTTAATTATAATTGATCTGAAGGATTGCTTTTTTACCATTCCTCTGGCAAAACAGGATTTTGAAAAATTTGCTTTTACTATACCAGCCATAAATATTAAAGAACCAGCCACCAGCTTTCATTGGAAAGTGTTGCCTCAGGGAATGCTTAATAGTCCAACTATTTGTCAGACTTTTGTAGCTCAAGTTCTTCAACTAGTTAGAGACAAGTTTTTAGACTGTTATATCATTCATTATGTTGATGATATTTTGTGTGCTGCAGAAATAAGAGACAAATTAATTGACTGTTACACATTTCTGCAGACAGAGGTTGCAAACGCAGGCCTGACAATAGCATCTGATAAGATTCAGACCTCCACTCCTTTTCATTATTTGGGAATGCAGGTAGAGGAGAGAAAAATTAAACCACAAAAAGTAGAAGTAAGAAAAGACACATTAAGAACATTAAATGACTTTCAAAAATTGCTAGGAGATATTAATTGGATTTGGCCAACTCTAGGCATCCGTACTTACGCCATGTCAACTTTGTTCTCTATCTTGAGAGGGTATCCAGACTTAAATAGTAAAAGAACATTAACTCCAGGGGCAACTAAAGAAATTGAATTAGTTGCAGAAAAAATTCAGTCAGCACAAGTAAATAGATCACTTAGCCCCACTCCAACTTTTAATTTTTGCTACTGCACATTCTCCAACAGGCATTATTGTTCACAATACATATCTAGTGGAGTGGTCATTCCTTCCTCACAGTACAGTTAAGACTTTTACATTGTACTTAGATCAAATGGGTACATTAATTGGTCAGGCAAGACTACGAATAGTAAAATTGTGTGGAAAAGACCCAGATAAAATCATTGTTCCTTTAAATAAGGAACAGGTTAGACAAGCCTTTATCAATTCTGGTGCATGGAAGATTAGTATTGCTGATTTTGTGGGAATTATTGATAATCATTACCCAAAAGCAAAAATCTTCCAGTTTTTGAAATTGACTACTTGGATTTTACCTAAAATTACCAGACAAAAACCTCCAGAAAATGCTCTGACGGTGTTTACTGATGGTTCCAGCAATGGAAAAGCGGCTTACACTGGGCCAAAAGAACGAGTCACTGAAACTCAATATCACTCAGCTCAAAGAGCAGAATTGGTTGCTGTCATTTCAGTGTTACAAGAATTTAATCAGCCTATTAACATTGTTTCAGATTCTGCATATGTAGTACAGGCTACAAAGGATGTTGAGACAGCCCTAATCAAATATAGTGTGGATGATCAGTTAAATCAGCTGTTTAAATTGTTACAACAAACTGTAAGAAAAAGAAGTTTCCCATTTTATATGGCTCATATCCGAGCACATACTAATTTACCAGGGCCTTTAACTAAGGCAAATGAACAAGCTGACTTGCTAGTATCATCTGCCTTCATGGAAGCACAAGAACTTCATGCCCTGACTCATGTAAATGCAACAGGATTAAAAAACAAATTTGATATCACATGGAAACAAGCAAAAAATATTGTACAACATTGTGCTCAGTGTCAAGTCTTACACCTGCCCACTCAAGAGGCAGGAGTTAATCCTAGAGGTTTATGTCCTGATGCATTATGGCAAATGGACGTCACACATGTACCTTCATTTGGAAAACTGTCATTTGTCCATGTGACAGTTGATACTTATTCACATTTCATATGGGCAACCTGCCAGACAGGAGAAAGTACTTCCCATGTTAAAAGACATTTATTATCTTGTTTTGCAGTCATGGCAGTTCCAGAAAAAATTAAAACAGATAATAGGCCAGGATACTGTAGTAAAGCATTTCAAAAATTCTTAAATCAGTGGAAAATTACACATACAACAGGAATCCTTTATAATTCCCAAGGACAGGCCATAATTGAAAGAACTAATAGAACACTCAAAGCTCAATTGGTTAAACAAAAAAAGGAAAAAGACAGTAAGGAGTATAACACTCCCCAGATGCAACTTAATCTAGCATTCTATATTTTAAATGTTTTAAATATATATAGAAATCAGACCACTACTTCTGCAGAATAACATTTTACTGGTAAAAAGAACAGCCCACATGAGGGAAAACTGATTTGGTGGAAAGACAACAAAAACAAAACTTGGGAAATAGATAAGGTGATGACATGGGGGAGAGGTTTTGTTTGTGTTTCACCAGGAGAAAATCAGCTTCCTGTTTGGGTACCCACTAGACATTTGAAGTTCTACAATGAACCCATCAGAGATGCAAGGGAAGGCACCTCCGCAGAGACAGAGAACCCGCAATCGAACATCATCGACTCGCAGGGTGAACAAAATGGTGATATCAGAAGAACAGATGAAGTTGCCATCCACCAAGAAAGCGGGGCCACCGACCTGGGCCCAGCTAAAGAAGCTGACACAGTTAGCTGAAAAAAGCCTGGAAAACACAAGGGTAACACAAACTCCAGAGAATATGCTGCTTGCAGCTTTAATGATTGTATCAACGGTGGTAAGTCTCCCTATGTCTGCAGGAGCCGCTAGAGCTAACTATACTTACTGGGCCTATGTGCCTTTCCCACCCTTAATTCGGGCAGTCACTTGGATAGATAATCCTATTGAAGTATATGTTAATAACAGTGCATGGGTACCAGGCCTCACAGATGACCGTGGCCCTGCCCAACCTGAAGAAGAAGGAATGATGATAAACATTTCCATTGGGTATCATTATCCTCCTATTTGCCTGGGAAAAGCACCAGGATGCTTAATGCCTACAATCCAAAATTGGTTGTTAGAAGAACCTACTGTCAGTGCCACCAGTAAATTTACTTACCATATGATAAGTGGAATGTCACTCCGATCACAAATGAATAATTCACAGAATTCTTCCTATCAAAGATCATTAAAATTTAGGCCTAAATGGAAACCATGCCAGATGAAATTCCAGAAGAATCAAGAGACCCAGAAGTCTTAGTTTGGGAATAATGTGTGGCTGATACTGCTGTGGTACTACAAAACAATAAATTCAGAATTATTATAGACTGGGCCCCTCGAGGCCAATTATATTATGACTGTATGGGCCAGACCCACTCATGTTCACAGGCTCCATCTGTCTGGCCCACTAATCTGGCCTACGATAGTGATTTAACTAAAAGGCTAGACCAGGTTTATAGAAGGCTAGAAACACCCTATCCATGGAAATGGGGTGAAAAGGGGATTCCATCACCCCGACCAAAGTTAGTCAGTCCTGTTGTTGGTCCTGAACACCCAGAATTATGGAAGCTCACTGTGGCCACGTACCACATTAGAATTTGGTCTGGAAATCAAGTTATGGGAACAAGAAATCATAAGCCATATTATACTATTAACCTAAATTCCAATCTGACAATTCCTTTGCAAAGTTGTGTAAAAGCCCCTTATATGCTAGTTGTAGGAAACATAGCTATTAAACCAGATTCCCAAACTATAATCTGTGAAAATTGTAGATTGTTTACTTGTATTGATTCAACTTTTGATTGACAGCATGGTATTCTGTTAGTAAGGGCAAGAGAAGGCGTGTGGATCCCTGTGTCCATGGATCGACCGTGGGAGGCTTCTCCATCCGTACATATCTTAACAGAATTAGTAAAAGGAGTTCTAACTAGATCTAAAAGATTCATTTTTACTCTGATTGCAGTGATTATGGGTCTTATTGCAGTCACAGCTACTGCTGCGGCTGCTGGAATTGCTTTACACTCCTCTGTTCAAACTGCAGAATATGTGAATAATGGGCAAAAGAATTCCTCAAAATTGTGGAATTCTCAGACTCAAATAGATCAAAAATTGGCAAATCAAATTAATGATCTTAGACAAACTGTTATTTGGATGAGAGATAGGCTCATGAGCTTGGAATATCTTTTTCAGTTACAGTGTGACTGGAATACGTTAGATTTTTGTATTAGACCTCGAGCCTATAATGAATCTGAACATCACTGGGACATGGGTAGACGCCATCTACAAGGAAGAGAAGATAATCTTACCTTAGATATTTCTAAACTGAAAGAACAAATTTTTGAAACATCAAAAGCCCAGTTAAATCTGGTGCCAGAAACTGAGGCAATGGTAAAAGCTGTTGATAGCCTCACAAATCTTAACCCTATCACTTGGGTTAAAACCATTGGAAATTCCACTATTGCAAATTTTGTACTAATTCTTGTATGTCTGTCCTCTCTATTGTTAGTCTACAGAGGTATATCCAGCAGCTCCGGAGAGACAGCGACTAGCGAGAATTGGCCATGATGACGATGGAGGTTTTGTCAAAAAGAAAAGGGGGAAATGCAGGGAAAAGAAAGAGAGATCAGACTGTCACAGTGTCTATGTAGAAAGGGAAGACATAAGAGTCTCCATTTTGAAAAAGACCTGTACTTTAAACAATTGCTTTGCTTAGATGTTGCTAATTTGTAGCCTTGCCCCAGCCACTTTGCTCCAGCCACTTTGCCCCAGCCACTTTGACCCAACTTGAAGCTCACAAAAAAATGTGTTGTATAAAATCAAGGGTTAAGGGATCTAGGGCTGTGCAGGACATGCCTTGTTAACAAAATGTTTACAAGCAGTATACTTGGTAAAAGTCATCGCCATTCTCTAGTCTCAACAAACCAAGGGCACAATGTACTGTGGAAAGCCACAGGGACCTCTGCCCTTGAGAGCAGGGTATTGTCCAAGGTTTCTCCCCATGTGATAGTCTGAAATATGGCCTCATGGGATGAGAAAGACCTGACTGTTCCCCAGCCCGATACCCGTAAAGGGTCTGTGCTGAGGTGGATTAGTAAAAGAGGAAAGCCTCTTGCAGTTGAGATGGAGGAAGGCCACTGTCTCCTGCTTGCCCCTGGGAACTGAATGTCTCGCTGTAAAGCCCAATTGTACATTTGTTCAACTCTGAGATAGGAGAAAAGCTGCCCTGTGGTGGGAGGCGAGACATGTTTGCAGTAATGCTGCCTTGTTATTCTTTACTCCACTGAGATGTTTGGGTGGAGAGAAGCATAAATCTGGCCTACATGCACATTCAGGCATAGTACCTTCCCTTGAACTTAATTATGATATAGATTCTTTTGCTCACATATTTCTTGTTGATCTTCTCCTTATTATCACCCTGCTCTCCTACTACATTTCTTTTTGCTGAAATAATGAAAATCATAATCAATAAAAACTGAGGGAACTCAGAGGCCGGTGCCAGTGCACGTCCTTGGTGTGCTGAGTGCCTGTCCCCTGGACCCACTGTTGTTTCTCTATACTTTGACTCTGTGTCTTATTTCTTTTCTCTGTCTCTCATCCCACCCGACTAGAAATACCCACAGGGGTGGAGGGGCAGGCCACCCCTTCAATTTGGTGACACGTAGCCTGTGCCCTCAAAGAACACTGACACCCCAGTAACATCCATTCGAAGAGTTTCTCCGTACCTCCCCTCCTTTATCCCCAAGGTCACTGGGTCAGAGCTCACAGAGTCATTCACAACATGATGTTTAACACCGAGACGCTCTGGAATTACTCCTTCAAGACGACTCAGAAGAAGACCCAGTGCTGAGACAATCGTGTTCTCTCTCTCTCTCTGGATCACCGCCCAGAGACAAGGACTGCCAGAGACCCTGGCTTCCACAGCTGCTGCCTCTCATTCCTGCACCTGTGGGACGAGAGTTCGAAGCTGTGTGACCTTGACCAAGTTACTTACCTTCTCTAAGCATATGTTTCCCTAAATGTGAAATAGGGATGATGGTGATGTGTTTATTTCACAGATTTGATAGAAGGATTAAATGAGAGATGCATCAAAAACAGTAGGCACAGGGTCAATGCTCAGTGAGCTTTCTGTTTTCTTATCAATAGACAGGTCTCCATGAGGACAGAGACTGGCTTCATCTCGACTGTAGCGTCAGGGTTGGCCACAGTGTCTGCACTCAGCAGGACTTCAGTAAATATCTGTTTATACACTAACCACAGACTTAGGCATAAAAGCCCTTTGGAAAAAAGTTGACCATTTCATGCACCTTCAGACTATGAAGAGCAATGATGACAACTTTAGCTCGAGAGGCTCTCAGTGCCCATTCATCACCGCTGTGAAAAGGCAGAAACCAGAGCTGTATGTTTAACTCCCAGGCCCAAAACCTGTTGGCCTTGCTTTATCACTATGAGCTTCCAATGCCATCCCTTTAGAATGGGACCTCTCTCTTCTTCCCCAAGGCACCAGCCTTCACCTCAGACCTCTCCTTATTAGCTGGTTCCTCCTGTCTGTACTCTGAGCCCACGCTGTGCTCGTCAGATAGCAACATGGGAGAATACAGCAGCCCAGAATGCAGGCTGCAGAGTTAGATCCCCAGAACAGGATCTCAGCCGGCTCCATCCTTCCTCAGCTGGGCGACCGTGGCCATTGACTTCCTCTCTGTGCCTCAGTTGCTCCATCTGTGAAATGAAGATTGTCATAGTCCCTGCTTCAAAGAGTCACTGGGAGGATTAACTGAGAAAATGCAGGGAAGGTGGTTGGAAATAAATGCTCAAAAAAAGTCCATCTGGCCAGGCATGGTGTCTCACGCCTGTAATCCCAGCACTTTGGGAGACTGAGGCAGGTGGATCAGTTGAGGTCAGGATTTCAAGACCAGCCTTGTCAACATGGCAAAACCCCGACTCTACTAAAAACACAAAAATTAGCCAGGCATGGTGGCAGGCACCTCTAATTCCAGCTACTTGGGAGGCTGAGGCATGAGAATCGCTTGAACCTGGGAGGCAGAGGTTGCAGTGAGCCGAGATGGTGCCACTGCACTCCAGCCTGGGCAACAAGAGTGAAACTCTGTCTCAAAAAAAAAAAAAAAAAAAAGTCCATCATTCTTATTAATGGAGGCCAAATCATCTCAGCCCTTCTTTGGCTGATCAGTACCCTCCAAGCCAGTGTTATCCAATAGACCAGAGGTCCCCATCCCCCAGACCACAGACCAGTAGCGGTCTGTGGCCTGTTAGGAACTGGGCTGCACAGAAGGAGGTGAGCAGTGGGCTAGTGAGTGAAGCTTCATCTGTATTTACAGCAGCTCCTCATGGCTAGCGTTACCACCTGAGCTCTGTCTCCTGTCAGATCAGCAGTGGCATTAGATTCTGATAGGAGCACCAATCCTATTGTAAACTGCATGTGGAAGGGATCTAGGTTGTGTGCTCCTTATGAGAATCTAATGCCTGATGATCTGTCACTGTTTCCCACCACCCAGAGATGGAATTATCCAGTTGCAGGAAAACAAGTGCAGGGCTCCCACTGATTCTACATTGTGGTGAGTTGTATAATGATTTCATTATATATTATAATGTTAATAACAATAGAAATAAAGTACACAATAAATGTAATACACTTGAATCATCCTGAAACTTCCCCCCACAAATACATGGAAACTGGTCCTTGGTGCTAAAAAAAATTGGGGACCACTGCACTAGACTATTCAGTCATGGTCCAATCAAACATTCTGCAATGGTGGACTTGCTCTACTCTGCACTGTCCAACATGGGAGCTGCTAGCCACCCACATGGGCTGCTGAGCCCTTGAAATGTGGCTAGTGAGAATGAAGAGCTGAAATTTCGATTTTCTTTTAACTAATTTTTTTTTTTTTTTTTTTGAGACAGAGTCTCACTCTGTCCTGCAGGCTGGAGTGTAGTGGTGCAATCTCATCTCACTGCAACCTCCATCTCCCGGGTTCAAGCAATTCTCCTGCCTCAGCCTCCTGAGTAGCCAGGATTACAGGAATGCGCCATCATGCCCGGCTAATTTTTGTATTTTTGTAGAGATGAGATTTCACCATGTTGGCCAGGCTGATCTTGAACGCCTGACCTCAGGTGATCTGCCCAACTTGGCCTCCCAAAATGCTGGGATTACAGGTGTTAGCCACCATGCCCGGCCTTAATTCATTTCTAAATCACAAAATCTAAACAACAAGTGGCTAGGAGCTACCATAGTGTAAAAGGCAGCTGTAGAATCACAGGAAATTGTCAATGACCCTGTCCTGCTTCAAGTTTACTTTTCCCCCTCATGGTGAGACTCTAGATTCTTTCCTCTTCTCTCACATTTTTTAGGCTTTTAGGATTAGACCATGAAAATAAGTTCTGTCCTTCCAAAAAAATAACGTTCATAACAATTACTGTATACCAGGATGATTTCAGTGCTTTACAAGTATTAATTTACAACAACTCTGAGGCAGGAGCTGTGATTATGCCCATTTAACATATGACAAAACTGAGGCACAAAACAGTGCTAGAACTTCTCAAAGTCACACAGGTAGCAGGAGGCAGAGCTCGGATTTGAACTCACTTTGGGTTCAGCAACTCACAGCTCTCATCTATGACATAATATTACTTCTGTGGTCAAAACGCTTAGATCTGGATTTCAAAGGAATCTTGTACTTGCCTGGCTGCTAGGGAGGTTTTCATCATCTTCCTTATCTCACAGTTCAAAACCCAGGGCCTCCATGCTCTTGCTATGGTGGCCGTTCACTGGCAGGAGGCTTCTGGGAAGGTTCTCCTTTTCTGTCATTTTTCTTATTCGTGGTTTTTTGTCTCATTGGTGTTTATCTGCAGAACTTTGTTTCCTTCTGCTCAATTCATAATCAGAGTGCTTTTCCTCCTGGCTGAGTTGCTTGTGTTTGTGCAAAAAGTGTTGGCGCATAAGTGTTGTGCATAAGTGTTTGTGCAAAAAGAGGTTGGCGCAGAGCTAGGCGACTGACGACACCCGGCTCATCTGGCAAGTGGATATCAAATTGTTGTATCTCGTTCTGCCATTCACAGCTCCTGCTGTGGGGCTGGGTCATCTGCCAGCTCTCCAAGGAGCTGGCAGGAAACCGCTGCAATCAGAGCGAACCCAGGGCCCGGGTGAGCCCGCGTCGTCACAGCACTCCAGCTGGCCCCAGTGCCTTTTGGGGACACATCGGCTTTGCCAGGCAGGGCTGTGGGAGGGCCGCCTACATCCTGTCCATCACAGGGAAAACCTACCCTTGTCCCGCGTCCCTTCCAGGCAGCCTGTGTGGAGATTGCTGCATTCACCTTTAATATGGCTAAAATGTTTTCCTTCAATGACAGTAATGCTGCCAGAACCCATCAAGACACCCAGGAACTGATGTGCCTTGGCAGATGATGCTGGAAAGATGGGATTCCCGGCAGCCTTTGCATCCCTTGCTCACAGCCCACGAGCATCTCCACTGTCCAGCAGGTCAGGGCACGGTCTCTCTCTCTCTCTCTCTCTCTCTCTCCCTCCCTCTCTCTCTCTCACGGTCTCTCTCTCTCACGATCTCTCTCCCTCATGGTCAGGGCAGAAAGAGAGAGAGTCCATCTGGAGCAGACTCGGATTTTAAATGACTGTGCCCGATAATTTAATATGATCAATGGCTGAGGTATTTCACCAAGTTCAGGAGTCCCAGTTCTCAGAGAAAGGCAGCCAGCCATGACTGTAAGACCTGGTCAAACCGTACAAACCAGACAGCAGGTCTCACCCCTCCCCAGAGAGCTCCAGAGAATATCAAAGAGTGAAACAGCAGAGGGATGGTCTGGGTGGGGTCATCGTGGCTGGCAAGGGTCTGTGACAGCACCTTGTTAGGCTACTCCCAAGAGGAAATTTGGAGAGAGGGTGGGAGGGCAGCTCTCAGTGCAAGCTAAGTCTCCTGGAAAGTAACTTCCAAACTTTGGAGGATTGTGAGCAAGATGGGACCAACTTCTACCTAAAAGCAACTTCTACCTAAAAGAATGTTAATAGCAAGATAACTCATCCTAATGTTGGTCCAAGCTAGGTCTTTATTATGCATCCTAAAGGCTCTGAGAATAACAATGTAACCTCCAAAAGGGCTGCGGGCTTTGAGGAATCTCAGGCAACTTGCTTCCTTCTGCTCAGTGACTCCCATGGAGCACAGGAAAGCAAGGAAACACTTAGAGCCAAGCTTGAGTTCTGAATTTCAAATACAGGGAGTCCATCTCTTTCTACCCAATTGTTCCCTAGATGAGTAACTAACTCCTTCCCCTTAACTGCACGTACTTCCTACCAAAGCACAAGAGGGTGGGCTGTCCATGAGCCTCCCCAAAATATGTGCACCTTGTGACATAAATTCTGTCACCCAAAGAGACCAGTCAAAATGCAAAACCAAAGTGGAGCCTTTCCTTGAATTATAGGTTCTAAAGAGTTTTGGACCCTCTACAAAACCCAAGAGTTAGGAATTGCCTGTAAGAAGCACCAGCCCTTGTTTTAAAGAGGGAATTTAAGAATAATAGCCATGCTGATGCCACACTACGCTAAGGGAGAATAATGAACCTAATAAAACTAGCGATTTTCCAATTGCTTTTGCTGCTGGAAACACTGATTATGCTAATTAAAGGGTAGAATAGTAAATACGCACTCTTTTGCATCCAATTAAGTGTTCAGATTATTTCTCAGAAGTATTTGTTAAAAATAGCACTTCTGATAATCATGGGTCCCAAATAAACAGAGTCAAGTGTGGTGTGGTACATGTGTGAGTGTGTGTGTGTGCACATGTGTCTTTCTGGAGCTCATTTTATGGAGATCCTACATAGCTCCCCAAATTCCTGTGAGAACAAATAAGAAAAATCAGTTTTCTAAGACTACAACTTGGGATATCTTTGGAAAAGGTGTGTATTGAGAACACAGCATATGGAAACTATTTCACGTTGGCAATATCTGTGATTTAACATTGCAAACATTAGAAATGCAACTGGTTCTTCAGAGTCACCTAAGTCCCTCATAATGACAATATTAGCTTCTTCTAAATAATAAATTAGCCAGTCAAACTATGTTCTACAGCATGTTAGAAGTTTCATCCTTCTAGTCAATGTCACATTTCAAGGCAAAGTCGATTTATATGTAAGTTAAACGAAGTGATGTCACTAAAAATTGAGAATTAGGTCTAATGCCAATCAGAAATGGAATAAATAAGTATTAGAGGATTTGCAAGTGAAAGCAACCATAGAAATTCTATCATCAGGAAGGAAAATGTATTACCTGCAGAGGTAACAGATAAGACGCTAGAACCCAGAAGAGAAAGAATCTCTGTAAATATTTCCATTAAGTTAATCAAGAGTGGCTGGGTATGGTGGCTCATGCCTGTAATCCCAGGACTTTGGGAGGCCAAAGAGGGCGGATCACGAGGTCAGGAGTTCGAGACCAGCCTGGCCAACATGGTGAAACACTGTCTCTATTAAAAATCCAAAAAATTAGCCGGGCGTGGTGGTATACACCTGTAATCCCAGCTACCCAGGAGGCTGAGGCAGGAGAATTGGTTTAATCCAGAAGGCAGAGGTTGCAGCTAGCTGAGATCACACCATTGCACTCCAGCCTGGGTGACAGATCATGGCTCCATTTTGAAAAAAAAAAAAGAAAGAAAGAAAGTTAATCAGGGTGAGAATAGGATGAGTTTTTCACCCACAAAAGGAGATGAGATTCATGCATTCTTTCAACATACATTCCATCAATAGTGAGCACCTGCTCTGAGCTAGGCCCGTTCTAGGTCTCAGGAAATGAGTAACCAACCAGACATGGCCCCTGATTTGGAGCTCACATTTTAGAGCAGCTAAATGGACAGTAAACAAGTAAGCAAATTAAGATCATCTTAAATTGGGGGAAGTTCTTTAGAGAAGCACTTCCATAAAGCTGAATCTCATCATAGACTATGACTGCCAGGTGGTAGGGAAGGTAATATCTCACCTGCTTATGGATAGCAGAGCTTCTGAGGCCTTGCAAATTATTTAGTACTAAGATTTCTGTCTTAGGTCAAGTTCCCTAAAAGCAGAGCCTGAGGCAGGGATTGAGTGCATGTAATTCATTCAGGAAGAACTCTCAGGAGATAGGAGTAAGGAAAACAGGATATGGCAGGGAAGGAGCTAAGTGAAATGTGGTCTCAGCTGGAGACTGGCTCCAGTCTGATCTCACAGGGAGCTCCAGAGGATCAACTGCACCACCATGTTATCCCAGACTGAGGTCTTTTGTTCTCCTGTGTCAGCCGGTCCCTGGCCAAGGGCTGCAGACTCTCTTGGGGCCCCAGCAGGCTGGAGGAGAAGGAGCATGGTCTGTGGTCTACTCTTTTGTGCACACACACCCACCTCTTTTCCAGCTGACACTGCTGGAGGAGGAGAGGGAGAGATGTCATCTCCTCCTATGGCAACCTGTGGGATAGCAATGGCCCTTTTCCTGCTGGGTGTAATCTGCTGCCATCTCTTGCTGTCTGCAGCCTGACAGAGAAGGGTGAAGGTCACCAGGTTCCACTGACAGGGGTCTTTGTCTCTAGCAGCAACCCTAGGACCGAGGGTCCCTTGCAAGATTCAGCCACATTTCATGACTGTCTGCAACACACCCCATGCCTCTGATGGAAGGAACACAATGCCCCATGCTGCACTCATTTCTGCCAGACTACAGTCCCTGATCTCAATTTCCCTCTGCAGTCCCCAACTCTGGGGTCTGCAGACACATTTCAGATCCCTCCTTTGTACCCCCCAGGAGGCAGAAGCCAGAGGAAATAATCCTTGTCCCAATGCACCTGACCATGCCATCTCACTGCATGCTCTTTCTCCCTCTCCAGGAAAAATCAAGCTTGTTGAATACTTACCAATATGCCCACATGCATTTAGTCCCCATAACCACTTCTTGGGGCAGCATTGCCGTCCCCAAGTTACAGACGAGGAAACTGAGGAGAGCATTTATATAACATGCATCTAAGTGGTGGACAAAGGATCTAACCAGGCAGTGCGGCACCAGAGCACACATTTTTGTTGTTCAGAGAGATGGAGTCTCTCTCTGTCCCTCAAATTGGAGTACAGTGGCCTGATCATAGCTCACTGCAGCCTTGAACTCCCAAGCTCCAGAAATCTTCCCGCCTCAGCCTCCCGAGTAGCTGGGACTGGACGCATTCACCACCAACCCAGCTAATTTTTAAAAAACATTTTTCTAGAGATAGGGTCTGATCCCAAACTCCTGACTTCAAGCGATCCTCCTGCCTCAGCCTCCCAAAGTGCTGGGATTACAGTTGTGAGCCCCCGCGCCCAGCCCAGAGCACACTTTTTTTAATTTTTTTTGAGATGGAGTCTCACTCTGTCACCCAGGCTGAAGTGCAGTGGTAAAATCTCGGCCCAGAGCACACTTTTAACCACCATATCATTCTGCCTCTGGGTAGGTTAGTCAAGCTCTGTAGCTGATCAGATGTCTGTAGAGAGAAAGAGACATCAATCTCCCCTTCTTCCAAACACCCCCAAATTTTACAAGTGATTTTCTCAGATCCCTCAGCATCAGGAATGGGGATGAGCAGGGCAGCCTGTCCCCTTCCCAACAGCCCAGCAGATATCCCAAGATTACATCTCATTGGCTCTGACTAGGACATGAGCCCAAAGCTGAAGCAGTTGCTGTAGCCATGGCATGCAGCACCCTCGGTCCTCTGGCCAGGCCAGAGCTACATCCCACCTCTGGATCCTCGGGTTGAGTCAATAATCTTGAACCAGGCGCGGACTGAAGCTCAAGGAGGAGTCAGAGTAATGTGACCCAGCCGACCAGGAAGTGGGTGCTGAGCAGGCAAGCACTCATCACCCACTGCACACACCAGGGAAGGCTTGTGATGGCTTAGTCCCACCTGGGGGCAAAGAAAAGAGTGCCTGCTCCATGCCAAAATGTGATGCCCAACACCGTATCTTAAAGCCAGCTGGCTTTGTAATCCCAGCTACTTGGGAGGCTGAGGCAGGAGAACCACTTGAATCCAGGAGGCGGAGGTTGCAGTGAGCCAAGATCACGCCATTGCACTCCAGCCTGGGTGACAAGAGAGAAATTCTGTCTCCAAAAAAAAATAAATAAATAAAAAATAAAATTAAAAAGCTAGCCTGCTTAATCCTCACAAAGATGCCATCTACTTTTTGGCATTCTACAGGTAGAAACACTGAGACACTGAGACACTGGGAGATTTTAAAACTCACCACCAGCCGGGCATGGTGTCTCATGCCTGTAATCCTAGCACTTTGAGAGGCTGAGGCAGGAGAATTACTTGAACCCAGGACTTCAGGACCAGCCTGGGCAAATTAGTGAGACCTCATCTCTACAAATATTAAAAAAAAAAAAAATTAGGGCAAGGCGCCGTGGCTCACACGTGTAATCCCAGCACTTTGGGAGGCCAAGGCAAGTGGATCACTTCAGCCCAGGGATTCGAAACCAGCCTGGCCAACACGACAAAACTCTATCTCAACTAAAAATACAAAACTTAGCTGGGCATAGTGGCACATGTCTATAATCCCAGCTACTTGGGAGGCTGAGGCACAAGAATTGCTTGAACCCAGGAGTCAGAGGTTGCAGTGAGCTGAGATTGTGCCACTGCACTCCAACCTAAGTGACAGAGTGAGACCCTGTCTCAAAAAAAAAAAAATAGGTGTGGTGGGACATGCCTGTGGCCCCAGCTTCTCAAGAGGCTGAGGTAGCAGGATCACTTAAGCCCAGAAGTTCAAGGGTGCAATGAGCTATGATTGTACCCCTGCACCACTATGTATACATATATATGTATATATGTATGTGTATATATACACATATATACATGTATATGTATATATGTATGTATATATATGCATATATATATACATGTACATGTGTATATGTGTGTGTATATATATGTGTGTGTATATATATAAAAAACACACATGCACAAATTCACCACCAACAACTCAGAAATTACTGTCTCCTTCTATTCGAAGGAACTATTTTTCATTTTGCCATCTCTGAAGTTGGAATACACCTTACAATCACTGGAATGTCACGGTCTCGTTGGCAGCATTTTTCTGCTTAGTAGCCCATAAAATAATAGCACATCTTGTAACTAACAGTGTTGTAGATGCTATGAGATCCTGGGGAAGCCCAGAATCTAACTCCACCCTGTCTGACTTCAAAGACCACATATTTTCTATGCCTTTGGACTGGGGCACAGATGTAGACATCTTGAGCTTTGCTGATTGTGAGAAAGGTATAAGAAATGGCCCTGATGGAATTTTCTTCTCGTACTTGCAGGGGAACAAAGCGGCATCATTCCACTATTCCAAGGGAGGTGCTAAATTCGAGGGTGAGGCTGTCAAGCGGTCCCTTGTGGAGTCCTACACTCACCCAAACAGCAACGAGACAGAGCGGAGGGAGAACGTCGATACCGTCATGAACTGGTTCACCAAGGAAGACTTTGGCTTTGTGACTCTGTGCTACAGAGAGCCAGATAACGTGGGACATCGATTCGGGCCAGAAGCAGAGAACAGGAAGTTGATGATTCAGCAAATCGGCAGGACCATCGGGTATCTAGTGGGAGCCACAGAGAAGCACAGCCTGCAGAGCACCTCAGCATCATCATCACATGAGACCATGGGGTGACCACCGTGAAGAAGAGACCCAACGTCAACAAGATCCCTTGTCCAACTACATCAAGTTCAGGGACTTGGTCAAGTTTGATATTGTGGGCTACGTTGGCTTTGGGAAGCCCCTGCCCAAATGGGGGCAAGAGGAAGCCCTTTACCAGGCACTGAAGAATGCGTACCCTCACCTCCACGTCTACAAGAAGGAGGAGTTTCCAGAACACTTCCATCTCACTAAACATGACCGGGTTCTGCCAATCGTGATGTATGCCAACTCTGGTTACACTATCAATGGGGTAAGTTCATTCTAAAATGAATAAAGTCACCTTGGATCTAGGAGACAACCATTAGGGAAGGGTGGTTCTGCAAAAATCAAACATAAGTGCACAGCCAGGCACGGTGGTTCACGAATATAATCCCAGCACTTTGGGAGGCTGAGGCAGGTGTATCACCTGAGGTCAGGAGTTTGAGACCAGCCTGGCCAACATGGTGAAACCCCATCTCTACTAAAAATACAAAAATTAGCTGGGCGTGGTAGTGCACATCTGTAGTTCCAGCTACTCTGGAGGCTGAGGCAGGAGAATCGCTTGAACCTGGGAGGCAGAGGTTGCAGTGAACCAAGATCATGCTACTGCACTCCAGTCTGGGCAACAGAGTGAGACCCTGTCTCAAAAAAATATAATGTAATATAATATAATATAATATAATATAATATAATATAATATAATATAATATAATAAAACAAAATAAAATAAAATAAGCGCACACACTACGAGTTGTAGCCCACAGGGTCCTAAATGTTTCCCACCCTCTGCCCAACCAATGCTGCCCCAAATTACTGTTATACAAGATTAATGACCAATTCAACTTGATAAGGCTGATTTAAAAATAAAAATAAGGCTGGCCATGGTGGTTCACACCTGTAATCTCAGTGCTTTGGGAGGCCAAGACAGGAGGACTGCTTAAGGCCAGGAGTTCAAGACCAGCCCGGGCAACATAGGGAGACCCCATCTCTACAAAAAACAAACAAATAAATAAATAGCCAGACATGGCGATGCATGCCTGTAGTCCCAGCTACTCAGGAGGCTGAGGTGGCAGGATTTCTTGAGCCCAGGAGGTCAAGTCCGCACTAAGCTGTGGTTGCACTACTGCACTCCAGCTTGAGCAACAGAGCAAGACCCCGTCTCTAAAAAATAAATAAACAAATAATAAAAAATAAACACCAACTTCATTATTCAAAATTGTGCACAGCGCTTCACTAAACATTGAATAACAGTTCTTTCATTTTTGTCTTCCCAACAACCCTATAAAATAGATGCTCTTAGTTCCACCACTTTAAAGAAGAAATCAAAACCTAGAGAGAAGTGACTTGAGATTAAAAATGTAAGCTTGGGCTGGGTGCAGCGGCTCACACCTGTAATCCCAGCACTTTAGAAGGCTAAGGTAGGTAGATTGCTTGAGCCCAGGAGTTTGAGACCAGCCTAGGCAACACAGTGAAACACCATCTCTACAAAAAATGCAAAACTATAGCTGGGCATAGTGGCACGTGCCTGTGGTCCCAGCAACTCAGGAGGCTGAGGTGGGAGAACTGCTTGAGCCCGGGGGTGTTGAGTCTGCAGTGAGCCATGATCACGCCACTGTGAGATAGGAGGCAGGACTTGACTCCACAGGCAGGGCTTGGACACCAGACCAAATTGAGGACTAGCTAAAACAGGGCTGGGGCAGAAGCAGCTTTCCATCAGACATGCCCACCAGTGTGCCATGTGAGTTTACTATTGTCAAGGTAACACCCGGGAGTTACTGCCCCTTTCCATGGAAATGACCCAATGACTCAAAAGTTACTACCCATTTTCTAGAAATTCCTGCATAAACTGCCCTTTAATCTGCATGCAATTAAAAGTGAGTATAAATGTGATTGCAAACTCTCTGCCGCTACTCTCTGCCTCCAGGGTAACCCTGCCCTACAGGAGCAGTCACAGGGCTCTAATCCTGCCTCTTCAATAAAGCTGTTTTCTTCTAAACCTCCGGCTTGCCCTTGAATTCTTTCCTGGGTAAAGACAAGAACCCTCACGTGCTATTGAGAGGTGACAGCATGCTGGCAGCCTTCGAACTCACTCTCGGCGCCTCCTCTGCCTGGGCTCCCACTTCGGCGGCACTTGTGGAGCCCTTCAGCCTGCCGCTGCACTGTGGGAGCCCCTTCCTGGGCTGGCCGAGGCTGGAGCCCGCACCCTCAGCTTGCGGGGAGGTGTAGAGGGAGACGTGCTGGCAGGAACCGGGGCTGGGGGTGGTGCTTGCAGGCCAGCGTGAGTTCCGGGTGGGCATGGGCTCACTGGGCCCTGCACTCAGACTGGCCTGCCACCCCACTGGACCCAGGCAGTGAGGGGCTTAGCACCTGGGCCAGCAGCTGCTTTGCTCAATTTCTCGCAGGGCCTTAGCTGCTTCCCTGCAGGGCAGGGCTCGGGACATGCAGCCTGCCATGCCTGAGCCTCCCCCCAACCCTCGTGGGCTCCTTCGTGGCCTGAGCCTCCCCGATGAGTGCCAAGCCTCCCCAATGGACACTGCCCCCTGCTCCAGGGCGCCCAGTCCCATCGACCACCCAAGGGCTGAGGAGTGCCAGCACAGGGCGCAGGACTGGAAGGCAGCTCCACCTGCGGCCCCCGTGAGGGATCCACTTGGTGAAGCCAGCTGGGCTCCTGAGTCTGGTGGGGACTTTGAGAATCTTTATGTCTAGCTAAGGGATTGTAAATACACCAATCCACACTCTGTATCTAGCTCAAGGTTTGTAAACACACCAATCAGCACCCTGTGTCTAGCTCAGGGTTTGTGAATGCACTAATTGACACTCTGTGTCTAGCTAATCTAGTAGGGACTTGGAGAACTTTTGTGTCTAGCTCAGGGATTGTAAACGCACCAATCAGCACCCTGTCAAAACAGACCAATCAGCTCTCTGTAAAACAGACCAATCGGCTCTCTGTAAAATGGACCAATCAGCAGGATGTGGGTGGGGCCAGATAAGGGAATAAAAGCAGGCTGCCCCAGCCAGCAGTGGCAACCCTCTGGGGTCCCTTTCCACACTGTGGAAGCTTTGTTCTTTTGCTCTTTGCAATAAATCTTTCTGCTGCTCACTCTTGGGGTCCACGTTGCCTTTATGAGCTGTAACACTCACTTCGAAGGTCTGCAGCTTCACTCCTGAAGCCAGCGAGACTATGAACCCACCGGGAGGAACAAACAACTCCAGACACGCCACCTTAAGAGCTGTAACACTCACCATGAAGGTCTGCAGTTTCACTCCTGAAGCCAGCGAGACCACAAACCCACCAGAAGGAAGAAACTCTGAACACATCCGAGCATCAGAAGGAACAAACTCCAGACAAGCCGCCTTTAAGAACTGTGACACTCACCCCGAGGGTCTGTGGCTTCATTCTTGAAGTCAGTGAGACCAAGAACCCACCAGTTCTGGACACACTATGCTCCACTTCGGGGCTCCCCTGCCCTGCGTCAACTGCACTGTGGCCTGAGTGGCAGAGAGAGAGACCCTATCTTAAAAAAAAGAAAGAAATGCAGGGTTAAGTGCTGCCCCCAAGCCTGAGTGGCTGATCATTATACAGAGTACACGAAGACCACCAAAAAAGTCACCACAGAGGCCCCCTGCCGCTGGTTCTCATTTGCCCATATCAAAAAATATGCAAGCCTGTTCCTACAAAGACACACACAGATGCTCGTAGCAAAATTATCCATAATTGTCAAAAGGTGGCAACAACACAAATGCCTATTAACAACAGATGAATAAGCAAACAAGTACAGTCCACCCGTGTGATGGAACATTAATCAGCCACAATATGGAATGAAGGGCTGATTCATGCTACAACCTGGATACACCTTGAAACCATTAGGCTAAGTGAGAGAAGCCAGACAAATATTAGATGATTCTATATATACATATATATGCCCAGAATATGAAAATCCAAAGAAACAGAAAGTAGATTAATGGTTGCCAGGAGCCAGGGGTGGGGATAGTTGGAGGGAAATAAGGGGTGACTGCTAATGGATACAGGGTTTCTTCTGGGGTAAAATTTCTAAAATTGATGGTGATGATGGCTGCAGAACTCTGTGAACATATTAAAAACCACTGAATTATACACTTTATTTATTTATTTAGAGACAGGGTCTGGCTCTGTTGCCCAGGCTGGAGTGCAGTGATACAATCTCAACTCACTGCACCATCCACCTCCCAGGCTCAAACCATCCTCCCACTTCAGCCTCCTGAGTAGCTGGGACTACAGACACACACCACCATGCCCAACTAATTTTTTTGTATTTTTGGTCGAGACAGGGTTTTGCCATGTTGCTTGGGTTCATCTCAAACTCTTGGGTTCAAGCGATCCTCCCACCTCAGCCTCCCAAAATGCTGGGATTACAAGTGTGAGCCACCATGCCCGTCCAAATGATACACTTTAAATGGGTAAATTGTATGGTATATGAATTATCTTTCAATAAAGCTGTTATTAAAAAGCAGCTTTAAGGGCCAGACATAACGGCCATGCCTGTAATCCCAGCATTTTGAGAGGCCAAGGCAGGAGGATCACTTGAGCCCAGGAGTTCAAGACCAGCCTAGACAACATGGCAAAACCTGGTCTCTACAAAAAATTTAAAACTTAGGCTTGGAGTGGTGGCTCACGCCTGTAATCCCAGCACTTTGGGAGGCTGAGGTAGGTGGATTACTTGAGGTCAGGAGTTCAAGACCAGACTGGCCAACATGGTGAAACCCTGTCGCTACTAAAAATATTTTTTAAAAATTAGCCAGGCATGGTTGTGGGTGCCGAGGCTGAGGCAGAAGAATCGCTTGAACCCGAGAGGTGGAGGTTGCAGTAAGCCGAGATTACACCACTGCACTCCAACCTGCTAGGCGACAGAGCGAAACTCCATTTCAAAAAAAAAAAAAATTAAGAATTAAAAATTAGCCAGCGGTGGTGGCTCATGTTTGTAGTCCCAGCTACTCAGGAGGCTAAAGTGGGAGGATTGCTTGAGCCCAGGAGGTTGAAGCTGCAGCGAGCCAAGATTGTGTCACTGCACTCTGGCCTCAGCAACAGAACAAGACCCTGTTTCACAATTTTAAAAACTATTAAAAAGCGAGCCTAAAGAAAACACAAAAACCAATGCTAACTATGAGACAAATGAGGTTGTCTATTTTTTGTTAACTACCAACTAACAATTCATGGCAGAAACAAAGTTTAAATGATGCTATAGCCGGGCGCTGTGGCTCACACCAGAAATCCCAACACTTTGGGAGGCTGAAGCGGGTGGATCACCTGAAGTCAGGAGTTTGAGACCAGCCCGGTCAACATGGTGAAACCCCGTCTCTACTAAAAATACAAAAATTAGCCAGGTGTGGTGGCGGGTGCCTATAATCCCAGCTTCTCGGGAGGCTGAGACAGGAGAATCGCTTGAACCCCGGGGGGGCGGAGGTTGCAGTGAGCCAAGATCGCACCATTGCACTCCAGCCTGGGCGACAGAGCAAAACTCCGTCTCAAAAAATAAATAAATAATTAAATAAATGATGCTATAAACCTCATGTGAGGGAAGACTGTCCCAGGTACAGCTTGAAGAACCCTTGCTGTGAATAGGAGCCAAATGCGATAATTTTGTTTGCAACTTGCTTCATGTCAGCTTGTTGCAACTCCAGAGTGTAACAGGTATGAGAAAACTCATGCGGTTACTGTTTAATGTTGGTGGAAATATTCACATTAAAATACAACAGTTTATCACCTAAGGTATATTTTATCCCTCAAGTGGCCCGGAACACTGATTACTGCACACCAATCGCACGCCCATAGCTAAAGCCTTGCCAAGGAGAAATTCCACAGTCACCTGGCCTATTTGTAAACGTGGTTTATGACGTTTTGTAACAGGATATCTTGACAGTAGCATGAGGACATTTAACGAGACAAGAACATTCCCCACTGACCAACCAGATGGTTTCAGGGAGCAGGATGCTGTGCTCAGTTTAATCTTCTGCTGAACTGACCATAAGGCAGAAAATCCTTTCGGTCAATGCCTCTCACTGAATCCACTTCTCAGATCCCTGTACACCTGCTTGCTTTGCAGTGCAGAGTAAAGTGGGCCTTCCTTGACTCTCTTCAGGGACCAATGTGCTTGAGGCCATCATGAGGACATTCTTTTTTTTTTTTTTTTTTTTTTTTTTTTGAGAGAGTCTCGCTCTGTCGCCCAGGCTGGAATGCAATGGTGTGATCTCAGCTCCCCACTGCAACCTCTGCCTCCCAAGTTCAAGTGATTCTCCTGCCTCAGCCTCCTGAGTAGCTGGGATTACAGGCACGTATCACCAGGCCCAGCTAATTTTTCTATTTTTTGTAGAAACAGGGTTTCACCATGTTGGCCATGCTGGTGTCAAACTCCTGACTTCAAGTGATCCACCTGCCTAGGACTCCCAAAGTACTGGTATTACAGGTGTGAGGCAACGTGCCTGGCAGAGGGCTTTTATTCTTGATGGACTGCTCCATAGCCTCGGAGACAGTCGGACTTATTTCTTCAACCAGAGCAGAGCAGACAGGCAATTTCTGTATCCACCAGGCCAAATATTAGACCAACTCTTCAATGTACAGAGAGCATAACATTTCTTATATGCTAGAATATCTGTTGGTCCAAAATATAAATAAATAGTATTGTAGCCAGCCACAGTGGCTCACACCTATAATTCCAGAGCTTTGTGTGACTGAGACAGGAGGTTCGCTTGAGGTCAAGGGTTCGAGACCAGCCTGGACAACATAGAGAGACACCCCCACACCGCCACCTGCCATCTCTACAAAAATTAAAATAATTAGCTGGGCATAGTAGTGTGGGCCTGTAGTCCCAACTACTTGGGAAACTGATATGGGTGGATTGCTTGAGCCCAGGAATTTGAGGCTGCAGTGGGCTATGACTGCATCACTGTACTCCAGCTAGACCTTGTCTCAAAAAAAAAAAAAAGTGCTGCAATTGACATTATCATTTGAAAAGAGGGACAGACAAGAAAGGTATTTGGCATTTACCAAGCAATTACCCAGAATCCTCATCCCATCCTACCCCCACCCTTCCCCTAAAAATGTATGTGTATGTTTTTATACCATAAAAAATACATCTATTTGCCTCTGGAACCAGATTGCTTGGGTTCAATTACCTGATCTAGCATTTGCTCCTGATGATTCAGTGCAGAAAAGCTCTGTAATTCAGTTTCCCCAGCTGTAAAATGGGGAATGGCGCCTTTACTGGGCTGCCATGAGGGTAAAGGAGGGAACGTATATTTATGACGCATTCAGAACAATTCATGATACATAGTAAGCTCTATATATTTGAGCTTATTATTACTGTCAGTACGATTATCATCATCTTGCTGTTTCCAATGGGTACGATTTCTACATTCTCTTTCTTAAAGACCTTTAAATCCTTGGTATTCTCTCCACCACCACAGAGAGCAGTGTCCTTGTAGTTTAAATTTTCAAAGACTTCATGGATCCAATAAGCACGACATTAACTAAGGGACAGTTTTCTTTCAGTGGATTGGAATTTAAAATGGCTTTTTTATTGTTATTATTGGCCAGGCTGGTCTCGAACTCCTGACTTCAAGTGATCCCCCCACCTCACCCTCCCAAAATGTGCTGAGATTACTGGCATGAGCCACCATGCCCAGCCCTCATTCTCTTCTTTTATAAGGACACCAGTCATTGCATCTGCCCCCTCACCAGCAGCCCCCAATCCAGGATGACTCATCATTACTTGATTACATCTAGAAAGACCCTATTTCCAAATAAGGTCACATTCCTGGGTACTGAGGATTAAGATTTCCAATTTTTTCCCTGACTCGATTTTTTTTTTGAGTCAGGGCCTCACCCTGTCACCCAGGCTGGAGTACAGTTATGTGATTATAGCTTACTGCAGCCTCAAACTCCTGGGCTCAAGGGATCCCCTGACCTCAGCCTTCCAAGTGGCTGAGACTACAGGTGCACATCATCATGCCCACGTAATTTTTTTGTTTTTTTGTGTGTGTTTTTTTTTTGTACAGGTTAGGTCTCACTCTGTTGACCAGGCTGGTCTGACCTCAAGCGATCCTCTTGCCTTGGCCTCCCAAAGCACTGGGATTACAGGCGTTATCCCATGCCTGGCCCTCTTTCTACACCTCAATAATTGTATCATTAGCCTGAGCTGCGCATATTCCTTATTCTACCCATCCCTGACCAACCTCCTCCTTTAACATAACTTCCATCTCGATATGATGGGGCCTGCTGGGCACTGCAAACAGCCTAAGGAAAGTGGAAACTTTACTTAACCTTCAATTCTATTACAAAGTCTACATTGAACGTAATTCATATTTGAACTATAAAAATTTTTTGTAAGTTGACACATGACCTATAAAGGTCTCTACACCCTGAAGCAACGTTTTAGTAAGAAATCAATTGGTCCTTTTCTGCAGAAACCATTAACCATAGAAGAGATAAAGGAAAAACTTCAATGTACTGATTGAACTTCCATGCCCATAGCTTAACTTCTAAAAGGCAACCATTCCATACTGTTAAACTGACTTAGGTTGCTATTACTGTTATTAAAGAGACCTCAAAGCCAGAAGTTGAATCTTGACTGTAGCTCTTGCACGTACACGCACACTCTTGCAACTGAAACCACTCAGATTGTCCTAATGCTGCGCCCCATAACAACACCACCTGGAATTTTACGTTTGTTTTTAAGCATCAGTCGTAATCTTCACTTGCACCCGAACACACTGCACCTGTGAGAGCCACGTGACATTAAAAAAATCCCTTCAGTGAGGCCGGGCATGGTGGCTCACGCCTGTAATCCCAGCCCTTTGGGAGGCCAAGGCAGGTGGATCATGATGTCAAGAGATTGAGACCATCCTGGCCAACATGGTAACACCCTGTCTCTACTAAAAATACAAAAATTAGCTGGGCGTGGTGACGCGTGCCTGTAGTCCCAGCTACTCGAGAGGCTGAGGCAGAAGAATCGCTTGAGTCCGGGAGGCAGAGGTTGCCGTGAGCTGAGATCGTGCCGCTGCACTCCAGCCTGGCAACAGAGGGAGACTCTCTGAAACAAAAAAATCCCTTCAGTGCCTTGATCCTTCCAGATTCAGATCCAAGAGAGATGACATTTGTCCCTCACCAGAGACTGCACACCAAGATAAAGATTTCTTCTGGCCAGGCGCGGTGGATCACGCCTGTAATCCCAGCACTTTGGGAGGCAGAGGAGGGTGGATCACCTGAGATCAGGCATTTGAGACCAGCCTGGCCAACGTGTTCAAACCCTGTCTCTACTAAAAATACAAAAATGGCCCAGCATAGTGGCTCACGCCTGTAATCCCAGCTACTCAGGAGGCTGAGGCAGGAGAATCGCTTGAACCTGGGAGGTGTAGGTTGCAGTGAGCCGAGATCGCGCCATTGCACTCCAGCCTGGGCAACAAGAGAGCAAAGCTCCGTCTCCAAAAAAAAAAAAGAAAAAAAGATTTCTTCTGTGTGCATGGCTCAGCTCTGTGGTCCACTAGCGTCCTTCTTCAATCCGCTTCCAATCTACGGAATCAGGAAAGACTGAACAAACCTAGATTAATATTTTAGTATAACATAATACAGTGTTACTTACTATGGAATTGACCGTATATGCCCTTTTGCTCCTTGGAGGAAAGACAATTAATAGCTATTATGTGAGTTAATAAAATAAGCCCAGGATTTATGAGTATAACTAACCTGTTCCCATTGGTTTTCCTTGTCTCCTGCAGGCAGAGAGCTGATCAAAACAGCAAAAGCAAAGCAGTGCCCCTGGCCCAGTTCTGAAGCCAACCTTCCTTAATCACCCAGACCCATCCCTGGTTAGGACTTGCTGTGGATTCTCAGGTGACTCCATCTCAGGATACAGGGACTGAGAGGGTGTATGCAACATCTCAGACCCAGAAACCGTTGATTCTGCCTAAAAACACAGCAATAACCACATCCCACCCTCTTGATTTAAATGAAAGGGTTTGGGGGAATAAAAGATGAACCTCTTTTTTTCTTTGTCAGATCTTGCGTTCATTTGGTTCTGGTGTGGAACAACAGCTATAAGAGAACAAGTGTATTCAATTAGAATTAATTCCCCTCTCTTATTCTCATAGCTGAGCAGGGCTCAAGTGCCTCTCATCTGAAAGAGGTAATAAGATTTTATCTGTCTCCTCATCTACCTTTTGCAAGTATACTTAACAAATTCGCTCTCGGGACTCTTCCAAATGGAGTTTTATGAGGGATTTGCTAAGGTAAACGTTTTAGACTTTGAACACAGTTCAGATTTCAGGGGCAGTACTGAAATCTGAACTGTGTTGCTAACTGCCCTGCCTTTCAACTCAAGACACAATAACTTTGAACTAAAATAATTATATTTTTGTTGTTTTCCACTCTGTCCCCACGTCTCTATCACCACCACCCCCAAGCCCACCCCGCAGGAACTAAGTCCTCCTTCCTATCCCTGCAAGATCAAAACTCCTCCTGCAAGCCCCGCTAGCTCTGTCTGCTCGCCTTCGTGGCAGATATCGCTATTGTACTTTTATACTCATTTGTGTGATAAGTACTTCAATGTCTACTTCTTCCACGAGCCCCTGAGCCCCTGGAGGGCCTGGACCACACCTAGTTTTTCTCACTGTTACATCTCCCTTGCCAGACACATGGTAGGCGCTTAATAAGTATTTGGTGAACGAATGGCTTGTTTGGTGACAGTCCAAAGGCTGGGGGACAGAGGGAAATCTCCCTCCTATCGGGCCCCAGACGGGTGGCGCTGATGGAGAGGAGGCTAGGATAACGCCTCCAGGACCGAAGCGCGCACCCGTAAGGCCCCTGCCAAAAAGACCTTCCTGAAGGCGGAGGAACTGCGAGAGTGCCTACGTTGGCCCAAGGCCTGACCCGATGATCTCGGGGACCCTTGCCCTAACCGGCCCCGCCTCCCGGGCCCCAAACCCGGACTCGGCCCCGCCCGAAGCTCCGAATCCTGGGGCCCGCCCCTGGCCCCGTGTCAGCAGACCGTGGGCTCGCTCCTGGACCTGCCTCAAACCCTCCGCAGGTAAAGCCTCCCGAACTTGAGCCACACTCCAATCCCCTCCTCAAACCCCTCCCCGTTTCTCACACCCCGGACCCCTCGATCTGTCTCGGCCCCTCCCCAAGCCCAGCTCCCTCTCGGCCCCTGAGCCCAGCCCCGACCCTCCTCCCAGTCCCTTGGTCCCTCCCGACACCGGCCCCTCCCTAAGCTCCGCCTCCCAGGGCCCGCCTCCTGAGTGCAGCCCGCAGCCCAGACTCGGCCCTGCCTCCCGGACCCTGGGCCCCTCCCCACGTCGGCCCGTCCTAAGCTCCGCCTCCCAGAGTCCGAGCACCGCCTGGCCACGTGCTACGACATATCAACGCCCCACCCTGGCCCCGCCTCCTGAGCCCTTCTCAGGGTCTGACCTTAGCCCCGCCCTAAGACCTGTCTCCTGGGCTCTGCTCCGAGTCTCACCTCCTGAACCCAATCATCGTTTACCCCCACCCTAACGCCCGCCTCCAGGACTCTTATCCTGCCCCCACGCAAGGCCCCGCCTCCAGGACCCGCCAACCTGGACGCTTCCGAAGCCCCGCTTCCAGGATCACCCTGTCCCGACCCCGCCCCAGGACCCGCCAACCTGAACTCTCCCCAGGACCTGCCCCAACAACGCTTATCCTGGCCCTCCCCAGGCCTCGCCCTCATGACGCTCATCCTGGCCCCACCTTAGAAACGCCACCACCACTCTCCTCCTGACCCTGCCCCCGGGCCCCGCCCCCTCTCTGCCCCTGCGCACTACCCTGGGCCCGCCCCCTCTTCAGTCCAGGCCCGGCTTCCGCCCGGTCTCCCGGCAACGCTGCGGCCCCGCCCACGCCATGGCGCCCTAGGAGAACGCGGGGACAGAACTCTTGCTGCAGAGTTTCGAGCGCCGCTTCCTGGCGGCGCGCTCACTGCGCTCCTTCCCCTGGCAGGTGGGCGGCGGGGCGAGCGGAGAGGCCCGCGGGGCTCGCGGGAGTCCAGGGGCAGACGGGATGTGTCTCCGTGCTGAAGCCCCCGGCGCTCCCGCCACGTGAGTGCCTGGGCTCCCGCCGGTCAGGTCGGCGCGACCCGGTCCCCGTCCCTGGGGCCTGGCCAGAGTCGCTCGCACCCCTCCTGCCCCGCGGGCTGGCGGCGTAAGCTGGGGGCGTCTCCACCGTCTTGGGGGGCAGACGCGCGCTCGTTGTGGGGTACAGTTCACGATCATTTTCACGACTTTTTAAAGGCAGTAATCGTTCTGGTCACTGCGACACAGCTGCCCTCGCCCATTCTAAAAAGTCAGCGCCCTCAGGACCGCAGGTAACCACGTCCTCCTGAGTGCGGTGACCAGGTCACAGGCTGTCCCTCGTGCCTCAGTGTTCTCATCTGTATGTCGAGCACTGCACAGAATCGGCTCATGCGCTGAGGCTCTCACGCCTGTGATGGAAGAGACAGAGAAGGGGGTGGCCTCTTGTCTCCCTGGGGACCTCCCATTCTCAGCACAGGCGCATGGCAGGCAGCAGCCTCCCTTCTGCCAGCAGAGGAGCTTAATGCACCCGGACACATTTGTAATTCATGTGCGGTGAGCTCACTGGGATGAGTCAGTTTGGATATATATTCCTCCCTGGGTCTGCCCCATTTTATGGGGTGTTGCTTAATCGTTTGCGTTATTCCATTGACATGAAATATTTGCACTCAGAGATCATTTCTGGTCAGGAGAAATTTGTGCGTTTTTAACCCTAAATAGAAACCTTCCTAAAAGCATCATAGGTCTCCATTCAATATTGACTATAATTGTTCACATGCCCACGCTGAATGCTAACTTGGGCTCACCCTCAACACCCACGAGGTGGGTACTATTATTATCACTCACATTTGACCAGAGGGATTGTTTGATTAGGGTGCAGTAGTTGAGAGTTCAGACCCAGGAGACAGCCTGTCTGCTTCCAATCCTGGCCCAGCCCCTGGCCCTGTGTGACCTTGGGCAAGTGACTGCATCTCTCTGTGCTGTTGTTTTTTTCTTAATAAAATGGGGGATATAATGATAGCTACCTCTTAGGGTTGTTGTCAGGGTTGAGTACAAAAGCCTGTGGATCAGTGCCTGGCTCATGGTAAATGCATGTCGGTGTTAGCTAGTGTTTTTATTCAGTCTCGAAATGTTTAATAAATGCCTTCCGTGAGCCTGGCACCATGGATCAGCAGTACCCATGACAGATGAGGCTCTGCTTGCATGGGAGAGCCAGAGAATAAACAAAGAAATGAATAAACAAGAAAAGACCAGATGAGAGTGGCTCTAAAGCCAATAAAACAGGGAAATGGTGAATGGAGCAACTGGGGAGAAGAGTCACCAAAGTCGGGGAATCAGGGAAGCCTTCCCCAAAGAGGTGGCATTTAAACTGGGGCCTGACTGGTGAAGCAGCCAGCCATGGGAAGGGCTTGGGGAACAGGATATGCAAAGGCCCTGTGGTGGAAACAAGCCAGCTGTGGTTGAGGAACAACAGCAAGGCAGCCAGTGTGGCTGGAGTGGAGTGAGCAGGGTGGGCCAGGGGTGAGGGAGAACAGGCCAGAGAGAGGGATTAGGACCAGGTCTTGTAGGGCCTTTCACAGCATGGAAGGAGCTCTGAAGCAATGAAGTGCCTTGCCCTGTGTCACATACCAGCCGAGACAGTCTGCCTAAGTCGGGAGCCCAAGTTCGCTGCTGGGCTTGAGGCCCCTGTAAGAGGACAATGTAACCCAGGCTGGTATGGGCACATTCTGCATTTCCACTTAAACTCAGATGGCAAGCCCATCAAACCTTGGTGCCATGGCTGCCCTGGTAATTCCTGGCTGACCAGTGCAACCAGGGAGCTGGCCCATGACCTGGGTGGCAGCTAAGTAGCCAGGACTAATGCGGCCAAGAGTCACTCTTCTAGCCTTCTTCCTGTGACTCATCCAGGTGCACCCTGCGGCATCTGAATGTCAGGCTTTCAGCTGCTGTGGCTTCCACTTCCAACTGGCTCCACGTCCCCAGGGAGAGATCACACAGTGCTTTGCCAACACATTCTATTGCGTGTTTAATGTTCTTGTGAATGCACCCTTGAGATTTCTCTCTCTCCCCTCCACACAGAGCTTAGAAGCAAAGTTAAGAGACTCATCAGATTCTGAGCTGCGGCGGGATATTTTGCAGAAGGTAAGAATCCCAGAGTCCCTGGGACTCATGACTCTGCCTCCTGAATCTCTCCGGAAGACCTGAGAGAAGAACCGCAGGTGTGCTTGTACCCTTTAAAAACACCCCTGTTCAAAGAACAAAACCATTGAGTCAGCACTGCAGGTGGGTGTGGGCACCTCCGACGGCTCCAGCTCTTTCATTTTCTAAGACTTAGACAAAGACATCAGAATATACAAAAATCTGCATGAGAGGGGGGAATCTAGGGAAAGTTTTTTAAACCATCCACAGCAAAAACAGAGATGACAGGTGCAAGACAGCTTCTAGCATTTGGTAGATGCTCAGAGACTTTCTTTTTTGCATTCATGAGGCCTGTCCTGCCCACTCCTGTCTCTTCTAAACCTAAATGGGCCCTTGCTTTGCCCAGGGTGGGGTTTGGACTCAAGAGCATCTGCATGCAGGTGAGAGGCAGGATCACCACCCGGCCCAGCCGCAGCCTGACCTTGGCCTTGAGGGCCAAGTGCAGATCACCCTGCATCCTGGGTCTTCACCTTCGAAGGGCCATCAGCCCTTCTGAAAAGACAAAGCAATAGACTCCCTCCCAGAAAGAAGTGCACCAGAAGAATACATTTTCCATACAAACTCAGGGGAGGCAGACATCCTCCACCCTCACCCACCCAGCCCATCCTAGGAGCCCCGGGGAAGAATTCCTGTGCTAGAGGTGAACCAAGATTATCCACGTGGAAAAGATGCAGCCACAGCAGGGAAGACTTTCGGGGCAATACAGTAGGTCAGGGCTTCAAGCATGGAGATACCTGAAGTTATCTCGCACCCTGCTCTGAGTTTCACCCTGAGCCTCACTCTCGTAGGTGGTGAAGCATGAAATGTGGGGAGAGCTGCTTTAAAACCCAGCACAAGGCTGGGTGCACTGGCTCACACCTGTAATCCCAGGACTTTGGGAAGCTGAGGTGGACGGATCACCTAAGGTCAGGAGTTCGAGACCACTCTAGCCAACATGGCAAAAACCCATCTCTACTAAAAATACAAAAATTAGCTGGGTGTGGTTTTGCACGCCTATAGTCCCAGCTACTCGGGAGGCTGAGGCAGGAGAATCGCTTGAACCCGGGGGGTGGAGGCTGCCATAAGCCAAGATCGGGCCACTGCACTCCAGCCTGGGCAACACAACGAGACTGTGTCAGAAAAAATGAAAAACCAGCACCAGCCTGAAGGGCCTGTGTATTGCGTGGGGTACTTTTCTGCCCTTGGGCAGAATCTGCATCCCTCCCAGCCAGCAGGTGCTGCGGACCATCTCCTCCCTCTCCCTCCAGACTCCTGTTTTCCCACCGTCCCCACTCCTGCTGCACCAGTCCCTCTGCCCTCCTTTCCATGTGCTAGGCCGTGGATACCTCAGAGCTTACACCGGCTGTTCCCACTGCCTGGAACTTGCTCGTCCTGCACTTGGCTTCTCTTGGCTTTAGCTGGAGTGTCACCCTGAGCGTCCCTTCCCCTCCATCCTGTCCCCAGGGACAGATGCTCCAAGAGAGCAGTTGCTGAGTGGGCCTTCCCGCCTCTTCCATAGAGCCAGACAGTTGGCGACTGTCCTTACTGCAAACCCTGGTTCACACTGGCTCCCCTGGGAGGGAGGTGGTTTGGGCCCACATGCCCTGTGTTCCTGCTCAGAATGGGCATTAGAAATGCTGCCATAGCCTGTGCCACTGCAGTGGAAGCATTTTTAGGAAACGGCTTATATCTTAAGACAAACTTCAGATGCGTGGGGCCAGAACGCTGTGTCCATCTACATCTTTGCTGAGGGATCGGGTAGCCTGGAGTTTGCCCTCTGCTGTGTTGGCTTGAAGCTCATAGGAGACTTCAGATGGGCTCTCCCCAGCAACCAACGTTCTGTCCTTTGCCATAGACTGTGAAGCATCCTGTGTGTGTGAAGCACCCGCCGTCAGTCAAGTATGCCCGGTGCTTTCTCTCAGAACTCATGAAAAAGGTCAGTTATGGGCAGTGTCCGCAGAGTAGTGGGACAGCATAGCCACCTGCGTGCTGGAGCCCCCGTCCTTCCCAGTCTCTGGGCCTGCTTTGCAAACCCCAGCATGGCAGGGGTCTCCCCAGGCAACTGGCTGCAACTGCGTGTGACCCATGGGAGACAGTGCAGGGCGGGAAGAAGGGGAGGCCAGCGTCTCTCCCTCACTCTGCCTCCTGGGGTTTCCGCAGCAGCTGCTTCTCTGGAGCCCCAGCTCCTAGCATATGGATTCTCATTCCTACCAGGCTGGCCCAGCAAACAGCACTGGAACCCGCACCCACACCCTCTGTCCTGCCCGCCAAAGGGTTTGGAGTTTCCTGCTCTTGTCCATCTCTGGGTTGCCCCACAGGCCCCTGTTGGAAGGTTTAGCTCTTGCCACACCTTTGGAACTAGTTCCTCTGGTGAATTCTCTGCATTGATCCTGCTGGAATGAGCTCTTTCCTGACTGATACAGGATGGATTTTATTTTTTACTTATTTATTTATTTTTTTGAGACAGTCTCACTGTGTTGCCCAGGCTGGATTACCATGGCATAATCTCGGCTCCCTGAAACCTCTGCCTCCTGGGTTCAAGCAGCTCTCATGCCTAGCCTCCTAAGAAGCTGGGACTACAGGCACACGCCACCATGCCTGGCTAATTTTTGTATTTTTAATAGAGACAGAATTTCACCATGTTGGCCAGGCTGGTCTCGAACTCCTGACCTCAGGTGATCCACCTGCCTTGGCCTCCCAAAGTGCTGGGATTACAGGCAAGAGCCACTGCACCTGGCCTAGGATGGATTTTAAAGATGGGCCTGAACATGCAGGGTTTGACATGAGGATGTCTAGAGGCCGTTCCTCACTAGGCAGTAGCAGACCTGCTGAGTGAAAGGGCCACACTTTTAGCAAATAAACAATCCCCTGCTTCTCCAATACCTGCTTTCTCCCTAGTCCTCCCCAAAAGGCTGCATCTGTGGTCACCAGCAGGTCTGCCCTGTGCCACCAGGAGAGGGCAGCGGTCATCCAGTGTACCCTGTTGCTGCCCTGTGAATCTTAGGACGGGGCCAGCCGTGGAGAAGCAGCCTGCTGACAGCCACAGCCTGCAGCATGGGCCGCCCTCACAGTTCTGCCTGGGCTCACTTAAAAGCACCTTTTGTTTTCCTCCTCTCTGTGTTTGATCCAAACACAGAGCTCTCTGTCATGGTCAAGTGGCAGCTCTCATGGAATTCTTGTCTCCTGCCCTAGACTACACCTAACCCTACCCTCTCAACACCTCTTGTTGAAGGCCCTCCCATCCAGGTTTCCCTACCAAGTGAATTTTTTTTTTAGAGATAAGGTCTCTTGCCCAGGCTGTCCTCGAACTCCTGGGCTCAAGCAGTCCTGTCATGTCAGCTTCTAGAGTAGCTGGAACTATTCGGCACACACCACCACGCCCAATGAAGTGAATATTTTATATGGCAGCTGGCCGGTATTACACCATTCCATCCCAAATCTCCCCTCCAAACCTGGCGAAAATCATCTGGCCATTTTTACAGATTAGAACGAAAGCAAACAAGCTCTCACTCAGCCTGCCCCCAGCACGAGGCTGTCCACACAGAGCCTTTGGACGAGCTGTACGAGGTGCTGGCGGAGACTTTGATGGCCAAGGAGTCCACCCAGGGCCACTGGAGCTATTTGCTGGTATGAGAAGGGCACCCTCCTCCCCCTCACAGCCCAGATACCCTTCCTGCACAAAGTGAAAACGTGGGTGTGGGTTCAAATCCTGACTCACCCATTCTGCAGTCTTAGATATGAGGTCCATTAACCTTCTTTAGCCTCAGTTTCCCTGTCTGTAAATCAGGCACTTCAACAACAACATCATGCCTCGTGCGGTTGTTGGGCATTTGTCCAATGGGTGGCACACACTACCTGCTTCACAAGGACCTGGTGCCCAGTCCTCAAAGAACACCTGACAGGGCTGGGTGTGGTGGCTCACGCCTGTAATCCCAGCACTTTGGGAGGCCGAGGCTGGTGGATCTGAGGTCAGGAGTTCGAGACCAGCCTGGCCAATATGGTGAAACCCTGTCTCTACTAAAAATACAAAAATTAGGCTGGGCGTGGTGGCTCATGCCTGTAATCCCAGCACTTTGGGAGGCTGAGGCAGGGGTATCACCTGAGGTCAGGAGTTTGAGACCAGCCTGGCCAACATGGTGAAACTCCATCTTTACTAAAAATACAAAAATTAGCAGGGTGTGGTAATGAGCACCTGCAATCCCAGCTACTCTGGAGGCTGAGGCAGGAGAATCTCTTGAACCCAGGAGCTGGAGGTTGTAGTGAGCCAAGATCGGGCCATTGCACTCCAGCCTGGGCAACGAGAGTGAACCTCTGTCTCAAAAAAAAGTACAAAAATTAGCCAGACATGGCGGCACGTGTCTGTACTCGCAGCTACTTGGGCGACTGAGGCAGGAGAATTGCTTGAACCCAGGAGGCAGAGGTTGCAGTGAGCCAAGATCATGCCACTGACTCCAGCCTGGGTGACAGAACTGAAAAAAAATAACATAAAACATAGATACAGAAAACCACAAAGGACAAACACAGCATATTGAATCATCACAAGGCAGCCACCCCTTCATAGCCACACCCGGCCCCTGGCCACCACTGACCAGTGCTCCATCGCCAGAATTCTGTTGTCTCAGGAATGTTCAATGAATGGAATCCTGTATGGCCTGAGATGAGTGTCTTTCATGCCACATGACACCCTTGAGGCCTGTGCAAGCTGATGGCATGTCAACAGTTAGCTGTTTCTCATTGCTGAGTAGCGATTGGTCCTGTCATGGTTTATTCAGCCATGTGGTGGATGGCTACTTGTCTTCTATGCCACTTGTCTTCTGATTGCTGGACTGACTCTCTCGCCCTCTCTTGGTGCAGCCCTCGGGAGGCTCGGTCACACTCTCCAAGAGCACAGCCATCATCTCCCACGGCACCACAGGCCTGGTCACATGGGACGCTGCCCTCTACCTTGCAGAATGGGCCGAGAACCCAGCAGCCTTCACTCACAGGTGACCTCGGGGCGCAGGGCAGGGCACCGAGGCAGGCTTACCCTGGTGCAGTCACAGACACGGTCCCCTTTCCTCCCACCAGGACTGTCCTAAAGCTTGGCAGTGGCGCCGGCCTCACAGGCCTGGCCATCTGCAAGATGTGCCGCCCCCGGGCGTACATCTTCAGCGACTGTCACAGCCGGGTCCTCGAGCAGCTCCGAGGGAATGTCCTTCTCAATGGCCTCTCATTAGAGGCAGACATCACTGCCAACTTAGACGGCCCCAGGGTGACAGTGGCCCAGCTGGACTGGGACGTCGCGACGGTCTGTCAGCTCTCTGCCGTCCAGCCAGATGTTGTCATTGCAGCAGGTAATGCCCAGCCCCGGGCATCCTGTGCAGGCGGTGTCCTTGCAGCTCTACCCAGCTCTTGGCTCTGGGAAAAGGGAACAATGGATGCTGTCAGGCATGGACATGATGGGGCTTCCAGAAGAGTTACTCTGGGCCTCCAGGCTGACATCAAAGGACAGGGGTGCCTCTTAAGGTGACCTTCAAGCCACAGCCCTCTTGCTGGAGACAGGCATACTCCCGTTCCAGTTGTCACCACATGGCTCTGTCCCAGAGCCATGCCCTGTGTCCTTCAGAGACCACCGGAGGAAAACAACCACTTCTGGGATGAGGACAGGGCACTTGAGAGAAGGTGGTGTTTGGCTGGGCCACCGAAAACCCCTCGCCCCTGCCAGCACACTCAGTCCCCTCTCTGATGGAACAGAGCTCTGCCTGTGGTCCTGGGTCCCAGCCCTGAAAACCACAGGTCCAGCGGTGGCCAGGGACACAGGCCCACCCCTGCAAGCCAGCAGACAAATCAGCGGATACCTGAAACACGAAGTTCATGGCAGATTCAGGCTTTGTGTCATTCAAAGCCCTCTAGATAGGCCGAAAACCAGAGCTGGTTTTTTAAGGAACACCAGTGAGTCTGGACATTTTTTTCTTTTGCTTCGGTCTTTTGCAGCTTTCTCTAAGGGTTCTCCTTTTTCACCGTAGTAATTGCCTTTCCATCTAATGGCCCAAATGTTTAAATGGCATCTAATAGTCTCATATGACCGCTGCCTCTCTGGCCTCGCCCTGCTGCTGTGGTCAGCATGACCTGGAACTTTCCACTTGTCCCTTTCAGTAACCTGAAGATTTCACCGTAGACGTGCTGTATTGCCCAGAAGCCATCGTGTCGCTAGTCGGGGTCCTGCGGAGGCTGGCTGCCTGCCGGGAGCACCAGCGGGCTCCTGAGGTCTACGTGGCCTTTACCGTCCACAACCCACAGACGTGCCAGCTGTTCACCACTGAGCTAGTTGAGTCCCCACGCCCACCCGGGCCTGCATGGTCCCCGAGCTGTCCCTGCAGGACTCCAGTGGAAGTGAAAGAACTGGGCGCCGGCGTAAAGCTAGCATGCCCCACACTCCCACACCATGCGGGGAACTCGGGCAGAGGCCGGTGAGCAGGGTGGGCTTGGAGCATGGGGGGCTTGAGGCAGGAGGAGGGCAGCTCAGCACAGGAAGGAGGGTCTGAGCCTAGCAGCCCTACTGTGTGCTTCAGAGCAGGGTTCCCTAAGCCCTTGGGCCTCTGTTTTCTCATCTATAAAATGGAGGTGGTGGGAGGGGCAGTCGGGGTCAGGGCTGGACACAGCTGTGGCCAGCAGGATGCTGGAGCACAGGCTGTACAGGCGGATCCACCACGCCACTGTCCTGAGCACCCAGTCGGTGGAAGACAAGCAGAGTGACTGTAGAGAAGGGGAATTGGCCCTGTAGTGGGCCAGCCACTGTCCTTAGACCTAACATTTGTCAGCCCCCAGCACCTGTGAGGGTGTGCTGTCCTTGTCCCATCTCAGTGACAAATACACTAGGACACACGGAGGCCAAGTGACCCCCGAGCTCCCGCACACTGCAGCCCGGCCACCTGGCTCGCAGGTCTCCACACTACATCCAAGCCCCCCATTGCCACCAGCCTTTGCCCCAGCTCCCCCTGAGCACAGCCCCTCCTGGCAGCCATGTGCACAGATGCACGCACAGCAGCCTCTGCCTGCACACAGAGACACGGACGACCCAGTGACTGTCCACGTGGGGCAGCCCGTTAACTACAGAGTAAACAAACAAGCCGGCACACGAAGGCGTACTGGGTTCCACGACAGAGTCCTGCACAACCTCGCACAGGAGGCTGGCCGGGTGCGGGGCCCAGGCCTGTCATCCCAGCACTTTAGGAGGCTAAGGCAGGAGGACTACTTGACCCCAGGTGTTCAAGACGAACCTGGGCCACATAGTGGGATCCCGTATTCACAAAACATACAGAAACTAGCCAGGCGTGGTTTCACACACCTGTAGTCCCAGCTACTCGGGAGGCTGAGGTGGAGGATGGCTTGATCCCAGGAGGTGGAGGCTACAATGAGCCCTGATCTCACCACTACACTCCAGCCTGGGCAACAGAGCAAGATCCTGTCTCAAAAAGGCAAAAAAAAAAAAAAAAAAAAAGGAAGTCTTTCTTCAGATACTTACGTGAAAAAATACCTGCAATATCTTTTAAGTGAAAAAAACAGTGCCAAGCAGCACACATAGTATAAGAACCCACCCACCATTTTTTTTTTTTTTTTTTTTTTGAGACAGAGTCTGGCTTTGTATTGCCCAGGCTGGAGTGCAGTGGTGCCATCTCGGCCCACTGCAACCTCTCACCTCCCAGGTTCAAGCTATCCTCCCATCTCAGCCTCCTGAGTAGATGGGACTACAGGCAGGTGCTACCACACCTGGCTAATTTTTTTATTTTTTGTAGAGTCAAGGTTTTGCCATGTTGGCCAGGCTGATCTTGAACTCCTGACCTCAAGTGATCTGCTGCCTCAGCTTCCCAAAGTGTTAGGATGACAGGCGTGTGCCACTGTGCCCAGCCCCATTTTTGTTTAAAAACTAATAATAATCACCCAGACATGGTTATGACTACCTATATTCCCAACTACTCAGGAGGCTGAGACGGGAGGATGGCTTAAGCCCAGGAGTTTGTGGCAACCTTGAGCAACGTAGCAAGACTTCATCTCAAAAAAAAAATTATCACAATCATCATTTTCACATAAGTATACCTATAGGAGAAAACCTAGAATATATATATAGCAGGCTTGTCCAACCTGCGGCCCAACACAAATCTGTAAACTTTCTTAAAACAGTACGAGGTTTTTTTGTGAATTTTTTTCTTTTAGCTCATCAGCTATTGCTAGCGTTAGTGTATTTTATGTGTGGCCCAAGGTGATTCTTCTTCCAATGTGGCACAGGGAGGCCAAAAGATTGGACATCCCTAATACACTCGTTAACAGGTGCCATCCTTGGATGGCAGGATTATAGAGACTTCTACACATTCATGTCTGCACTACTTCATTTTTATAGATATGCATTTTCCACTTGTAACAAAAAACTGTGATTGAAAATCATCCCGGGTCACAGTGTCTCACACCTGTAATCCCAACACTGTAAGAGGCTGAGGATTTGGGAGGCTGAGGTGAGCGGATCACTTGAGGTCAAGAGATCAAGACCAGCCTGGCCAACACGGTGAAACCCCATCTCTACTAAAAACACAAAAATTAGCCAGGCGTGGTGCTGCACGCCTATAATCCCAGCTACTCGGGATGCTGATGCAGGAGGATCACTTGAACCTGGGAGGCATCGCAGTGAGCTGAGATTGCGCCACTGCACTCCAGCTAGGGGAACAGAGTTAAACTCCGTCCAAAAAAAAAATAATAAAAGAGGCTGAGGCAGGAGCATCATTTGAGGCCATGGGTTCAGGACCCCATCTCTACAAAATAAAAAAATTACTGGCATGGTGGCACGCACCTGTCATCCCAGCTAGTCAGGAAATGGGAGGATTGCTAGAGCCCAGGAGTCAAGGCTGTGGTGAGCAATGACTGTGCCACTGCACTCCAGCCTGGGTGAAAGAACAAGATCGTATCTCAAAAAAAAAAAAAAAAAAAGAATCATTCTGGCTAACGGCTCTTCAGACATCTGTGCTTATGAGAACACCAGCCCCTTCTAAGCTGTGTGTGTGTGTTTTTGTTTGTTTGTTTTGTTTTGTTTTTTTTGGTGTTTTTTTTTTGAAATGGAGTCTCACTCTGTCACTCAGGCTGGAGTGCAGTGGCACAATCTCAGCTCACTGCAACCTCTGCCTCCTGGGTTCAAGCAATTCTCCTGCCTCAGCCTCCCAGGTAGCTGGGATTACAGGCACCCGCCATCATGCCTGGCTAATTTTTGTATTTTTGTAGAGATGGGGTTTCACCATGTTGGCCAGGCTGCTCTCGAACTCCTGACCTCAAGTGATCCCCCCACCTTGGCCTCCCAAAGTGTTGGGATTACAGGCGTGAGCCACTGTGCCCGGCCGCTTTCTAAGCTTTGTGAAGAGTGGGTTGACTGGGCAGCCAGGTAGATGTGGGTTCAGAGCTCTGCTTCTGTCCCGCTGTGCCAAGTGCTGGGGCAGACGCCAGCAGAGAGTGGACAGCGGCACGGTGCCTGCTGCTAACCATTTCTATGCAAAACCAGATTTCTGGTCCCATCCTGGAGGCCAATTCTAGGTACCTGGGTGGGACTGGGAAACTGTGAAACAAGTAGACTGACTTGGACACTCCCCCACCACACCACGCCTGTCCTAGCAGCCCCACACAATACGCTCATGTCCTGTCCCCAAACACCGCCATCCTCAAACACATGTGCTCTGTTTCCAGGCCAGGCCAGGATCAGATGGGAAGTGGAAGCTTGTCATGACCAGAAACTGTTTCCCTACAAAGAGCACTTGGAGATGGCAATGCTGAACCTAATACTGTAGGACTCACACGCGACTTCAACGGGATTGTGAGGATCAAGTCACTCTCATGGGAAGAATTTTTACATGGGAAAGCGGATAAAACTTTCATTGGACTGGAATGTTTGGAGAATATTAATTTCCAAATCAGGAACCACAAACTGCCCTCTAATAAGACATCGGCTATCTAAGCGTGTGGGTGCCCCCTTTCTGCCAGCAGTTCTGGTTCTTAAGAAAATCACCATAAATCAGACATGAAAATTCTGGCTCTAAAAATAGCATTTTCTTTGTGCAAATAAAAACGTGTGTATCAAGTATGATGTTCCCCCAACGTGGACACACCCGGTTCCTCACAAAGCCAAGCCCGCTGCAGCTGCCACATCCCTGGGCTTACTGTGCAGCAGGTGCTTTTTTCAAGACAGGAATCAAAATATTAGGAACACGGCAGAAAGGCGACACCTGGAGACCAAACGCAGGATGAGGAGTACTGCAGAGGTCACAGGGAAGTCACAGAACAGTAGTACGCTAGCAGGGGCATGGGGCGTGAAGAACAGAAGAAGAGAGGAAGTGTTTCCAAGCCTCCAAAAAAGAAATCAGAGCCAACCACAGCTTCCCGGGTCACAGAAGCAATTCACTCACCAGGCGGCACCACTGCCGTCATTTCAGCTTCTGGCCACTGGGAGGCGCTGCTTGAAAGGGTTTGCCCTGAGACTCCAAGAAGAAGCTGCGGGAAGGACAGCAGGGGCCCTGGGGTTTTAGCCTCTGGCCCAGGAGTTATGTGTCCATAACCAAAGGGAGCACAGTCTGCACCCAGCTCTCATCCCATCGGAGCTGCTGCGACTCCCGCAGGTTCTTCCGGAACAGGTTTAGCTTGCCTGCAGGATCAGGAAAGTTTGAGAAAAGCATCTGCATAATACTAAAGAGCAGAGCTTACCTCATTGCCTGTCCCCACCGCATCCCAGGTCACCACCTGGCTGACCCCAGGTGCCCGACCCAACAACAACCCCTACCAAGTTCTTAACTCCCTCACTTGGACTCGAGACTCTTCACGCCCCAGCAGCGCTCCGCCTCCAACTTGACATCACGCTTTCTGGGAACTTCCCCGCATGTCCCACTTTCCCACACTTGGTGTCCTGGGGCACCTCCCGGCCTCTTCATGCTGTATGCTCCCCTGCGAGCACCCTCCTCTTGGCCTCTGGCCAAGTCCCACCCATCTGTGGGTAACAAGGGGGTGTCGGTGTTCTTTTCAGCCTTGCTAAACTGTCTGAATCAAGGATCACAAACTACAGCCTGCAGGCCAAATCCAGCCCACAGCCTGTGTTTGTAAATAAAGATTTATTGGAACAAAGCCACACCCCTTAATCTACAGATGATCTGTGGCTACTTTCACACCCCAACAGAGTACCATGGTTCTGACAGAGACTAGGGGACCCAGTCTAAATGACTTCCGACTTGGACCTTTACTGAAAATCCTGCCAGTCATTCTGTTGGCAAGAACGATGTATTACTTTTTGCAATAAGAAACAAGTAACATTTGCAGAATTCCACCCATCTTTCAAGGCTGGTCCCAGAAGCTCCCTTTGCCCACTCACCTACCTGATCCTGCTCACTTCCTAAACTGCAGCCCGGCCCACCCGGCTCCAGCGTCATTTGTGGAGTGTCTGTTCCATAAATCCAGCGGGCAGGCGGGCAGGTGGGGTTGTGTCCTAACTTTCCCGAGCCTACTGTACCGAAACGGGACAGCAGAGTAGGCCAGCCTCTGTGACCTCTGCTCCCTCCCTAGCTTTTCCGCCAGACCCCACATGGTCCCACCCCGACTGTGGGAAGCAGGGATCAGGGAGCGTGGCTCGGTGCCAGTCTCCAGAACCCTGCCCACCCTGGCTTAGTGGCAGATGTGGCTACCTGCAGCTGAGCTGCCAGTTCCTCTGAGTCCTCAAAGACCAAGCCGTTTTCTTGATGTTTCACCAGCTCATGTAAACTGCAGAGAGAACCAAGGGAGCCTGAGAGCTGCCTGGAGAAGACACCAGACCCCTGGGGTGCCCACCTGGGCTCCCCTCGCACCCCACGCTCAAGCCAGGCTGGGGATTGGAACAGGGGGTGTGGTTTCTGGGAGCTGGTTCTTAGATTTGGCATCTGAAGGGTATAAAGGCCTGGGGGAGTGCACATCAAAATGGCCAAACCGATTTGAGGAGGGAGCCTTAAGGAGGGTTTGTACCTTCTGTGCTGGATGCTCTTCAAGGACTGAAGAATTATTTTTGTATGTTTTTCTTAATTCCATGGCTGTGGAACAAGTAAGGCAACCCCCTGGAGACTGGTTCAGCACATAAAAGATGACTTTTCTAGGGCACCAGATTTGATCAAGACGTTCCCTGAGCTCAGCTCACACGAGGGGCTTGAATCCCTGAATCCCATCCAGGAGCCGGCTCCTGAGCAGGGGCCAAGGGCTCAACTTGTGCTGGGGCTACTGCTTCTAGAATCTCCTCTAACGCCACCCTTCCAAACACCCATCTATGCTGGGTGCAGTGAGGCCACAGCATGACACTCATTTAACTCATTCAAACCCACCATGTGAGCTTGGCCAAAAGGGACATGGTGGGAGAGAAAAACAAAGAAAACCATGTAAGCCTGCAGGCAATTCCCGCCAATTCTACTCTAGGAGCAAAAGCCCCGAGTGGAGTTCTAGTATTTAAGGTGCTTTCTTTTTTCATATTAGGTTGGTGCAAAAGTTATTGCCATTTTTAATGGCAAAAACCGTGATTACTTTTGTACCAACCTAAATATAACATGAGTTCTAAATGGAAGCAACTACTTCAGTGAGGCTCAGCCCAGCCACAGTAACCACAGGGCTCCTCCTCATGGCCTCCAGTGTGTGCTGGACTGACCAAGGGGCAGGGCCTCACTGTGGGCAGCTGGCTCTGCACTGTTTCCCCCTCAGCGGTGGATCTGTGAAGCTATCCCCAGAAAGATTCGGGTTCTGCTCCTACCACTTGAAGTTCACAACGCACACACAGGCAAACAGCTCCTGAACATGTCCACCACCTTCATGGGCAGGTCCAGGCCACTGGAGGACGTGTCTAGACAGACACCCAGGTCCACCGACCCTGCTAGGCAAGAGGGGTGCGGTCAGAGAGCTGGTCTCTGCCCTGGGAACACAAATCCTCCCAGCACAGTGAGGCAGCATCCCCCGAGGGGAGTGAAAATCAGATAAGGCCCCCCGCAGCCCCAAGCACAAGTGGCTTAAGCTGGCCAAGCAGCCACATGGTCTGGCTGGGACATCTGAAAATGTAAGTTGACACTTTTTCTACGTAATCACAATTTGGTTTTTTTGTTGTTGTTGTTTTGTTTTGAGACAGAGTCTCACTCTGTCACCCAGGCTGGAGTGCAGTGGCACAATCTCAGCTCACTGCAACCTCCACCTCCCAGGTTCACCTCCCGCATGTAATCCCAGCATTTTGGGAGGCCAAGGTGGGCGGATCACCTGAGGTCAGGAGTTCAAGACCAGCCTGGCCAACGTGGTGAAACCCCATCTCTACTAAAAGAAACACAAAATTAGCGAAGTGTCGTGGCAGGTGCCTGTAATCCCAGCTACTCAGGAGGCTGAGGCAGGAGAATTGCTTGAACCTGGGAAGGCAGAGGTTGCAGTGAGCCAAGATCGTGCCATTACACTGCAGCCTGGGCTACAAGAGCGAAACTCCTTCTCAAAATAATAATAATAATAATAATAATAATAATAATAATAATAAACCACAGCACACCCACTACAAACCAGCTGTCAGTGTGAAAATAAAGCGAAACGGCTTAACATTTCTAAAGACTAGCTGGGACCAGGCGTGATGGGTCACGCCTGGAATCCCAGCACTTAGGGAGGCCAAGACAGGAGGATCACTTGAGGTCAGGAGTTCAAGACCAGTCTGGCCAACATGGTGAATCCCTGTTTCTACTAAAAATACAAAAATAAGCCAGGTGTTGTGGAGGGCTCCTGTAATCCCATAATCTACTCGGGAGGCTGAGGTGGGAGAATCGCTTGAACCCAGGAGGCGGAGGTTGCATGAGCTGAGATCGTGCACTCCAGCCTAGGCAACAGAGCGAGACTGTCTAAAACAAAGACTAGCTGGAGAGTCCTGCCAGGAAAAGGCCTCAGCCTCCAACTGCTCTGCTCACTAGAAGCTGGAAGATGCGGCTCTAGAGACGCATCAGGACCAAGACACAACTCCCCACTTGGAGAAAACAACGGGGAAAGAGACGGAGGCAAAGCAGAACCATCTCACTGGGAGAGGCGACGCTGTTTGACACATCGTCCCTGTACCTCCCAAAGCCACTGCCTTCCTACACCTGGGCAACAGTGGCCCCAACCCCAGGCCCAGCCCTCCTGCAGGAAGGAAGAGGACTGAATGGAGGGCGTGGCAGGCTGAAAGGATGTGACCTCCTCAAACCCCTTGGTAAAGGGCCTCTGGGGCCACCTGGCTGGGAGGGGCTGGCACACCAGAAAGTAGCCTCCTCCCGGGAGTTCAGCCAGAGCCCAGGTCCCGTGCCCAAGTGGCCTCCAGAGCCACCTTTTCAGAAAAAGTACATCCTGCCCACCCCTGTTCCCCCTGCTTAAGGCCCTGCCTCCTCCCTGAGCCTCCCGCTGGCCTCTCACCTAGAAGCGGGGGTAGTCCTCGGCCCTCCAGCCAGGGGGTGCAGACCTGGATGTGCTGGAAATGCTACTGGTGGATGAGGCGGCTGTAATACTCCCTCAGAGGCCCTTTGCCTTCACAGAGAAGAGGAGACACTGCCATGGACCCGTCTCTGTCCCTGCCACATGGCCCCAGGCTCAAGACACTCCCCCCTAGGAGGGATCCTTTTCCCAGAAGCTCCACCCCTCGGCAGCTCCAGTCAGGCCCCATCTGGGCCCTTCCAGAAGCTACCCAGGAGCCCCGAGACATGCAGGGGTGTGTGCACCCTGACCCCTGAGGCATAGTCCTGCACCTGCAGCCAGCTGGCCTCGGGCTGCAAACATGGCGGAGTAAGCACTGGCCTGGCACCCGACCGCCCACTGGGTGGATCCAGCCTTCTGTCTGTGTTGTGCGCAGGGGACACGAGGACTCCCCCTTCCCTGGCACAGCCCCCAGAGCACATGGCGCAGGTTCCAAGACGCCCCTGCCCTGCCACAGCCTCCAGAGCACATGGCGCAGGTTCCAAACCACTCCTGGGAGCCTAGAGGCCAGAGGAGGGAGGAGAGCAGGAGCAGCAGCTGGCCCAGACCCCGCCTCTTCCCACACCGCTTCCGCTTTTCTCCCTCCTCACTGAGTCACCTTGAAAGGGCTCAGCAGCAGTAACTGTGGGACAGGGGCTCTTCCGTTTAAAAAATTAAAAGACGCTTGGTTAAGGCACCAATGACATGGCCAGACACAGTGATTCATGCCTGTAATTCGAGCATATTGGGAGGCCAAGTTGGGTGGCTCACCTGAGGTCAGGAGTTCAAGACCAGCCTGGCCAACAGGGTGAAACTCCATCTCTACTAAAAATACAAAAATTAGCTGGGTGTGGTGGGCCCCTGTAGTCCCAGCTACTCGGGAGGCTAAGGCACGAGAATTGCTTGAATGTGAGAGGTGGAGGTTGCAGTGAGCCAAGATCACACCACTGCACCCCAGCCTGGGCGATAGAGACTGTGTCTCAAAAAAAAAAAAAAGACACCAGTGATGTAACAACAACAACAAAAAAGATGCTTGGAAACTACTGAAAAAGTAGAAAGCTTGGTATCTACAGATTCAAATCTGGGCTCCCTGCCCTGCTGTGAAACCCTCTGAGCCTCAGTTTCCCCCATGTCAAGCAGTATAAGTCCCTATGGCAGAGAGCTGCAGTGAGGATTAAGGAGACAAGATCGTGGGAAGCACAGGGTAAAGGCTGCGTGCCCCTCCCCATCCACCATCCCCCAACCACACAGACACCCAGGGGCCCAGGCGGTACCTGTTATCACACAGACGAGAGAAGGAAGGTTGTGTCCGTCAAGAGTCAGTTGTTCAAACTCTGTGTTTAAAAAAAGAAACAATTCTACACGGAATTTCTGGTAGAATTTTTTTTTTTTTTTTTTCCGACAGACTCTGGCTCTGTCACCCAGGCTGGAATGCAATGGCGTGATGTCAGTTCACTGCAACCTCTGCCTCCCGGGTTCAAGTAATTCTCGTGCATCAGCCTCCCAAGTAGCTGGGATTACAGGCCCCCACCACCATACCCAGCTAATTTTTGTATTTTTAGTAGAGACAGGTTTCGCCATGTTGGCCTCGAACTCCTGCCCTCAGGTGACCTGCCTGCCTCGGCCTCCCAGAGTTCTAGGATTACAGGTGTGAGCCACCATGCCCATTCAGAAAAAAACTTTTAAATAAACAATAGCCAGAGTCACCTGTTCAGGTGGAGAAAGAGCACTGCTCTGGTGGGGAGGCCACCAGCCTCTGTGAAATACTCTCCTGGAGGGGGCATTTCAGCCTGAGGGCCTGGTCACTCAATGACCCAACTGGGGATTCAAGGCGGCCCACCTCCACCATCCCCACTGTCCCCAGGCTGCCCCACCCAGTGGCCAGGGACAGGAACATGCTGCAGGCCAGGCAAGCAGCTCACAGCTCAGTGGCCCCCGACAAGCCCAGAGCTCCTCACCGCAGCCACACACCTACTTTCTAAAGCTGCCAGCAGGATGGAGAAGTCTTCGTCCTCTATGAGAAGAGAATTGAATGTCAGGGTCCTGTTTCTAGACACCCCTCTTACAGCTCTCACGACCTCCCCTTCTCATTGAGACCGTGGCAGGGTGGGGGCATGAAGGACTGGCAGGTGTGAGGACAACACAGGTTGGCCAGGTGCCTGTCACACCAACCCCAAGTGTTGCAGGGGTCGTGCAGACCTGTCCAGCCTGTGCTGCTGACCAGCAGGGCTGGCCGCTCGTGGAGACGCATCACCAGCCCGCTCCCAGCATCCCTCTTCATGAAGGCCGACCGCTCCGTGGCTGGGTCCTCAGGTTCTGAGCTGAAAGAGCAGGAAAAAAGCTTGTGAGAGGCCACAGAGCAGGCCCAGGACCCAGGACGGGCATCTCCTGCCGTGGCAAGGCCTGCAGGCTCCCAAAGGTTGGGGTGCCCGGCCACATCAGCAGCACCAGGTCACCCCTGCCATCCGAGGCCTGGGCTTGCTTTCTCTAATATTGTTGCTGGGTGATAAGTTTACAACAGCAAACAAGACTGACTCATTCCTTTTCTCCACGGGACTTACTGTCTTATCATCCCCTGGACTCAAGATGAGGGTGCAGGGACGCCCTCCCACACCACCCCAGCTTACACAGGGGCACACCTCAGGGTGCGTGGACCTGCACAAAGGTCCCCTCCTTAGCCCCATGAGACACCCCAGGGGACACACAGGTCCACAGGTCCTGCCACAGGCCTGGGAACCCATTGGCAGGAGAGTAAGACAGCGCAGGGGTCCACAAACATTTCTTAAAGGGCCAGAGAGTAAATACTTCAGGCTTTGCGGGCCACAGGTTCTCTGTTGCAAAACACGATTCTGCTATTGCAGCTCAAAGGCGGCTGTAGACAACTCAGAAGTTAATGAGTGTGCTGTGTCCCAATGACACTTGATTTACAAAAGCAGGAGACTGGCCTGTAGCCTTACTTTGCCAACCCCTGGGTGAGTGGGTTCCCAGGTCTGCAGTGAGAAGGGGACAGGCCAGGGCAGTGGCGAGCAGGAGAGAAGGCAGCTGAGGATGGGAGGCCTACCGGGCCCTGAACGGAGAGTGTGTGCCGCTGAGCTTCATGAAGAGCTGGCGCTGCAGGTCCAGAGGTGTGTCTTGAAAGAAAGATGCCGGCTTGTCATAGACGGTCACAGCCCTGCAATGAAATCATGGCAGGGCTATTGGGAGGGCTGAAGAAAGGCCTCAGGAATGGAGGACTCAGAGGCTCCAGGAAAAGAAGGACGCTTGGGGAATCCAAGTCTCAGGCGATGACAAGAAGAAGCCTTGCAATTACTTGGGAATGCACAGAGAGATGTCCTAGGACCAAAAGTGCCTGGACACCCTGGCTGGCTGGGAAAGAAACTCTGCCCCCTCCTCTCCCGGCTTCTCCAAATTTTCCCATAGTGTTGCCAAGCATTAGTCCAGCGTGGAGACTACTTTTTGCTCAAACCACTCATTTGGGTCCCGCGCCCCATGTAACCCATCCTCAGCAAAACAACCTTTATTTCTTTCTTCCTGGTTTCCAGAAAGTTCCCCTAAAGCCCTAGGAATCACCGAATGAAAGGGGCTTTTTACAAACAGGAAACTTAAGTGGAGTGCCAATACACAACATGAATTGCACCAGGCTGGGTCTAAGATAAAACCAGACTGTGGACAGCAGGACAGAGAAGACCCACATGGCTCTGCACTGCCGGGGTCTGTTATGGTGTGGAGGAATGTCTTACTCTGTTGCTCCTGTGGGTGTAGCTAAAACACGAACCAGGAGTCTTCATCCTTAGAAAGTAGTTAGACAGACACCTGAGAACCAATCTCAAACTGCAGCCTTCCACAGAACCTTCTGGAACCTTCCCGAATGCAACTCATTACTGCCAGAGGGTCTTTGATGAGAGTCTACTCTCTACCATTTGTCTTCAAAGAGAATACCCACATATTCTCTTTCCATGGAAAGGTAAGTTATTAGAGTTTATGCAGTCTGGTGTATTAATTGAGAGCTTCAAAGAATGTCACTTTTTCGATTCAGTCTCACAGACTGGGTTAAAAAGGCAGTGTTGACTATTAAGTTGTAAATTACTATAATGATCATTATTATTATTCAAGCAAGCTGTGAGAAATGAGCATTATCTCACAATATCTGCATTTTAGTGAACATGAAGGAAGGGTGTATTTGCTGGAATTACAGAAGCCTGAGAACCACAGGGGAATTCTCACTGCAGGGTATTCAGGGTCAAAGGCTCATTCTATTTTGTATGCTCAATCCTTCCTCAATTTATTTTTATTTCTTTCTTTATTTTTTGAGACAGGGTCTCACTCTGTCGCCCAGGCTGGAGCGCCTTGGTGCAATCTCAGCTCACTGCAACCTCGCCTCCCGGGTTCAAGTGATTCTCCTGCCTCAGACTCCGGAGTAGCTGGGATTTCAGGCACCCAACACAAACCCCAGCTAATTTTTGTATTTTTAGTAGAGATGGGATTTCACCATGTTGGCCAGGCTGGTCTCGAACTCCTGACCTCAGGTGATCCACCCACCTCAGCCTCCCAAAGTGTTGGGATTACACACGTGAGCCACCACACCTGGCCGGGCCTAGGTTTTTGAAGAAGGAATTGAACTGAGTGTAGGCCAGGTTGTACTGCTGAAGGTCTTGATGTAAACGGTCTGTTGGAGGTCAAGTTCTGTTTAGCGGGGGTAGACTATGTGACAAAGTGAAGAAAGGTAATGGTCTAAACGCAGCAAAAGTTTCATTCCCACTCACGTGACAGTCTGTGGAGCAGGCAGCTCCTCTCCTCATGAACCTGGGACCCAGGTATCTTCCATCTTGTGGCTCTGCTTCTCCAGAGCCTTGTCATTTTTTTCATCTAGCTATGGTGACAAGATCTTTTGGATAAGCCATGAATATTAAACCAAAGGCAAACTCTGAAAATTGATTTGACGTGTGGTCAGCTGCTCATTTAGCACAGTCCGGGGAATGCTGGGGTGACAGACAAGAAGGTTTTCATGAGGAGGTTGAAGAGATCTAAGTATAGGGGTGCCAGCCTGGGCACTTCAGAAGGGGCACTGGCCTAGGGGTAGAAGCAGGGTGACCCTGATTTCCCTGGGGTAGGGTGTGGCTCACGACGGGGTGCTGAGAACCCACCAAGAAGGCTGGAACTTTCAGTACTCATTGTTTTATGAGGGCCTGCCTGTGTGCCAGGCGGGAAGCACTGACCAGAGGCCCAGGGCAACTGAAGGGTCTCAGCCTGGTCTCTTGGTGCCTGGGGGGTACACTGTACAAGCGATGATGTAGTTCCAAGGGGCAGGACTCTGACCCACACTCCTGGTGCCAATGTCCATTTTGCTACTCATGTTAGATTTTGCTTCTTTAAGTGAACCTACTCAGGATAGCTGGGTTCTTGGCCATTCTTCCAGTGGTTTTCAAGGGTGAAAAAAGGAGTTTCAGCAAGACAGCTAACGTCTGGATGAGTGAGCCAGGAAGGGTCTGTAACCTTCCTCTAGAGAGCACTCTGGGCTGGTGGGCGCGAGGACTCCAGTTTCATGCACGTCCGTGTGAAGAGACCACCAAACAGGCTTTGTGTGAGCAATAAAGCTGTTTATTTCACATGGGGGCAGGCAGGCTGAGTCTGAAAAGAGAGTCAGTGAAGGGAGATAGGGGTGGGGCCGTTTTATAGGATTTCGGTAGGTAAAGGAAAATTACAGTTAAAGGGGGGTTGTTCTCTGGCGGGCAGAGTAGGGATCACAATGTACTCAGTGGGGGAGGTTTTGAGCCAGGATGAGCCAGGAGAAGGAATTTCACAAGACAATGTCATCAGTTAAGGCAGGAACAGGCCATTTTCACTTCTTTTGTGGTGGAATGTCATCAGTTAAGGCAGGAACCGGCCATCTGGATGTGTACGTGCAGGTCACAGGGGATATGATGGCTTAGCTTGGGCTCAGAGGCCTGACGTTCCTGTCTTCTTATATTAACAAGAAAAATAAAACAAAATAGTGGTAAAGTGTTGGGATGGTGAAAATTTTTTGGGGGTGGTATGGAGAGACAATGGGCGATGTTTCTCAGGGCTGCTTCGAGCGGGATTAGGGGCGGCGTGGGAACCTAGAGTGGGAGAGATTAAGCTGAAGGAAGATTTTGTGGTAAGGGGTGATATTGTAGGGTTGTTAGAAGAAACATTTGTCATTTAGAATTATTGGTGATGTCCTGGATACAGTTTTGTATGAATTGAAAAACTAAATGGAAGAAGAGAAGGAGAAAAACAGATATTAAAGGTCTAAGAATTGGGAGGACCTAGGACATCTAATTAGAGAGTGCCTAAGGAGGTTCAGCATAGTCCTGTCAGCAGAGATTGTTTATTTACTTCAAGAGTTAAGAGTGGCAGTTTGGGGATAGCACCAGGAGATATCAGCTGTGATGACTTGGAGAAACAGTGTAAACCGGCAGTGTAAACAAGAGAAGGGCATGTATGAGTAGTTGAGAACGGCAAATAGGAGTTTGACTAGACAGAAGATAGTAGGGATGACAAGTTTTTTGGGGCACAGTCTAAGTTGGTCTGGTGTCTGGAATGACACTGGGGCCAATAAAAAGGAGCGTCTTTACAGGAGCTCAAATGGGCTGTATTTTGTAGCATTCTGAGGACAGCTCTGACTTCTGAGAAGGGAAAGTGGTAAAAGTGTTGTACAGTCCTTTTTAAGTTGGAGGCTGAGCTTAGTGAGGTGTGTTTTTAAAAGACCATTAGTCTGTTCTACTTTTCCTGAAGACTGAGGACTGTAAGGGATATAAAGATTTCACTGAATACTAAGAGCCTGAAAAACTGCTTGGCTGATTTGACTAATAAAGGCTGGTCTGTTGTCAGACTGTATAGAGGTGGGAAGGCTAAACTGAGGAATTATGTCTGACAGAAGGGAAGAAATGACTGTGGTGGCCTTCTCAGACCCTGTAGGAAAGGCCTGTACTTATCCAGTGAAAGTGTCTACTTAGATTAAGAGGTACTTTAGTTATCTGACTCGGGGTACGTTGAGTAAAACTAATTTGCCAGTCCTGGGTGCGGGCAAATCCCTGAGCTTGATGTGTAGGGAAGGGAGGGAGCCTGAATAATCCCTGAGGAGTAGTAGAATAGCAGATGGAACACTGAGAAGTTATTTCCTTGAGGATAGATTTCCACGATGGAAAGAAAATGAGAGGTTCTAAGAGGAGGGCTAGTGGCTTGTACTATAGCATAGCCTGCCTTTGCTGGTGTGTGGTGATTAGGCCTGGTGGAGCTGCCGTCAATAAATCAAGAGTGATCAGGTTGAGGAACAGGAAAGAAGGAAATATGGGGAAATGAGGTGAATGTCAGTTGGATCAGAGAGATACAGTCATGGGGGTCAGGTGTAGTATCAGGAATAATGTGGGAGGCCGGACTGAAGTCCGGGCCAGGAACAATGGTAATTGTGGGACTTAACAAAGAGTGAGTACAGCTGAAGGAGCCGGGGAGCAGACAGTAAGTGCATCAGGTGTGAGGAAGAAAATAGATTTTGGAAGTTATGAGAAATGTAGAGAGTGAGTTGTGCATAGTTTGTGATTTTGAGGGCCTCTAAAAGTATTAGGGCGGCAGCAGCCGCTGCACAGAGACGTGAGGGCTAGGCTAAAACAGTAAGGTCAAGCTATTTGGACAGAAAGGCTACAGGGTGCGGTCCTGGCTCTTGTGTAAGAATTCTGACCACGCTAACCATGCCTAGGAAGGAAAGGAGTTGTCGTTTTGTAAGGGATTGAGGTTTGGGAGATTAATCAGACACGATCAGCAGGGAGAGCACGTGTGTTTTTATGAGAATTATGCTGAGATAGGTAACAGATGAGGATGAAATTTGGGCTTGACTGAAGTAATGGGGGCTGTCTGTGAAGCTTTGCGGCAGTACAGCCCAGGTAATCTGCTGAGCCTGATGGGTGTCAGGGTCAGTCCAAGTGAAAGTGAAGAGAGGCTGGGATGACAGGAGCAAAGGAATAGTAAAGATACCAAGTTTGAGATCCAGAACAGAATAATGGGTTGTTGAGGGAGGTATTGAGGATAGGAGAGTATGTGTGTTTGGCACCATGGGGTGGATAGGCAAAACAATTTTGTTGATAAGAGGCAAATCCTGAACTAACTTGTAAGGCTTGTCTGGTTTTAGGACAGGTAAAATGGGAGAATTGTAAGGAGAGTTTATAGGCTTTAAAAGGCCATGCTGTAGCAGGCGAGTGATAACAGGCTTTAATCCTTTCAAAGCATGCTGTGGGATGGGATATTGGCGTTGAGTGGGGTAAGGGTGATTAGGTTTTAATCAGATGGTAAGGGGTGCATGATAGGTCAACAAGGAGGGAGTAGAGGTATCCTATACTTGCGGATTAAGGTGGGGAGATACAAGAGGAGGATGTGAAGGGGGCTTTGAACTGGGGGAAAAGGTCACAATGCGGTGTGGCTGTAGCCCAGGAATAGTCAGGGAAGCAGATAATTTAGTTAAAGTGTTTCGGCCTAATAAGGGAACTGGGCAGGTGGGGATAACTAAAAAGGAGTGCTTAAAAGAGTTTTGTCTAAGTTGGCACAAGACTTGGGGAGTTTTAAGAGGTTTAGAAGCCTGGCCGTCAATACCCACAACAGTTATGGAGGCAAGGGAAACAGGCCCTTGAAAAGAAGGTAATGTGGAGTGGGGAGCCTCCGTATTGATTAAGAAGGGGATGAACTTACTTTCCACTGTGAGAGTTACCTAAAGCTCGGCGTCCGTGATGGTCTACGGGGCTTCCGAGGCAATAAGGCAGCGTCAGTCTTCAGCCGCTAAGCCGAGAAGGGATCAGTCAGAGAGGCTTGGGCCAGAGTTCCAGGGGCTCTGGGAGTGGCTGCCAGGTGAGTTGGACAGTCCGATTTCCAGTGGAGTCCCGCACAGATGGGACGCGGCTTAGGAGGAATCCTGGGCTGCAGGCATTCCTTGGCCTGGTAGTCAGATTTCTGGCACTTGTAGCAAGCTCCTGGGGGAGAAGGTTCTGGAGTAACGCCTGGCCACTGCGGTTCAGGCATTTGGAAGTTCTTGTGTGCTGGAGATGTGGCTGGGGTTTGTCTCACAGTGGAGGTAAGGAATTACAGCTTTTTTTCTATTATTGTACACCTTGAAGGCGAGGTTAATTAAATACTGTTGTGGGGTTTGAGGGCCAGAATTTAATTTTTGGAGTTTTATTTAATGTAGGGAGCAGATTGGGAAATAAAATGTATATTGAGAATAACATGGCCTTTTGACTTTTTAGGGTCTAGGGCTGTAAAGTGTCTCAGGGTTGCTGCTGAACGAGCCATGAACTGGGCTGGATTTTTATATTTGATGAAAAAGAGGCTAAATGCTATCTGATTTAGGATAAAGAAAAAAGAGCATTAACCTCGACTATGTCTTTAGCTCCAGGCAACTTTTCAAGAGTAAATTGCTGGGCAGGTGGGGGAGGGCTAGTCATGGAATGAAACTGTAGACCAGACCGGGTGTGAGGAGGGGAGGTGATAAAAGGATTGTAGGGTGGAGGAGTGGAGGCTGAGGAAGAATTGGGACCTAGCTCAGCCTGGCGAGGAGCAGCCTGGGGAGGAGGGGAGAGGTCAGATGGGTCTGTAGAAAAGGAAGATTAGAAAGACTCAGCGATGCTTGGGTTTGGGACTGAGGGGACAGGTGGGAGGGAAAGGAGGAAGATTTGGGATGAGTTGCTTTGGGCACAGAGACTAGGAAGGGACCGATGTGTAAAAGAATGCCTGGACGTCAGGCACCTCAGACCATTTGCCTATTTTACGACAAGAATTATTTAGATCTTGCAGGATGGAAAAATTGAAAGTGCCATTTTCTGGCTATTTGGAACTACTGTTGAGTTTGTTTTGGGGTCAAGCAGCATTGCAGAAGAAATAAGATGCTTAGATTTTAGGTCAGGTGAGAGTTGAAGAGGTTTTAAGTTCTTAAAAACACAGGCTAAGGGAGAAGAAGGAGGAATGGAGGGTGGAAGGTTGCCCATAGTGAAGGAAGGAAGCCCAGAAAAAAGAGAGAGTAGAGACATGGAGGGAAGCGGTTCGGGGGTTCTTACCCTCCAGAAAAGTGGGAAAGGGGTCGGGATGCAGAGATACAAGGTCCAGGCATGGAAATAAGAGATCGGGGTACAGAGATATAAGAGGTCAGGGTGCGGAAATAAGGGATTGGGGTGCAGAGATAAGAGGTAGGGGCTTGGAAATAAGGGATTGGGGTGTAGAGATACGAGATTGGGGTACTTGTGCCTCCCCCAGAAAAGCAGAGAAGGGGTAGAGACATGGAGAGAAGGGGTTGGGGTACTTACCCCTCCCCCAGAAAAGCGGGACTTGCCGCTAAGGGTGAAGGACCAAGGCAGGCATCCCTGCGTGGTCTGACACCTTTGAAACATGGGGGAATATTCAGAGAGGCATCCCTGTAATGATTAAACACCAAGGGAAGGCTGCCTTCCCAGTCCATGACCAGCGCCGGAGTTTTGGGTCCACGGATATAACGTGTCTCCTTTGTCTCTACCAGAAAATGAAAGGAATTGAAATCAAGAGAAGGGAGAGATTGAAGAGTGGAAAGGAGAAAGTGGTTGAGGGACAGTGAGACAGGTTGGAGAAGAGTGTAAGAAGAGGCTGCTTACCAGATTTAAAATTGGTGAGATGTTCCTTGGGCTGGTGGGTCTGAGGACCTGAGGTTGTAGGTGGATCGTTTTCACGGAGCAAACAACAGGAGGACATGGGATTGATCTCCCAAGGGAGGTCTCTGATCCGAGTCATGGCACCATGCGTGTCTGTGTGAAGAGACGACCAAACAGGCTTTGTGTGAGCAACATGGCTGTTTATTTCACCTGGGTGCAGGTGGGCTGAGTCTGAAAAGAGGGTCAGCAAAGGGAGATGGGGTGGGGCCGTTTTATAGGATTTGGGTAGGTAAAGGAAAATTACAGTCAAAGGAGGGTTGTTCTCTGGCAGGCAGAGTGGGGGTCACAAGCTACTCAGTGGGGGAGGTTTTGAGCCAGGATGAGCCAGGAGAAGGAATTTCACAAGACAATGTCATCAGTTAAGGCAGGAACAGACCATTTTCACTTCTTTTGTGGTGGAATGTCGTCAGTTAAGGCAGGAACGGGCCATCTGGATGTGTACCTGCAGGTCACAGGGGATATGATGGCTTAGCTTGAGCTCAGAGGCCTGACACCCAGGGCAGGCTGGCTCAGCCCCTTTGACTTCAGATTTCAGAGAAGGCCAGGGAGCTGGATTGGGTGCCTAGATTTTCTGAGAATTATGTTTCTGAGAGGATTTTGAAACCTAAACAGGAATACTTTACACACAGGTCATCAAGCAGGAACTGGGAAGTTCCAAAGCTGCCCTCCTTCACGCCACCTCCTCCCTTCAGAGGCCAAGGGCGGCCAAGCTGTCTCCCACACACCTCAGTGAAAAGTCACTGGCTCTCCTCCCAGCCACGTCGCTGTGACCTCGTGAGGTGTGAGAAGGAGGAAGGGGATCTATGTTCTTGATGAACCTTCCTTCCTCCTTGCCGAGAAATAATTTAGGCCCCTGCGCCTGCTGGGCCTCAGACCTTCTCAGAGCCCAGGGCCCACTGTGGCTCCTGCAAGCTGCCTGGGAATTCCACGGAGGCTGCCTGGCTGCCTGTCTTATTCCCAGTCTGCTGCAACCCATTCCCTAAGCTTGGGTGGCTGAAAACAACAGAAATTCATCCTCTCACAGTTCTGGAGGCCATAGTCTGAATCCAGGTGTTGGCAGGGCTGTGCTGCCTTTGAAGATTCTAGGGAAGAATCCTGCCTGACTTTTTCCAGTTTTGGGTGGTGGCCGGCAATGCGCAGCATTCCTTGGCTTCAGGTGCATCATTCCAGCTGCACACGGCTGTCTTCCCTCTGTGTCTCTTCTTTTCTTCTTATAAGGATACCAGTCATATGGTGTGAAGGGCCCACCTTACTCCAGTATGTCGCCAAGTTAATTTGTTACATCTGCAACCACCCAATTTCCAAATGTCACATTCTGAGGTTCCTGACTGAAGGGGTGGGTTGCCCCTCCACACCTGTGGGCGTTTCTCGTTATGTGGAATGAGAGACCTGGAAAAGAAAGAGACACAGAGACAAAGTATAGAGAAAGAAAATAGGGCCCAGGGGAAGGGCGTTCAGCATACGGAGGACCCCTGCCGGTACCGGCCTCTGAGTTCCCTTAGTATTTATTGATCATTATCGGGTGTTTCCCGGAGAGGGGGATTTGGCAGGACAATAGGGTAATAGCGGAGAGAAGGTCAGTAGGAAAACACGTGAACAAAGCTCTCTGCATCTTAAACAAGGTAAAGAATTAAGTGCTGTGCTTTTGATGTGCATACACATAAACATCTTAATCCATTAAAGAGCAGTATTGCTGCCAGCATGTCCCACCTCCAGCCCTAAGGTGGTTTTCCCTTATCTCAGTAGATGGAATATACAATCGGTCTTGACACCAAGAGGTTCCATTGCCCAGGGACAAGCAGGAGACAGATGCCTTCCTTTTATCTCAACTGCAAAGAGGCCTTCCTCTTTCACTAATCCTCCCCAGCACAGACCCTTTACGGGTGTCCGGCTGGGGGACATTCAGGTCTTTCCCTTCCTAGGAGGCCATATATCAGGCTATCACATGGGGAGAAACCTTGGACAATACCTGGCTTTCCCAGGCAGAGGTCCCTGTGGCCTTCTGCAGCGTTTTGTGTCTCTGGGTACTTGAGATTAGGGAGTGGTGATGACTCTTAACAAGCATGCTGCCTTCAAGCATTTGTTTAATAAAGCACACCCTGCACAGCCCTTAATCCATTTAACCCTGAGTTGACACAGCACATGTCTCAGGGAGCACAGGGTTGGGGGTAGGGTTACAGATTAACAGCATCTCAAGGCAGAAGAATTTTTCTTAGCACAGAACAAAATGGAGTCTCTTATGTCTACTTTCTACACAGACACAGTAACAATCTGATCTCTCTTTCTTTTCCCCACACTGATGAACGTGAATTTGAGGGGACACCATTCAACCCACAGCAGAGCCCCACCATCACCTCTCTGCACAGGGCACCTGCCTGTCTTTCCTTGCCAGCACCAAGACAGAGCCAAGAGTGATTTCTTGAAATGAAACTGCATCCTCTCATCTCAATAAGGCATGGCCTCCCTAGTGGGAGATGAGCAAATGAAAGCCTCCCTCAGGATGGTCATCCACACGTCCATGGGACACTCACCCCAATTTTTTTTCCTGGTTTATAAAGGTGCTTCAGGACCTCTTGGCTCCTGGCCAATACGTTAGTGCTTCCTGAAGGGGAAAGAGCCCTCCAAACCATTCATTGGGCCATCCCAGACCAAGGTTTCTGACCCAAACATTGAAACAGGAGGAGTTCCCTTATCCCCCTTGCAGGGCATGATACAGGGGCATGGCTCACTTCTCAGTACCCTGTTGCTCAAACCCCTAGAGGGAGCGTGCAGATGGGCAGGTCGTGGGGAGCGTTTCTGGGCTCTGGCCCCACAGCAGCGTGTGGAATTGGGTGTTTACAGCTCCTGAAGCCCCAGTGGGCATGTGTTACAGTGGTATCCTTCAGTTTTGCCATCTGCAGGCGGCATGTGTTAATCAGCTCAGTTAGGCCCTCTGCCTTATCACAAAGACAGAGGGCTTTCTGTATCACGGGTTCTTGCCCTAGTGTACTTGAAAAATCAGATCGCATGTGGACTTGGAGAATGAATGCAAGATTTTATTGAGTGGAGGAGGTGGCTCTCAGATGGATGGGGAGCCAGAAGGGGGATGGAGTGGGAAGGTGGTCTTCCCCTAGAGTCGGGCTGCCTAGCAGCCAGACTCTCCTCCAACCGCCCCCAAGTGAATTCCACATCTCCCCACTGTCAAAAGCCTGCCAGCATCTGCTGATGTCCATCAGTGTGCTCTTCTGCTTCTCTGCTCCTCTGGATGTCCAGCCACTTGTGTCTGTGCCCACTAGGGTCTTGGGTTTTTTATGGGCACAGGATGGGGGTCATAGCAGGCCAGAGTATTCTTGGAAAATGCAACATTTGGACATGAAAACAGGAGTGCCTGTTCTCACTAAGGTGCAAGGGCACAAGCCCGAGGGTGGAGCGCTTGCCAGGGACCCCACCCTTCTCTAACCAGCATTCCCTTGCCCCCCTTCCATATCAACATGAAAGCTGACATTGGCTCCTGTGCCCCACCTCTGGGCCTGGTTTGGTGACCTCTGCACCAGAGCTTCTAGGGAGGCCCTACCCCACATGTTGTTAACTCAACAACCCTTCCCCAGGGGAACCAACGTCCTCCTGTCCCCAAACCCAAGGAGGGGTGGTGGGTTCCTGGGCCTCTTGTAACCCGACTGAATATTTTCCAGGTTACCTAACCAAACTCCTGTAAAACCACACCACCTATGCCTGTGATGGGGACTATCTGAATCTACAGTGCCCTCGGCATTCTACAATAAGTGTCCAATCGGCATTTTATGGACAAGATTACCCAATGTGTAGTTCCCAGAAGCCTGCCTGCCAGAGGGAAGACAGCTTAACTTGTGTGGCACCCACCACCTTCCAGGTATTGCCTTTTATAGACACGTTAAGATGATACAGTTTCAACAGACACTCTTTCTCTCTCTCTGGGTGTAAATATATTTGTGATTATATAGTTTAATCCAAGCAAAACTGATCCATGAAAAATCCCAACTTATACAGATCACCAGATTTGTAGGTGAGCTATTATTTGCTTCTCAAAGGATTTGTTACCCAACAAAACTAAATAGAATTCCTACCTATTGTAGAGCCCCCTTTGTACACTTCAATATGAATTTATTTGTAGGTTTACTCCTTACTTCAGTATAGCAAAGTACAACCAGGATAGATTCCAACCTCCAGGCCCATATCTCCCATAAATACTCCTGTAGAAAGAGAAGGTGGGTTCTTTAATGGAAACCACAAGTATCTCTTTGAGGCAGACATCTGAACTCATGACCAACTTCTTAGAAAATGTACTCAAAGGGCCAGGCGCAGTGGCTCATGCCTGTAATCCCAGCACTTTGGGAGGCCAAGGCAGGTGGATCACAAGGTCAGGAGATTCAGACCATCCTGGCTCACATGGTGAAACGCTGTCTCTACTAAAAATACAAAAAATTAGCCGGGTGTGGTGGTGGGCACCTGTAGTCCCAGCTACTCCAGAGGCTGAGGCAGGAGAATGGCATGAACCCGGGAGGTGGAGCTTGCAGTAAGCAGAGATCGAGCCACTGCACTGCAGCCTGGGCAACAGAGCAAGACTCCGTCTCAAAAAAAAAAAAATCAAATCATTATTAAACATTTTTGCTAATTAAATGGTTTTGGAGTACATTCTTTTAAAAAAACAATTAACTATGTTTTCTTCAACACTGCACACGTAACGCCAACTTTGCATGACATTGCAAAGAAAGATTTTACTATATTAAGCAGATTAAACAAACAAACTTTTCCTTGAATTCTTTAGGAACAAAGTACAACCTGGTCCAAATCATCCTAACCTAGAATGCACCATCAGCTTGACAGTCAGTTGTTCCTGGATTTACCAGATTTGGGGCAGACTTTTCATGCTTCTCTAAAGAGGGATTCTTAACTGACACCGTGCCTTGTTTTTGCCCTTTTCCTAGGAAAGGAAATGATTTTATTTGGTATCATATCATCTTTCTTGCTTTTTTTTTTTTTAATTAGAGATGAGGCCTTGCTACATTTCCCAGGCTGGTCTCCAAATTCTGGGCTCAGCAATCCTCCTGTCTCAGCCTCCCTCCCAAAATGCCGGGATTACGCGTGTGAGCCACTGTGCCTGGCCTCTTTCTTGTCTTTTAAACAAATAAATGTAAGCTGGCATGGTGTGCATTCATATATTCCCAGGTACTTGAGAAGCCGAGGCGAGAGGATCCCTTGTGCCTAGGTTTGAGCCCAAGAGTTCAAGGCTGCAGTGAACTATGATTGCACCACTGCACTCTAGCCTGGGTAACAGAGTGAAAGCCTGTCTCTAAAAAACTAAACTAATGCTTGGCGCGGTGGCTCACTGCTGTAATCCCAGCACTTTGGGAGGCCGAGGCGGGCAGATCACGAGGTCAGGAGATCGAGACCATCCTGGCTAACATGGTGAAACCCCATCTCTACTAAAAATACAAAAAAAATTAGCCAGGTGTGGTGGCATATGCCTGTAATCCCAGCTACTCGGGAGGCTGAGGCAGGAGAATCGCTTGAACCCGGGAGGCGGAGGTTGCGGTCAGCCGAGATGGTGCCATTGCACTCCAGCCTGGGCAACAAGAGTGAAACTCCATCTCAAAAAAAAAAACTAAGCTAAACTAACATAATAAATAATTCGTACACACAAGGGGATGCCAGCTGAGGGGCTGGAGGTGAGGTTTAACTGGGCTCTCTCCAGAGAGAGAAAGAAGCTTAATGCTTCTTTCAAGTAATTTCTGGTCTGTCTTTACCTATGTGGATCCCAAGCCAACATTTGAGAAAAGGCCCCCTTCAGTGAAGGAATGTGTGACCTTAAGTGCTGAGCGAGAGAAACTTGCTTTCTAGCCAGGCCCTTCCTGGGACCTAACTCCATGTGTCTGCCTCCTTAACGCCAGCACCTCTCCTCCATTTGCCCCTTAGTATCATTCCCAGGGTCTTTGCCCTTGTCAACAGGTTGCTTCCCACCTGCTTCCTGCATAGGGCTTTGTTTTCTGGGGTCAGAGACAGCATGAGCCCACAGGGCCATCCCCACTGCCCCCTTCTCAGGGTGCAGCCCTGGGGAAATGAGCAGTGGGACTTGGACACAGCTCATCAATTCCTTCTGGGGGAAGCTGATGGTGCCTTCAATTTTTGTTTCTGCTTCAGATGAATTAAAAAACAAAACCGTGTGTGAAGACAAGGAGCTGAAACTGCACTGCCATGAATCCAAGTTCCTCAACATCTACTCTGTGACCTATGGCAGGAGGATCCAGGAAAGGGACATGTGCTCCTCCAAGGCAGAGCGGCTCCCCCCCTTTTCAGTTTGTGCTTTTGTATGGGTATTAGCCGGGGTTCTCTAGAGGGACTGAACTAATAGGATATATAATGGGATATATATATATGATTGTGGAAGTCAATACTTAATAACACAATCACAATCTTGTGATCGTGAATGTTAATACTTAATAAACTCCCATATGTGTGTGTGTGTGTGTGTGTGTGTGTGTGTGTGTGTATAAATGCTTGTAAACAGTAATCTGCCAAAAATAAATAAGTAAAACAACAAGAACTGGCCGGGCACAGTGGCTCATGCCTATAATCCTAGGACTTTGGGAAGCTGAGGCGGGTGGATCACGAGGTCAGGAGTTCAAGACCAGCCTGGCCAACATGGTGAAATCCCGTCTCTACTTATAATACAAAATTATCTGGGTATGGTATCGCATGCCTGTAATCCCAGCTACTTGGGAGGCTGTGACAAGAAGAATCACTTGAACCTGGTAGGCAGAGTTGGCAGTCAGCTGAGATCTCACCAATGCACTCCACCTTGGGTGAGAAGAGTGAAACTCTGTCTCAAAAAAGAAAAAGAAAAAAAAAAGACACGGTCCTGTTTTCATGGGGTGAACAGTTGAGGGAGAAAGGCAAGCATTAACCAAATAGGCAGACACATCATCATGCCCTATTGTGACAAATGCTATTTTAGAAAAGGGAAGAAGACTATAGCAGTGGAGGGGGCCTAATTTAGCTTGGGGGTGGTGGTTTAAGTCTTCCAAAGAGAACCATCCTGTAGGGTGAACACTAGGGTATGCACACTAGCTGCACTCTAGGGGCTGAGACGCTGAGATTGCTGAGTGGGAGAGGAAAGGTGTTGATGAGGAGGAAGATGGCCCTGGTTTAAACTGCTGAGAACAGGGTGCTGCACACAGTAGGAGCGCCATGAAGAGTGGTCCCCAGTGTTCTCACCAACATATCTGAAGTGGAGCAGGACGGTGATCAATCACACCCCTGTCCCCGACCTCATTCTGAACCCGTTTGAAACGAGCAGATGCAAAAATCTGACAAGTGTGTTGACAACGGTGATTTTAAAGGTCCTAAGAGATTCTCTGGATTTCAGAACCAATTTCCCATAGTAGAGGGGCACATTCCCTGCAGTGGCCTGTGTCATACACAGCCAATTTCACCTTTTCACTGCCTGGTTATTCTGCAAAGTGCATCCTAGAATGACCTTCCTCTCTGAGCTCCTCTTCAAAATTCTGATTCTTTCTCAAACTGTAAAGCCTCTGGCATTTGCCAAGAGCCAAGGCCCTCCTGAAGCCACAGTTTGAGAACAGCCAAGAGGCAGACATGAGAAAGAAGTCCCACCCCTGGCAGGGAGAGCTGACACTTCCCGGGCTACTGCATCCTTCTCAGGGCCCAGAAATGAATGAGAGGTAATTAAAGCAGAAAGCATTTTGCAGCAGCTCCGCTCAGCTCTCCGAAGCTGCCATGGTCCCAGGATCAGTGGTGTGCCCTGAGGACAGCCAAGGGACATTCCTCGAGGCCCTAGAAATCATCAGCCACCTCCAGCAACTTCACCGGGCCTCCCTGGGAAGTCTCCCTTGCTGCTGATGGGCACGAAGGCACCAGGGCCTCCTGTACATGGAAAACTCACAATCTAGGAATGTCCTGTGGTTGTTGATCCTGGGACATCCCCAGAAGAATTTAGTTAAGCCCTCCAAGAAAGGAAACAAGGTTTTCTTGCTGCTGAAGATGTCTCACTTGTTCTTTTTTAAAAAAGCAGTGCAATTGAATTTGCAGTTTGTTTTTGCTTTCTTTCCATTTCCTGTTGCTACATCTCCAAGATCTCAGCTGCGCTGAGGAACAAACAAAAATAAGCAATTTTATGCAGGAGGAATATTCGGTTTCCACTCCCTTCTCCCAGCCTGCGGCAGTGCTTGGCCTGCAGAATTCTTGCTCTGCCCTCTGTTTCAGCGGGTGTTGTCATCTGCCAGCTGCTTTGCCTGGGGGTTCTGACATCTCAGGGCTTATTCTTAGCGTCAGTCTCAGCAGAGTCTTAAACCACGTTCAAAGGATTCGGTCCCGCTGCCATCCTCTCTGCATCTTTCTGTAGTTCTTTCTGATAATATTTAGCAAATCACTTTAACACAGAGTCTTCGAATTCTTTCCAGATTTACGATGGAAACACAGAGGCAAAGAGCTTGGGGTAGAAAGCAGAAGAGCAGGTGCTGGAAGAGTTTAATGGTGGATTTTGAGTTGGTCACAGTCATTTTGCTTTACTAAGTCCAGGGAAGCTCATCTTCAGAGTTAACCACTGTGTGTGTGTGTGTGTGTGTGTGTGTGTGTGTGTGTGTGTATATATATATATATCACACACACACTGTGATATATATATATATATACACACACACTGGTATATATATATATATTTATATATAACCACTGTGTGTGTGTATATATATGTATATATATGTGTGTATATATATGTGTGTATATATGTGTGTGTGTGTATATATATATACACATATATATACACACACATATATATATATACACATATATATATGTATATTTTTGAGATGGAGTCTTGCTCTGTCACCCAGGCTGGAGTGCAGTGGCACACTCTCAGCTCGCTGCAACCTCCACTTCCTGGGTTCAAGTGAGCACGTCCGGCTAATTTTTGTATTTTTTAGTAGAGACAGGGTTTCACCATGTTGGCCAGGCTGGTCTTGAACTCCTGACTCAAGTGATCCACCTGCCTCAGCCTCCCAAAGTGCTAGGATTACAGACGTGAGTCACCATGCCCGGCCCAGAGTTAACCACTCTATTCAGGTGTTGTTTATTTTTCTTAAAATTCTATTACACGTGAATAAAATTCAATGCTTTTTAGTAAATTTAGAGTTGTGCAACCATCACTACCCTCCAGTTTTAAAACATTTTTACAATCCCCCGAAGCTCCCTTATGCCCATTTGCCATCACTGCCCCATTCCCAACACCCCGGTCCCAGGTAACCACGCATCTACTTTCTCTCTAGATTTGCCTTTTCTGAATATTTCATACAAATGGAATTATGCAATGGATGTTTTGTGTGTGTGTGCACGGCTGACTTCTTTAACTGAATGTAATGTTTCAGAGGTTCATCCATGTTGTAGCATGTATCATATCAGTACTTCACTTTTTTTTTTTTTTGGAGTTGAAGTCTCACGCTGTCACCCAGGCTGGGATGCAGTGGTGCGATCTTCGCTCACTGCAACGTCTGCCTCCCAGGTTCAAGCAATTCTCCCTGCCTCAGCCACCCAAGTAGCTGGGATTACAGCCGTGTGCCACCACGCCCAGCTAACTTTGTATTTTTAGTACAGACAGGGTTTCAAATATGTTGGCCAGGCTGGTCTCGAACTCCTGACCTCAAGTAATCTGTCCACCTCGAACTCCAAAAGTGCTGGGATTACAGGTGTAAGCCACCATGCCGAGTCTTCATTCCTTTTTATTACTGAGGTGTATTCTGCTGGATGGATATATCATATCTTGTTTTTATTCTCCATTTTTTAAATATTGCAAAATTGGCCTAAAACCACCTCTCTGGAGCATTTGATGATCACGTGGATACCATTGGGTTGTGTGTAAGTGTGTGTATCTAACAGGGAGAGGGAGTGACTCTTGCACCGATTTGGAAAGTGATTTTAAAATCTTATCTACATTGCATTTAAAAATATATTGAGTCCACATTTTAAAAATATACCACGTATTTAAAATATTTCTTTTTGGCTTTTAGTTCCCAAGAACATACTCACAGTGATTGATCCAGCCATTGGTAATCTAAAACCTTCTTTGAAGCAGAAAGATGGTGAATATGGTAATTTTTATGGCTTAGTACCAGCATTTCTCTTTAAGTAAAGGTAAACAGCCCCTGGGTGACCACAGCTGGGCACACCTTGATTAGAATGGAAGGGGCTGTCAGGAGTTGTGTTTGAGGTGACGGTCCTGGTGATGATAGTGCTTTAGCCAATAGTTGCAATGAAGACCAATTTATTTTGTTTTGACTTTTTTAACATCAGAATTAGGATAACCCTCCCCTTCATTCTCCTCTCACTTCCTAAAAGGAAAATCACTTTGAAAAGACATCTGCTCAGAAATAAATTTGGGCTTCCTGGGTTACACAATGAGCTTTTTGCAAAGCTGAGCCCATTGGAAACTGCGTAGGCACCAGTGCCGGGTAGCACCTGAGGACCTCTGTACCTCTGTACACGCCACCTTCCTCCTTAGTTTCCTTCCTCCCTCCCTTCCTCCCCCCCTCCCTCCCTCCCTTTCTCCCCCCTCCCTCCCTTTCTCTCTCTCTCCGTTTTCTTCCTTCCTTCCTTCTTCTCCTTCCTCCTCTTCTTTCTTTCTTTCTCTCCCTCTGTCTCTCTTTCTTTTTCTGTCTCTCTTTCTTTCCCTCCCTCTCTCCCTCTTTCTCTTTCTTTCTTTTTTCTTTTTCTCCTTCTCTCTCTTTATTTCCCTCCCTCCGTCCCTCTCTCCTTCTCTCTCTCTCTCTCTCTTTCTTTCTTTCTTCCTTTCTTTCTTCTTTTTCTTTGGAGTTTTGCTTTTTCTCACCCAGGCTGGAGTGCAGTGGCACAATCTCCACTCACTGCAAACTCTGCCTCCGGGTTCAAGTGATTCTCCTGCCTCAGCCTCCTAAGTAGCTGGGATTATAGGTGTCCACCACCACACCTTGCTAATTTTTGTGTTTTTAGTAGAGATGGGATTTTACCATGTTAGTCATGCTGGTCTCGAACTCCTGACTTTAGGTGTTCTCCTCGCCTCAGCCTCCCAAAGTGCTGGGATTACAGGTGTGAACCACTGCACCCGGCCCCTCCTTAGTCTTCACTTGGCTTTTGTAAATGGGGTGGGGGGTGGGGGGGTTGAGGGGGTTGAGCATTTGGATTTTCTTATCAAATCTAGAATGGAATTCAAACCCATGGGGTCCCTAATAGAAATCGCAGAGACCCAGTAGAGCATCTAAGATGTTAGACTTTGGTGAGAGTTTTGTCTCGTGTTACCTTTATTGTAGGTATTAGGTCTTTCCCCCCTAAGTATAAAAGTAAAGTATGTTTGATTTGAAAACCACATGAAACACCCCTAGTCCAAAAGCTCGGAGAGAACTATGGTAATGTTCTTCTGTGTCCTTCTAGCTGGTCACTTTGGCTTTCTGGCATATTCTGTGTTCCTTAGCTCCACTTCTCTTTCTTTTTTTAAAAAAATCAACTAATTAATTAACTATGATTATTATTTTTCTAAAGACAGGGTTTTGCCACGTTGCCCTGGCTGGTCTCGAACTTCCAGGCTCAAGCAATCCACCCACTTCATCCTCCAAAGGTGCTGGGATTACAGGCGTAGGCCACCACACCCAGCCTCCACTTATTTTTCTAACAGGGTTCCCACCCGATCCATAAACAGCCTGGTCCCCCTTCAGTGGGGGCATGAGAGCCAGCACTGTGCCATCTTTCCTCAAAGGCATCTGTCCTGTCTGACATGGCTAGGAGTCCCCCAAGGCACCACCAGGCTACCCTATCACAGGCTAGCTAAGCTCCATCCAGCACTGTAACCAGGATCTAAAAGTGGATTTGCCTCACGTTTTGCTGTAGTTTCCAAAAAAAAGTAGCCCCATAACACCTCCCTCTGTAATGGAGGCTTGTTTTATCTCTGGCCACACAGCGGACAGCAACTCCATGCTTAACGTGAGATATTATTGGCCGGGGGTGGTGGCTCACGCCTGTTATCCCAGCACATTGGGAGACCGAGGCAGGCAGATCGCCTGAGGTCAGGAGTTCGAGACCAACCTGGCCAACGTGGGGAAGCCCCATCTCTAATAAAAATACAAAAATTTGCTGGTCATGGTGGCATGTGCCTGTAATCCCAGCTACTCAGGAGGCTGAGGGAGGAGAATCGCTTGAACCCAGGAGATAGAAGTTGCAGTGAGTGGAGATCGCGCCATTGCACTCCAGCCTGGGCAACAAGAGTGAAACTCCATCTCAAAAATAAATAAATAAATAAACAATTAAAATAAAATAAAACGAGATGTTATTAAGCCTCCAAGGGGCATGATGAATATCACTGTCTTTAGGATGGGAAAATCCATTTGTTCCCTTCCGCAGTGGAGTGGAAGACCAGCACCTGAAGTTGGAACCAACACTTAAAACAATTTCTAATCCTTTTTGTACTTTAATATTTTCGGGGACTGCTTATTATTTAATAAGTGCTCTTCCTGGGTTAAACTTCTATAATTTATCCAGAGGCCCATTTGTTTGATTTCTGTGACTTTTAATTATTCTGGCTGTCCCTGGGGTAGGAACAGCAGAGGTCTCTTAGAATAGGCATACTATGAACAGCTGTGATTAATTGGTTTTGCATTTTTCATGAAACAGGTATGAACTTCGACCCAAGCGAATCGAAGGTTCTGAGGAAAGATGGAATCCTTGTTAGTGACTCTCTGGCAGCCTTTGCTTACATTAGAGATAGGTCAATGAATCAAAGCTTCCTAGAAAGCTGATGGATTTACTAAAGTCTTGTTAATAAATGTGCTGTTCAATTATAACACTCAGATAACTAAAGGACAATGACTTCAAGTTTGACATGCCAACCACCGCTTCTAAGATTCAGAAACACAGAGGCCTGAGTTCAGGCACTGTCACAACCAGGCAGTCAGCAAGAGAACCACATAAACAGACAAAGTCACACTATTTAGGAGTTGAGCTCCACAGATGTCATTCACTTTTGAAAAGTAGAAACCGGAGGAATGTATTTCTCTGCTCTAAAATTTGGGAAGGAACTAGAATTATTGAATTCCAACCCTGGCTGGAAGAAAAATGAGCCAGAAGGTCACTTAGTAAACAAGACAGATGATGCCCCATAAAGACAGAACCACTTTCTGGGTCATGAGTGTTATTCCTAATGGTTGCCAAGGCTTCCCTTGTTAGTCTTCCCCGTGAGTATGAATCAGACTCAGCCCTCATGAATTAACGGAGCAAAAAGGCTTATACCAAGGTCGGCCACACCATGGGGACCTCTCCATTGAGGGGAAGGTATCTACAATTTTTCCTCACCACCCTCTCTGCTTAAGATAGAATGCATCTTGGAATGTCATCTGCAAGTTTCAGCAATGCCTGCCTATGTTCAGAGAAATAAAAACCAGAGACTTTCAGTAAAATACATGTTAATATAACACATAACAGTATTACTATTCAAGGCCTGTGAAGATAGGCCTATTCGGGTTAAGCCTGTCTCAGAGGAAAATAGAGGCTTAGGGAATGTATTTGTCTGTTCTCATGCTACTAATAAAGACATACCTGAGGCTGGATAACTTATAAAGGAAAGAGGTTGAATGCACTCACAGTTCCCCATGGTTAAGGAGGCCTCACAATCTCGGTGGAAGGTGAATGAGGAGCAAAGTCATGTCTTACTTGGGAGCAGGCAAGAGAGCTTGTGCAGGGGAACTCCTCTTTATAAAACCATCAGATCTCGTGAGACTTATTCACTATCATGAGAACAGCATGGTAAAGACCCACCCAATGATTCAATTACCTCCCACCAAGTCCCTCCCATGACACATGCGGATTAGGGGAGCTACAATTCAAGATGAGATTTGGGTGGGGACACAGCCAAACCATATCAGGGAATGATCTCAATACATGAGATGCAGAGTTCAGTCTTGGGGTCCCCTGATGTTCTGTTCTCCTCCTGCATTAGGATTCCTCCTGTGTGTGTGTGTTGTGTGGTTGTTGGTTTCTTCTGTGGGTCCTCTCTTTTCTAGCCACCTTCTCATTTTCATGTCTTGCTGTTCCTGATCATTGTCAATGTTAAGAACCGTAAGGATTTTTCTTGTCAGAAATATCCCCATATTTACAAAGACCCCAGGGAGCTTATTGGAGAAAAGCCAACATGAAAATCCTCCAGACAGAGAATAACAATTGAAGGGGAATGAGTCTGACATTGTGCTCAGTGAGCTGTGGCCGTGCTGTGTGCTTTACCCCAACTACCTTGTCGGTTCCTCTCAACAACTGCCTCAGCCAGCCCAGCTGCCATAACAAAGTACCCGAGACCGGATGGCCTAAATAACAGACATTGATTTTCTCACTGTTCTGGAGGCCAGAAGTTCATGATCAAAGTATCCACCATCCCTTTCTGGTAAGGGCTGTCTTCCTGGCTGGCAGACAGCAGCCTTCTTGCTTGTCCTCACATGGCAGAGAGGGGGAGAGACAGAGACAGAGACATCTCTTCTTTTTATAAAACCACCAATCCTATCAGATTAGGATTCCACCCTTATGACCTCCTTGAATGTTAATTAGCTCCTAATGAGTGAATTGGGGGGAACACAATTCAGTCCACAGCAACAACCCTGAGAGATGGGACTCTGGTCCCCTGTTCTGCACTTGAAGCCGGTGGTCAGAGGAGTTGAGCCATTTGCCTGAGGACACCGTGGACAACGGCAGGGCCAGGATTCAGGCTCAGCTAATACAAGGCTTGCACTCCAGCTACTCTGAATTTTGAGGGATGCAACCACCTCCCCATTCTGTTCCTGAGTTGTCTAAATTAGCTTTCCTCCATCCCTTTCTATCCTTTTTTGTGATTATCATTCCCAGAAATCACAGGATAGAGATATTCGTTTAGTGACTGTCTCCTCTGCTAGTGGCTCAGCTCCACAGGGGCAGGTGCTTTGTCATCTTATTTCGTGTGGTGTCCCTGCATCTAGGATGCGGTGCTGGTACAGAACAGGTGCACAGTCAGTAGCTAAGGAACAATTGAATGATGACTGCTGATCTGGGCTTATGAGCTTTTTCCTGTGCCTTATTGTCATCCAATATTTGCTATTTATAAGATGTCAGTTTTTTTTTAATGTAAGGAGTTGATGAGCTGTTATTTGGTTTTATTGAGGGGTGTGTTGGGACATTTCTCTCAGCAAGCCTTGGCCACGCCTCCATATAATGTCCAAGAGAAAGAGTCTCTAAATACACTGTGTTGGATGTTACCTAAATGAAATCACCACAAGAAGCTCGTGACTCAAATCACAGAGGCTCACAAAGCCCTAGTAGAACAGGCGACTCTGAGCTTGCCTGTGGGTTTTCTTGGTGTGTCTGCATCGCTGTGTGGGTGGCCACTCTACAGGTGAGAAGCATGCAGTGCGTGCTCGGGGGTCTGCAGGCCAGTGTGCCGCAGAGGTGCTTGTGGACATCAGGCTGGGCCATTCCGACCTGAACAGGCAGTGGTCAACAGCCAACGTCACACAGTGCTGAGCGCCATCCTCCATGCTGCTGGAGAGAGGTGCCCAGACAACTCTCAGTCGCATCCCCGGCCCCACTGTGGGGATATGACCCACGGGATGAGCTGGGGTCTCTAGGCACCCCCAAAGTAGGAGCAGCTGGGAGCCAAGAGTGTGAGCAGGCAGTTTCCAGCCCAAACCACCCAAATAGGTGGCAAATCGAGTGAATTCAAAAGTGCATTTCCCAGGTCAGGCTGCAAGTAGCTTTGACACAGTAGTGCGGTCCAGTGTACATGGGGACAAAGAGATGAGAAACCAAAATCGAGAGGTTTGTCCCCAGATATTAAAGCACAGAGGCTGGCAGAAGGGAGAGGGAGATGAACAAGTGTTCCTGGTGAAATGTCTCCTGGGGTCATTTGAATGATCTGTGAGATGGCTTCCCCAATATTGAAAAAGCTTCTTAGGCATGTTTGAATTTACTGTCATTTCAATAATACAGACTTACTCCCTGAATTCATTCTAGAATCAAGAACGTGAGTCTGAGGAAGCTCATAGAAAGAAATTGGAAATTAGATAAATGGAAAAGGAGTGGTGTGTGTGTAAGTGTGCATGTGTGTGCACGTGTGCACGTGTGCATGTGTGCACGTGTGTGCTTGTGCATATGTGTGTGCATGTGTGTGCACGTGTGTGCATGCGCATATGTGTGTGCGTGTGCATGTGTATGTGTGTGCACGTCTGTGTATGTGTGCAATTGTGCATGTGCGTCTGTAAGCATGTCCATGCGTGTGTGCATGTGCACATGCGTGCATATGTGTGAGCATGTGTGTGCGAGTGGATGTGTGCATGTGTGTGCGTCTGTGTGTGCATGTTTGTCTCTGTGTGCATGTGTCTGTGTGTGCATGTGTGCGTCTTTATGTGTATATCTTTATGTGTATGTGTGTGCATGTGTGTGCACGTGTGTTTTTGTGTGTGCATGTGTATGTGTGTGCATGTGTGTTTGTGTGTACATGCGTATCTGCGTGTGCACGTTTGCATGTGTGTGCCTGTATGTGCATGAATGTGTATATCTGTGTGTGCATGTGTGCATGTGTGTGTGCATGTATGTGCGTGCATATTGTGCGTATGTGTCTGCATGTGCATGTGTGTTTGCATGTGTGTGCATGCATGTGTATCTCTGTGCATATGTGTATCTGTGTGTGCATGTGTGTATGTATTTGTGTGCCTGTGTGTGCATGTGTCTGTATGCATGTGCATGTGTGTGCCTTCGTGTGTTTGTGTGCATGTGTGTGTACCTGTGTGTGTGCATGTGTGTGCCTGTATGTATGTGTATCTGTATGTGTGTTTGTGTGTGTGTGTGTATCTCTATGTGTGCTTGCATGTGTGTGTGGGTGCATGTGTGTATGCATGCATGTGTGTGCATGCATATGTGCGTGTGTATCTTTGTGTGTAAGTGTGTGTTGGAAGTTCTTAGCAAGGCAGTGTAATAGGTGGCGCGGCATGAACCATTGTCCCTTGGCAGATTGTGCCCCAGGAGACTTATGTATTTAGACAGTCTTGCATGAGAATATGACCTCTCCTACTCCACCAAATTACTGTTTCATTGACATCTGGCTTTGGGTGTTTCCCTCATATGTGCCTGCAGGCATGCCTTTTGTGGCCTAATATTTCCATCGCTGCTCCTGCCCCCTTGGGACAGTGAAAGATATGTCGTCAGCCTCTGGCAGGCCCTGCTGTGGGCTTTTGGGGCACCTTTTGTGGTAAGGGGTAAGGAAGCTGGGCAGAAGGGACAAGCTTGCAGCCTGGGATGTCCTGTGTTGGGAGGCATTATTGTTTCATAAGGGAGGAACTCCAGGGCCACAGACAAGCTCATACTGAAAGAGAAACACAACAACACGCTCCAGAGTCAGAGCTATGTGATTCCCCGACCAGGGAGGACCACTGGAGATCAGCACCACCTTGTCAGGGAGATGTGGATTCGGATGTGTTCCCACGGTCTCCAATCTCTGGTTCCATGACAGAAAGTTTCTGTCACACCCCTAAGTGCTGTCAGACCAGCGCTCGGTATGCTTTGTGCTTTCCTCTGGACAACCATCAGGCCCTGACTGCTGCCTTGATCCTCTCAACCGCTATAGGGCCCCGACAGGGGGAACCCTCGCCATGGCCTCTGGGTGTCTTATCTGGACATGACGAGCTGGAGTGTGTGTTTGCCCCAAGTCAGGATCTAAGAGTGGAAAGGAGCCTTAAAGGCCATAGGACCCCCTTTGGAGGTTCCCAAGGGCATACGGCAGCTGATCAAATGAAAGTCATTCACTCCAGCTGGGGATGAACCAAGGCTAAATTTAAAACAATGCCGGCAATAACACAGTGTGAAGATTCTGTTCAATCACAAGGAAAACTCTGTTTTTCCAGAATACAGAATAGGAAAAGGAGACACAAAAGTATAAAGTAGTCCAAGTGATTCTGGAGAACACTTGACATTCCCTTAGTGTAAAGCCTGGGACCATGGAGAGAGCCCTGGCCTGAGCTTGGGGTCCCAGCCAAGTGGTGGCTTTCCACAAGTGACTTGACTACAACAGGAGGGGTTGGACCAGCTCATCACTAGGATTCCAGATGACCAACATCTGGTGAGTTTGTAACTTCAAACTAGTTGATCCAGATGACTCGGAAGCCTCCTTCCCAGGGACCTGCCAAACATGGCCCATGTTACCCAGCTCTGGCGGCTGCATCTCAGCAGAGTCGATGCAGACTAACCCTAAAGAGTCTCACTTAGCAGGAGGCAGGCCTAGGCCAAGAGGCACCTGGAGTCTTATGAGAGAGAAGCTCTCCTGGCAGGAGAACCCAGACACCCAGCTCCCAGGAGAAGAGGAGAGAGAAAAAATGGGAACTGATTTTATGGAGCCACATCTCCAGGGCGCCAAGCCGAGGGCTCAAATCCATGATTCCCTCCTTTTATGCACTCAGCAAATATTTTCATAATGCCCACTCTGTGCCAGAGATGGCACTGGGGATTTGGCAAAGAACAAGACGGTTCCAGCCCCTGCCCTGAGGGAGCTTGCATTCTAGGTGGAGAGAAAGGATGGCACCCACTCAGCAAGTGACTGAGGATTGTAAGTTGGGCTGTGAAGAAGACATTCAAGATACTCTGAGACTAAATGACAGGGGACCTGGCTAGGCCAAGGCAGGGGGAGGTATCTAGTAGTGCTGGATGAAGAGGGAGGAAAGAACTTTCCAGGCTAACAGAAGAGCACATGCAGAAACACCAGGGTGCGCAGGCATCTGATGCAACAAGAGTGAGGAATGGGAGGCCAGAGCGGGGAGCAGAGAGGAAACGGAAGGTCTCGGGAGTTGAACTTGGGGAGGGTGAAAAGGGCCAGGTCATAGCCGGCTTCCTAGGCTGTGGTCAGGACTTGACTTTTATTAGGATGGTGCAAAAGTAATTGTGATTTCCGCCATTATTTATTTTTTTTTTATCAGAGTCTGTCTTGGTCACCCAGGTTGGAGTGCACTGGTGTGATCTTGGATCACTGCAACCTCCGTCTCCCAGGTTCAAGCCATTTTCCTGCCTCATCCTCCCAAGTAGCTGGGACTACAGGCACATGCCACCACCCCCAGCTAATTTTAATTTTTGTATTTTTAGTAGAGATGGGGTTTCACCATGTTGTCCAGGCTGATCTCAAACTGCTGACCTCAAGTGATCCACCTGCCTCGGTCTCCCAAACTGCTGGAATTACAGGTGTGAGCCACCATGCCCAGCCAATTTCTGCCATTACTTTTAATGGAAACAGCAATTACTTTTGCACCAACCTAATAGCTTAGGAGACGGAAGAGGTCATCTATATGTTTTAAGTCAGACAGTGGTGTGACCCAACGGGTATTTCTAAAAGATTACAGAGGCCATGCAGGAAAGATGGTTTCCATATGGTCTGTGGTTGCTTTTGCACTACTACAGCAGAGCTGTTATATTTGCAACAGAGACCACATGGCCCATAAAGCTGCAATAGTTCCTATCTGGCCATTCACTAGAAGAGGGGGCAAGAGAGCAGGATGGGGCCCAAGTGCCTGCAGGGAAGATGGAGCAGAACAGTGTTTCATCTCTGTTTTTCAGATAATTTCATGAGGTCGAAAGACATCTTAATGAAAGTGAAAGTACAAGGTAGTTACCAGGAGATATTCACACCACATGCCATGTCCCACACCTGCAATCCCAGCTTCACACCAGATGCAATGGCTCACAGCTGTAATCCCAGCACTTGGGGAGGCCAAGGCAGGAGGATCACATTCAGCCAGGAGTTTAAGACCAGCCCGGGCAAAAAAGTCAGACCTCATCTCTACAAGAAAATATAATAAAAAGTTAGCCGGGCATGGTAGTACATGCCTGTAGTCCCAGCTACTCAGGAGGCTGAGGTGACAGGATTGTTTGAGCCCAGAAATTTAAGGCCGCAGCATGCTGTGATTGTGCCACTGCACTCCAGTCTGTGTGAAAAAGGGAGACTCTCTCTCTTTCTCTCTTTCTCGCTCTCTCACACACTCTCTCTCTATATATATATATGTATATATAGATAGTCACAATATATTTGCTGTCAAAGTATTATCATCAAAAGTCTATAGAAAATATACACGTCCTTGGGCTGGGCACAGTGGCTCAATTCTGTAATCTTAACACTTTGGGAAGTTGAGGCGGGTGGATCACCTGAGGTCAGGAGTTCAAGACCAGCTTGGCCAACATGGCAAACCCCATCTCTACCAAAAATACAAAAATTAGCTGGTGTGGTGGCACGCACCTGTAATCTCAGCTACTAAGGAGTCTGAGGCGCAAGAATCGCTCGAACCCGGGAGGCGGAGGTTGCGGTGAGCCCAGATTGTGCCACTGCACTCCAGCCTGTGCAACAGAGTGACACTCCATGAAAACGCAAAACAAAACAAAATAAAACCAAATAAAAAACAACAACAAAAGCAAACAGGCACTTCTGATGCAGGCCGCAACACGGATGAACCTTGAAGACATCATCGTCAGTGAAATAAATAAATCCCAAAAGGATAAACATGCCCAGGCTCAGTGGCTCGCACCTGTAACCCCAGCATTTGGGGAGGTTGAGGCAGGCGGATCACTTCAGGTCTGGAGTTCGAGACCAGCCTGGCCAATATGGTGAAAGCTCGTCTCTATTAAAAATACAAAAATTAGCTGGGCGTGATAGCACACGCCTGTAATCCCAGCTAGTCGGGAGACTGAGACATAAGAATTGCTTGAACCCCCGATGTGGAGGCTGCAGTGAGCCAAAATCATGCCACTGCACTCCAGCCTGGGCGACAGAGAAAGACTCTGTATCTAAAAAAAAAAAAAATTAAACGCGGTATGATTCTACTTATCTATCAAGTGTCTAGAGTAGTTAGACTCCTAGAGTTGCAAACTAGAAAGGTGGCCCCCAGGGGTGGGCGAGAGAGAGGAGTGGAGAGCTTGGTGAATGGGTGCAATTTCCATTTTGAAAAACAAAACTGTTCCGGAGATGATGGCGGTGATGGTTGCTAAACAATGTGAACGTACTTAATGTCATTAAACTGTAAAGTGAAAAAGAGTGGAAACTGTAAATGTTTACACTGGCCATTCTATATGAACTAATATATATTTATAATTTTTCATATTTATACGTGGTATATTTTCCCATAATGAAAGATGAAAATTAAAGCAGTTGGATTTTTAAAAAGAAAAGAAAGAAGTGAATAATACATACCAGCTTTCTCCTGATTAGAGGAAGAGTCCCAAAGCTTCTATGGACAATCATTTTCTCTTCTTGTTCTTGCATGGTGATGAGGAAATCCTTAGAGGTTGGGGAACTTGGGTGATTTTGGCTAATGAGGAGCTCTGTGCCTTGAGCCCCCCAGGCCACAGAACAGTAAATACTCAGTCTGTGCCTCCAGCCCTGCAGTGTGAGGTTGCAGTCCTGTGGGCTCCACAGCCGTCACCTGTATCAGGAGCCTCATGTCTCACCCTGTCTTCTTGCCAGCCTTGAGGATGGAGTCTGAGCATCCATGGTGCACCACGCAGGGAGGACAGTGGACCTGTTCTCTGTGGTCATGGCCCAGGAGAGGGGAAGGGCAGTTCAGTGAGTGTAGGCAAAAGAAAGAGAGATCAGACTCTTACTGTGTCTATGTAGAAAGGAAAGACATAAGAGACTCCAATTTGAGAAAGACCTGTACTTTCAACCATTGCTTTGCTGAGATGTTGTTAATGTGTAGCTTTGCCCCAGCCACTTTGACCCAACCTGAAGCTCACAAAAACATGTGTTGTATGAAATCAAGGTTTAAGGGATCTAGGGCTGTGCAGGACGTGCCTTGTTAACAAGATGTTTCCAAGCAGTATACTTGGTAAAAGTCATCGCCATTCTCTAGTCTCAATAACCCAGGGGCACAATACACTGTGGAAAGCCACAGGGAGCCCTGCCCTTGAAAGCAGCGTATTGTCCAAGGTTTCTCCCCATGTGATAGTCTGAAATGTGGCCTCGTGGGATGAGAAAGACCTGACCGTCCACGAGCCCGACACCCGAAAGGGTCTGTGCTGAGGTGGATTAGTCAAAGAGGAAAGCCTCTTGCAGTTGAGAGAGAAGAAGGCCACTGTCTCCTGCCTGACCCTGGGAAATAAATGTCTCGGTATAAAACCCGATTGTACATTTGTTCAATTCTGAGATGGGGGAAAAACCACCCTATGTTGGGAGGTGAGACATGTTTGCAGCAATGCTGCCTTGTTATTCTTTACTCCACTGAGATGTTTGGGTGGAGAGAAACATCAATCTGGCTTACGTACACGTCCAGTCATAGTACCTTCCCTTGAACTTCATTATGACATAGATTCTATTGCTCACATGTTCGTTGCTGACCTTCTCCTTATTATCATCCTGCCCTCCTACTACATTCCTTTTTGCTAAAATAATAAAAATAATAATCAATAAAAACTGAGGGAACTCAGAGGCCAGTGCTGGTGCAGATCCTTAGTATGCTGAGCGCTTGTCCCCTGGGCTCACTGTCGTTTCTCTGTACTTTGTGTCTGTGTCTTATTTCCTTCCTCAGTGTCTCATCCCACCCAACTAGAAATACCCACAGGTGTGGAGGGCCAGGGCACACCTTCAAGTGAGTGTTGAGGGACGGTCGGGAGCCTTGTTTGGTTTCCTCCTCCTCAGGACAAACAGGAGAGTGCAGTGGGCAGATGGGAGGAGACCAATGTGCAAACTGTCCGCTCAGCAGACTGTGCAGTTTCTGTTCTTGGTTGTGCTGGGGATCTCAGAAATCTTATTCAACACTTTGCTTTCCTCCCCCACTGGTTGTGCTTTTCATAGACATCTCACCCATGATAGCAGGGAATCAGTACCTCTAAACTATTCCCTAAGAACAACAAAAAGATTATGAAGGTGATGATGAGGATAAAGAGGAAGACGACAGACACCATGGCATCATGAACTCTTACTGAGGGCTTCCTAAAGGCCAGGCTCTGAGCTCTGTGCTCTATGCAGCCTGTTTCATTTCATCTGCGTAGTCTCCACGTTATTAGTGCACATTTCAGGATGATTTTACAGACTAGAAAAGGAGCAACACCTTTTCATATAACTCGTACTAGATCATGAAGTCAAAAAGGGTGAAGTCCAATTTGAACCAGACAGTCTAAGTGCAGACACATGGCATTTGGCCAGTCCTCTCCCTGTAACCAACCTGCCCTCTCAAATCCTCGTCACTCAGGCGGATGCCCCTGCTCACTGTGCCCTTCCCTTTGGGGGTTCCTTGTAGACCACAGCTAGACCAGTGGGTGCCAGAATCACTGTGTCAAGTATGGAAAGGGCAGCTGAGATCACATCGAGGATTCCAGAAAGAATTGGCACAGGATCATTCGGGACGCATCTCTCCCTTGCCCCTGTTCCTGGCTTTCCTTACAGCTCTCGACTTCCTCCAAGGAGTCATCAATTCGGAGTTTGGCTTCCATTCCTACTGAGGAAGCTGGAAAGCATTTCAAAAATGCTCCTCCGATGTGCCTGTGGTTAAGACCTCTGAGCTCTGCTTAAAACTTTTGGAAGCTGGGAGCGGTGGCTCATGCCTGTAATCCCAGCCCTTTGGGAGGCTGAGGCAGGCGAATCACAAGGTCAGGAATTCGAGACCAGCCTGGCCAACATGGTGAAACCACGTCTCTACTCAAAATAGAAAAAAATGAGCCAGGCGTAGTGGCGGGCGCCTGTCATCTCAGCTAATTGGCAGGCTGAGGCAGGAGAATAGCTTGAACCTGGGATGCAGAGGTTGCGGTGAGCCGAGATCACTCCATTGCACTCCAGCCTGGGCAACGGAACGAGACTCCATCTCAAAACAACAAAAACAAAAACAAAAACCAAAAAAACCCACAACTTTTTGAGAGTTGGAAGTCCAGGGAGTATAGTACCCGGGACTTCGAGTCTGGCCATGAATTTTGAATACCACCCTTTCTACTTCTCTGTATGGCAAGGGGTGAGATGTCCATCCTCTGAGACTCAGCACTCTCATCTGACTTGATTTCCAGTTGATCCGATGGAAGTGAGTGTTGATTAAGCTGATCGTGGGCGCCCGCTGCGTGATCTCTAGGTGACGGATACATAAAGTAAAGGCAAAGTGAATTTTAGATACATTCCTTAAGATTTTCAACTTCAACTCCACACAATTCAACGGAAATATCCCCTGACCTGAAGTTCTGGTTTCCCTGCATTCCAGACAGGACATTTTGTTTTGTCCTTCTCTCAGTAAGTACTGAGTACTGTGAGAGGAACAAGTGAGTCTCTTTGGTTTCTGATTCCCCAGAGCCTATATCTTGCTTGGCACATAGGAGACAGCAAAAGTCAAAATCTATGTTAATGGTTGAATTGACCCTTCCTTGCTTCATCAAAATTGGCTGTCATCAGCGTGACTTTGGCTTACTTGATTCTTTTTGGTTTTTGTTTTTTGAGACGGAGTTTTGCTCTCGTTGCCCAGGCTGGCGTGCAGTGGTGTGATTTCGGCTCACTGTAGTCTTTGCCTCCCAGGTTCAAGCCATTCTCCTGCCTCAGCCTCCCGAGTAGCTGGGACCACAGGCGCGCGCCGCCATACTGGGCGAAGTTTTTGTATTTTTAGTAGAGGCGGGGTTCCACCATGTTGGCCAGGATGGTCTTGATCTCCTGACCCCGTGATCCGCCCTCCTCAGCCTCCCAAAGTGCTGGGATTACAGGCATGAGCCACCGCATCCGGCCAAACTTTCTGATGAAAACTCTAAGTCCACCTAAGCTAAGGACAGGAGTTAGAGCTTCCATGAATTTTAAAACAAGACCCACTGATTTGAGTAAGCAATTACTCTCTTGAAGGAGAAAAGTCCGAAAACAGAATGATGAAATCACTAGGACCTATTCTCTGCTTATGAACTATCAACTTTCATTTCATTTCCAGATGGCATGGTCTCAGCTGTTATACAGCGTTTACAAATGTTCTAAATCAAGGGAATTTGTATCAATGTAGTAGAATAAATAAAATATTTGAGTTCTTAATTTCCTTTAATTAGGATAACCTTTTTCTTAAAGTGAAGACAATGGTTTTATTACATCTTGTTCTTCGGAAAAGATAGGCTGTATTTTCCAGCAATTACCAATTTGTTATATATGATGATCTGGTTCTTGGAACGTTCTTGAAGCTAGTGTCTCTAAGGCAGGTGTGTACAGCAAGACGTGAATAACACAGCAATCGATGTTGAAAGCATTATAAGGCAATTGAGCTTGTCAGAACTACAAAATATTGCTGAGTGTGGATTGCTCTGAAATCTGAAAACATTACTTGTGAATTGCTTATAACCAAAATGCAGACACAATGCTGGGTATTGGTTTACTTGTTTCCGATTTTTCAACCCTCTTTTCCAGGCAAAAGGTGTCCAAACTATAGAGACCCACAGAGTCTAACAGATGTCTCTATATTCCTCTTCCTCGAACTCTCAGAGGATCCAGAACTGCAGCCGGTCGTCACTGGGCTGTTCCTGTCCATGCGCCTGGTCACGGTGCTGGGGAACCTGCTCATCATCCTGGCCGTCAGCGCTGACTCCCACCTCCACACCCCCATGTACTTCTTCCTCTCCAAACTGCCCTTGCCTGACATCGGTTTCACCTCCACCACAGTCGCCAAGATGATTGTGGACATCCAGTCTCACAGCAGAGTCATCTCCTATGCAGGCTGCCTGACTCAGATGTCTCTCTTTGCCATTTTTGGAGGCATGGAAGAGAGACATGCTCCTGAGTGTGATGGCCTATGACCGGTTTGTAGCCATCTGTCACCCTCTATATCGTTCAGCCATCTTGAGCCCGTGATTCTGTGCCTTCCTAGATTTGTTGTCTTTGTTTTGTTTTGTTTTGTTTTGTTTTGTTTTGTTTTTCTCAGTCTTTTAGACTCCCAGCTGCACAACTTGATTGCCTTACAAATGACCTGCTTCAAAGATGTGGAAATTCCTAATTTCCTCTGGGAACCTTCTCAACTCCCCCATCTTGCATGTTGTGACACCTTCACCAGGAACATCAACATGTATTTCCCTGCTGCTGTATTTGGTTTTCTTCCCATCTCGGGGACCTTTTCTCTTACAATGGAGTAAAATTGTTTCCTCCATTCTGAGGGTTTCATCATCAGGTGGGAAGTATAAACCTTCTCCACCTGTGGGTCTCACCTGTCAGTTGTTTGCTGATTTTGTGGAACAGGCGTTGGAGGGTACCTCGGTTCAGATGTGTCATCTTCCCCGAGAAAGAGTGCAGTGGCCTCAGTGATGTACACGGTGGTCACCCCCATGCTGAACCCCTTCATCTACAGCCTGAGAAACAGGGATATGAAAAGTGTCCTGCGGCAGCCGCACGGCAGCACGGTCTAATCTCAAGACCTTCTTATCTGTTCCATTCCTTTTGTAGGGTGGGTTCAAAAAGGCAGCAAGGTCACATAAGAATGATATCACAGGGTGAACACCCACTGTGACATTACGAGAATACCTCCCTAGGATATAGAATATACTGTCACAGAGTACACACACATGGGGTACACCCACTGTGATATTAGAAGCAATATCTCCCTAAAGTAGGATGAAAAATATCACAGGGTGTGCACACTGTGTGATATGAGGAGTCATATTTACCCTGGATATCACGACTCATATCAAGGGTGTACACACACCGGGTACACGCACTGTGATATCAGGAGTTGCATCTCCCCAGGATATTACGAATAATATCACAGGGTATACACTATGTGTGAACATCCACTGTGATATTTGAAGTCATAACTCTCTATGAGATTACAAATAATATCAAAGTGTGTACACCCCTGTGACATATTAGGAGTAACATCCTTCTAGGGTATTGCAGATAACATCACAAGGTGCACACCTTCTGTGACCTTTTGTGCACACTTTGTGCCATTCAAGGGAACATCCCCCTAGGATATTATGAATAATGACACAGGCGGTTGACACACATGGTGTACATCTCCTGTGCCATCAGGAGTAATACTCCCCTAGGATATTACAAATAATATCACAGCAGGTGTACACATATGGTGTTCACCCCATGTGAACATTAGGAGGAACATGCTCCTAGGGTATTAGGAATAGTATCACAGGCGTTGAATATGCATGATATATGCCCCCAGTAACATTGAAAGTAACATCACCCTAGGATATTACGAATAACATCACAGGGAGTACACCCCGTGTGACATTAGGACTAACATCCCCCGAGGATATAACGAATAATATCAGGGGGCATACAGACATTGTGACCTTAGTGGTAACATCTCTTTAGGATATCACCAATCACATCACAGGGTGTCCAAAGACCGTCATATTAGGAGTCCCATTTTCCTAGGATATTATGGATAATACCACAGGAGGTGTTCACACACCCTGTGTACACCATGTGTGTACACCCAATGTTATATTTGAAGTCATATATCCATGGGATCTTACGAATATTATCAAAGGGTGTACACCCCATGTGACATTAAAAGAAACATCACTTTTGGATATTCCGAATGCTATCACAGGGTGTGATATTAGGAGTGTGATATTAGGAGTAACCTCTTCCTAGTATAACCCATGTGATATTAGGAGTAACCCCTTCCTAGGATATTACGAATAACATCACAGGGTTTACACCCCTGTGACTTTAAAAGCAACGCCCCCCTAGAATATTACAATAATATAACAGGGTGTACAACCCCTGTGACATTACGAGTAACATCTCCCTAGGATATTTCGAATGATGTCACTGGGGGCACACCCTCTGTGATATTAGCAGCAACATCTTTCTAGGAGATTACGAATGATATCACAAGGTGTACACTCACTCTGATATTAGAAGGAATATCTCCCTAGGGTATAAGCTATCACATCACAGAGTGTACACACATGGTGTACAGCCACTGTGTTATTAGAAGCAATATCTCCCTATGATATTATGAAAAATATCACAGGGTGTACCCTCTGTGGGATACTAGAAATAATGTTTACCATGGATATTACAAATAATATCACAGGATGTACACACATGGGGTACACCCACTGTGATATTAGGAGTTATATCTCCCTAAGATATTACATATAATATCCCAGTGGGTGTATCCCATGTGTGTACACCCACTGTGATCATTAAAGTAATAACTCTCTATAAGATTACAAATAATATCGAAGGCTGTACACCCCCTGTGACATTAGGAGTAACATCCCCCTATAATATTGGGAGCAATATCACACTGTGTACGCCCCTGTAACGTTAGGGGTAACATCCCCCCAGAATATTACTAATAATATCACAAGGCGTACACACATTGTGACATTAGAAGTAATATCCAGCTAGCATATTTCCAGTAATATCACAGAAGGAAGACACATGTGACATTACGAGTGACATCCCCCTAGAATAGTAAGAATGCTATCACAGGGTGTACACCTCCTGTGATATAAGGAGAATCATCTCACCAGAATATTACAAATAATGTCACAGGGTGTTATCTTCTGTGACATTAGGAGTATAGACCCCAGGGAAATTATGAATACTATCACAGGGGGTACACCCCTGTGACGTTAGGAGTAACATCCTTCTACAATATCATGAATAATATCATAATAATAATGACACCCCTGTGTCATTAACAGTGCAATTGCCCTAGGATATTATGAAATAGAACACAGGGACTACACGCCGTGTGTCATTAGAAGTCACATCCCCTGAGGATATAAGGAATAATATCGGAGAATGTACATGCATTGGGACATCAGTAGTCACATCTCTTTAGGATAATACGAGCAATATCAAAGGGTGTGCAAGCATTGCGAAATTAGTAGTGAACTCCCACTGGGATATTATGAATTTTCTGACAGGGTCTACACACCCTGTGACATTAGTAGTCACGTTTTCCTAGAATAAGACGAAGAATATTAAAGGGTGTACAGGACCTGTGATTTACGAGTAACATTTCTATAGAAGATTACACGGAATATCACTGTGTGTACACCCCGTGTGACGTTAGGAGTCACATCCCACAAAATTATAACGAATAATTTCACAGGGTGTGCAACATCTGTGACATTAAAAGTAACATTTCCCTAGAACATGACGATAACATCATACAGTGTACACCCTCGCTGATATGAGGAGTGGCATCTTATAAGGGTAATACGAGTAATATGAAAAGGTGTACAAACCCTGTGACATAAGGAGTGACATGCCTCCAGGATATTCCGAATCATACGAAAGGGAAAATACTCCGTGTGACAATAAAATCAACCTCCCCGTAGGACATGAAGAATAATAGCACAAGCTGTACACACATTGTGACCTTATTATTACCGTACCGCTAGGGCATTGCGAATAATATCAGAGTGTGTAGAGACATGTGAAATAAGGATTCACGTTTCGCAACAATACCACGAATAATATCACAGGGTGTATAACCCCTGGGACTTAAACAGTGACACCATCCTAGAATATGGAAAATAATGTCCCGGGGTGTTAACTAAGTGTGGCAGTAGAGAAAATATAATAGGAGAAAGGGAGTAATATCACCCCCTCTCGACATTGGATATTACGAGCCACAACGCAGGGGGGTGAGGGCGCCCCCCGCAATGCGGGGAGTAGTAGCACCCGCCTCTCCTCCCCGGATATTACGATCTAAATCGCAGGGGGGCGAGGCGCCCCCCGCGATGCGGGGAGTAAGAGCCAGCCCCTCTTGCCCCCCTGGCTCTTAGGATCCGCGCTGGACTCACCTCCTGTTTGTCATATTGTGAGTAATATCATCTCCCACTCTGGAGATTATGAACTGTTTCACAGACGGGTGTACACCCTTGGTGTACAGAGGTTGTACACCCGTCTTTATTGGGAGTCATATCATCCTCTTCCTCCTTGTATTTTAAGAACACTATCATAGGGGTCTTTCTACTCCCTGGGATATCGGGTGTCATGTCCTCCTCTCCCACGTTGCTTTTAGAAACAATATCAGTGGGGGCGTGTCCACCTTCTGTGATATTGAAAGTAATATCATCCTCTTCCCTTCAGAATCATGGGAATAATATCCTTGGGGGTGTCTACTTTCTGCCATATATGTAGTCATATCACCCCTTCCGCCTTGGAATATTTTTAAGGACCATCTCACACGGGGGTGTACACTTCCTGCGATGTTGGGAGTAATAGCATTCTCTTCTTCCTTGAATATTAGGAGCAAAATCACCGGGAGGATGCACACCCAGTGCTATATTGGGAGTAACGTCATACTCCACCCCCTGGAGATTATATTCGGATCTATATCACCGGCTGGGTGTACACCTACTGCGATATTAAACGTAATATCATACTCTCTCCCTCCCTGGACATGAGGAGCAATATCACAGGTGGGTGTGCACCCACTGAGGTATTAGGACGTAATATTAGTATGAATTATTCCTCATTTATTGTTAACATGAATATGAATAACCGATATTAATATCAATATTAACAAATAATTGCTAATAAAAAGTTTTCTGTTTATTAATATTAATATTATTAGGGGCTAATATTACTGTTTTCTAATGAATAAGATCAATATCAGTTATTAATGTCAGGCGTCTTTAATCATTAATATTAATCATTTATTGTGATCGTTAGTATAACTGTTTAATATTAATTATCATTATTATCGGTATTGATTTTAAAAATTATATTATGGGTTATTAATATTGATAATTATTAGTGTCAATTAATAATTGAGATTATTAATTGCGGTAAGTCGCATTGCGCCATTCCACCCCTCCCTCGGCAGCTCGTTTGCGACACAAAACGGGGACACAAATGCCCCTGAGAGAGCAGGGGTATACTGCGATAGATGAGGATGGTCACGTGGTGGAGAGGCGTGTTTTTGGGTACCAGCCCTTCACCTGCGTCGACCTTATCTACTGGAAAAACACTACACCACCCTCTACCGAAAAGCCACAAGCCCTACTTGATTTGCTCCAAACTGTTATCCAGACCCACAAGCCCACCTGGGCTGATTGGCACCAGTTGCTCATGTTCCTCTTTAACAGCGAAGACAGGCGGAGAGTCCTCCAAGCAGCAACTAAGTGGCTAGAGGAACATGCTCCAGCTGATTATCAAAACCCCCAAGAGTATGGAAGGACCCAGTCCCCAGGAACCGACCCCCATTTGGACCCACATGAAAGAGAGGATATGCACAGGCTAAACCGAGACAGGGAAGCTCTCTTGGAAGGATTCATGAGGGAAGCTCGGAAGGCCACAAACATTAACAAGCTCTCTGAGGTCATTCAGGGAAAAAAAGAAAGTCCAGCCCAATTCTACGAGAGACTGTGTGAGGCTTATCATATGTATACTCCCTTTGATCTCGATAGCCCTGAAATCAGCTCATGATTCCCATGGCTTTAGTCTGTCAAAGCGCAGAAGACATGAGAAGAAAACTGCAGAAACAGGCTGGGCTTGCAGGGATGAATCCATCCCAATTACTAGAAATAGCTAGCCAGGTGTTTGTAAACAGGGATGCAGTAAGCCCTAAGGAAAATGGCAAAGAGAATGGAGGACAGGCCCGGCGACAAGCCGCCCTGTTTGTCAGCTGCGGCAATCAGAGGGGTCCCCCCAAAGAGGCAAGGGAAGGGGGGCCATGGGAAGGAAACTCAGCTTGGCTGTCAGAGTTTGCAGCGTACCCAGTGTGCTTATTGTAAAGAAATAGGACAGTGGAAGAACAAATGCCCTGAGCTCAAAAGAAAACAAGGTGACTCAGAGCAGGAGGCCCCGGACAAGGAGGAAGGGGCCCTGCTCAACCTGGCAGAAGGGTTCTTGGACTGAGGGAGACCGGGCTCAAGCGTCCCCAAAGAGCCTCTGGTCAGAATGACAGTCGGGGGTGGAAACATTGACTTTCTTGTAGATAGCGGTGCTGAACATTCGCTAGTAAACGCCTCGGTCGCCCCCTTATCCAAAAAGACTATTGACGTCATCGGAGCCACGGGGGTTTCAGCAAAGCAAGCTTTCTGCTTGTCCCGGACTTGTCCTGTAGGAGGACATCAAGTCATTCATCAGTTTTGGTACATGCCTGACTGTCCCTTGACCTTTTTGGGAAGGGACTTGCTCAACAAGCTGAGAGCCACTATCTCTTTGACAGAGCATGGCTCTTTGCTACTCAAGTTACCCGGAACGGGAGTCATTATGACCCTTATGGTCCCCGAGAGGACGAATGGAGACTGTTGTGAACTAAGCCGGGCCAAGAGAGAAGACCAGCTCTGGCTAAGCGGTGGCCAAGAGTACGGGCAGAAGACAACCCTCCGGGATTGGCCAGTTAAGACTGGGGCCCAGCCGGTGAGGCAAAAACAGGACCCGGTCCCCACAGAAACCCTTCAAGGTATCCAGGTCCGTCTCAAGCACCTAAGAACTTTTGGAATTATTGTTCCTTGTCGGTCTCCATGGAACACTCCCCTCGTGCCTGTTCCCAAGCCACGGACAGAGGACTACCGGCCGGTACAGGATTTGCGCTTGCTTCATCAAGCTACACTGACTTTCCATCCAACACTACCTAACCCGTCCACATTGCTGGGGTTGCTGCCAGCTGAGGACAGCGGGTTCACCTGCTTGGACCTGAAAGATGCTTTCTTTCCTCTCAGAGTAGCCCCTGAGAGGCAGAAGCTGTTTGTCTTTCAGTGGGAAGATCCGGAGTCATGTATCACTACTCAGTACACTTGGACCAAGCTTCCCCAAGGGTTCAACTACTCCCCCACCATCTTCGGGGAGGCGTTGGCTCGAGACCTCCAGAAGTTTCCCAGCAGAGACCTAGGCTGCGTGTTGCTCCAGTAGGTTGATGACCTTCTGCTGGGACACCCCACGGCAGTCGGGTGTGCCAAGGGAACAGATGCCCTACACCGGCACCTGGAGGACTGTGGGTAGAAGATGTCCACGAAGAAAGCCCAGATCTGCCCACAGCAGGTACGTTACTTGGGATTTACTATCGGACAGGGGTCGGAACGCAGCCCGGGATCGGAAAGAAAGCAGGTCATTTGCAATCTAGCAGAGCCTAAGAGCAGAAGGCAGGTGAGAGAATTCTTAGGAGCTGTGGGGTTTTGTAGACTGCAGATCCCAAACTTTGCAGTATTAGCCAAGACTTTGTATGAGGTCACAAAGGAGGCGGGGACTGGGAACCTTTGGAATGCAGATCCCAACAACAGCAAGTCTTTCATGAGTTAAAGGAAAAACTTCTGCAGCCCCAGCCCTGGGGCTATCCGATCTGACAAAGCCTTTTCCATTGTATGCATCAGAGAGAGAAAAGATGGCAGCTGGACTTTGAACCCAAACTGTGGGGCCCTGGCCGAGGCCGGTGGCCTACCTCTCTAAACAACTAGATGGGGTTTCTGAAGGATGGTCCCCCTGTTTGACGGCCTTGGCAGCAACTGCCCTGATAGTACAAGAAGCAAATAAGCTGACTCTTGGGCAAAACCTGAGCATGAAGGCCTCCCGTGCTGTGGTGACTTTAATGAATACTAAAGGACATCATTGGCTAACGAATGCCAGACTCACCAAGGACCCAACTTTGCTCTGTGAAAATCCCCGTATAACCATTGAAGTTTGTAACACCCTACACCCCGCCACCTTGCTCCGAGTATCAGAGAGCCGTGTCGAGCCTGACGGTGTAGAATTGTTGGACTCCATTGACTCTAGCAGACCTGACCTCCGGCGCCAGCCTTGGGCATCATAGACTGGGAACTATACGTGGATGGGAGCAGCTTCTTCAACCCCCAAGGAGAGAGAGGTGCAGGGTATGCAGTGACAACCCTGGACACTGTTGTTGAAGCCAGATCATTGCCCCAGGCCACTTCAGCCCAGAAAGCTGACCTCATTGCTTTCATTCGGGCCTTAGAACTCAGTGAGGGTGAGACTGTCAACATTTACACTGATTCTCGGTATGTCTTTTGAACCCTTCAAGTGCATGGAGTGTGATAGAAAGAAAAGGGCCTATTGAACTCTGGGGAAAAAGACAGAAAATATCAACAAGAAATCTTGCAATGATTAGAAGCAGTGTGGAAACCCCACAAGGTGGCAGTTATGCATTGCAGGGGACACCAGCGAGCTTCCACCTTGCTGGGTTTGGGGAATTCCCGCGCTGGCTCAGAGGCTCGAAAAGCAGCATCTGCCCCCTTCTGGGCATCAGTGCTCCCTCAAGCACCTGATCTCGGACCTACTTCTTCTAAAGAAGAGAAGGACTTTCTCCAGGTAGAGGGAAGGACAAGTGATGGAGGAAGGATGGATTCGGTTACCAGATGGGACAGTAGCTGCGCCACAGCTGCTAGGAGCTGCAGTTGTACTGGCTGTGCAAGAAACCACCCATCGAGGTCAGGAGTCACTGGAAAAGTTGTTAGGCTGGTATTTGTACATCTCGCCTTTGTCAGCCCTTGC